>NC_000010.11:35182800-35487083 GCF_000001405.40 Homo sapiens
CACTGGAAGTACAGATCTTAGTGATAGGTGTGTTGCATAACAGTTGAGCTGGTCGAAGAAAGTCTTTTATTTCAGAAGCATATACCCGAGAGATGGCGGGAGAGAGACAGCCTTAGAATTAACAAAGAATGTTACTTGCTGCATGAGACAGTTAAGATAGGCAGTAAATGAGTGAATTTGTAAAAGCAACCGAGGAAATTAAAATGTTTGAAGCTTCCTAATTCATTAAATTTCCTCTTGAAACAAAGGTTACTTAAATCCTCCATCCTACTATACCCAACCTCTTCCTGTACCAATTAAAGACTATCACCCAAGACTTCAGTTTTTTTCCCACAAATGGCCCTTGTCTCTGCTTGTGCCTATTGTATTTTACGAGGAATCTTATTAGAGTATTAACTCATCTTTCTGGAATTCTTATACATGAAAGGTAAGTGGGTCAATCTAAACTGCACCATTATGAAAAGAAAAATATGAACTTTGTGGACTCCTTATAAGAATTCAGAATTCTCAGGAGGCTCACGAATAAGCACCAATTCAACTTCTTCATAAAGGGAATTAGAACATAATAGGCTTACACATTCGAAAGTTAATCCAGTTGCAGTTCTTAATAGTGACGTTGTTTACATTTCTCTAAGGCAACTGTTTCAAAATTTTTTAAGGCACTACTTAATGTAACTCTGGCTTTTAAACTTTGATGTTGCTATTGTTGTTATAGCATGATTTAGTCTTCCTTCTGCTATAATGCACCTCTTGGCTTTTAAGGTACAAGTACTCATAGGTGCTCTCTTATGGTCACTCTGAATTTAAACCTGAGAATTCATTGGAACAAAGGTCTGTTTGCTGCTGTTTTTAAAGTTAATGCAGTGAGATTTCATTTATGAATCTTTGGATTGCAATTTGGAACAAGAGTGGTTTTAAATATAAACATTTACATGTGTATGTATTTTAATTAGCTCATGTGTATAAATTTAGGATTAGAAGTATATAACATGGGCCGGGCGTGATGGTTCACGCCTGTAATCCCAGCACTTTGGGAGGCTGAGGTGGGCGGATCACCTGAGGTCAGGCATTCGAGACCAGCCTGGCCAACATGGTGAAACCCCATCTCTACTGAAAATACAAAATTAGCCGGGTGTGGTGGTGCACACTTGTAATCCCAGCTACTTTGGAGGCTGAGGCAGGAGAATCGCTTGAACCCAGCAGGTGGAGGTTGCAGTGAGCTGAGATCACACGATTGCACTTCAGCCTGGGCGAGAAGAGTGAAAGTCCATCTCAAAATAAATGAACAAATAAATAAATAAGAAGTGTATAACATCGCCAGGCTTGGTGGTTTGTGCCTGTAGTCCCAGCTACTCAGAAGGCTGAGGCAGAAGGATTGCTTGAGCCTAGCAGTTTAAGACCAGCTAGACCAATATCAGGATGTGGGGCAACACAGCAAGACCCCATCTCTTAAATAAATAGCTAAAATAGAAGATATGTCTAAATTCATTCAGTTAATTTCATCTTATTTTTTCTATCTTGATTTATGTTTATTGAAAGCACATGTTATGCTATCCTTGACTATTTTGAAACCTAAACAGTTTTCTCCTCAAATCTCTGAATACAGACAGGCCCACGTAAAACCTATTTCCAGGATCCTGAGGCACTGGGAAATTTTGTTTATTGTCAGATGAGAGAGAACATTTTCAATGGGAAGGTCCTCTGTCATTTGATAACAACAAAATCAAGAGCACCTTTGGCATAAAAATGAAAATGAGGCTGACGTGCCTGACTTAATCAGTAGAAATGTTTTCTCACTAGAGCCAGTGTGTGAGGGGTGTGTGTGTGTGTTTGTTTAGCTTTTGTTTTCCATATCTAATTATATAATGACTTCCCCAGAAAATAAAATGAGAAACAGATTCTTGATGTGTCAGCTGTTCATATTGTGAAAACAAAGTTTTTTGATCAGAACTGTGGGGAAACATTACTGAAAAGAAAAAAGGAAACGAGTAAAGCAAAAAGAAAGAGAAAAAAGGAAGTAAAGGTCTTTGTTATCTACCTATTTAGGGGTTCTTACCCTGAGGCAGCTACTCTCACCTCAGATTGACTTGATCGTTATTTAAAAGCTTGATAATTTGGTGTTGAAAAACTAGGTTCTATGATTGGAATTTGAAACCATACCTCATTTAACTCTCCTAGATTCACAGGGGGCTTAAGTTTTTTATAATATCATCTGTCATGAGGAAATGATAGCCATTCATTCATTCATTCATTCATTCATTCATTCTATTTTTTGAGTGGCTGCTCTGTTCTAGGCTTTGTACTTCTTTTTTTTTTTTTTTTGAGACGGAGTTTTGCTCTTGTCCAGGCTGGTGTGCAATGGTGCAATCTCTGCTCACCGCAACCCCCGCCTCCCAGATTCAAGCGATTCTCCTCCCTCAGCCTCCCGAGGAGCTGGGATTGCAGGCATGCACCACCACGCCTGGCTAATTTCTTGTATTTTTAGTAGGGACGGGGTTTCTCCTTGTTGGTCAGGCTGGTCTTGAACTCCTGACCTCAGGTGATCCACCAACCTCGGCCTCCCAAAGTGCTGGGATTACAGATGTGAGCCACCGCGCCCGGCCTAGGCTTTGTACTTCTAATACACTGTGGTTACCTGACCTTGGGCTGCTCTTTCTAAAGCACTATTTCTGTGACATCAAACTAATTATCAACTGAAAAATACACATTCAAATATATGAAAACATACACAATTTACTCATGTCTAGCCACAAGGGGCCAAGAAAGCAGTGTCTTTTGACATTTTCATACTTGTAAGAAGTTAGTTAGATCTCTCTCAAACCCTTTTACTATGAGGGCTGAATCCTGAGACCCATGAAATCTTTGGAAAGCCATGGTTTAAAAATACCCTGTTTTTAAAGTGTGTACAGAAAATAACTGCTCTAGGTGAGCCAGATAAAGTGCTGTTACATCAGGGTGTCTCAACCTCAGTTCTATTGACATTCTGTAACTGACTCTTCAGTTTCTGCCACACTGGCCTGTCAGTGAAATAAAACACAGAGAACGCAGCATGTGGAAGTCTTTTTAAAAATGTTAATCTATCTTCCTGTGTAGACACTGGCACCTTAGGTGAAAGAAGTGAAAATTTGTTGTTGTTACTCTTTCCATAATTCTCATAGGTTTGTCCTATCAGGTTATCGCCTAAGTGCTTTTTTGCCTAGATGCCTTTAAAAACGTTTGGAAATGACTTGAAAATATTCAGAGTGTATTTTAAACACTACTGTTACGCTACTGTAAGGTATTTACATTGATGTATAGATGTCATGTTATTCTGGTGATGTGTTTTTAAAATCTTCATTGTAAAGCCTAGTTAGCTAGTTTATATGTGATTTTTTAAAAAGCATAGCCTCTGGTACCATTTAATATCTACTGTTTGAAGCATGCAGTTGGAATCTTTATGTTAAAATATACAGACCTTTCAGATATTTTAAATAATACTTGTCTATTAGAGTGAAATTTTGAAACAAAACGTTTGATCAGTTATTCTTTGGAAGCTTCAAGTCAATTAATATGTTAACTTTTAAACATGACTGGCAGATCTCAGTATTTAAAGGAAATCTACTTCCTATTTGTTGCCATTAGCTGTAGTTACTTGAGATACTTGGTAGAGGTAAATATTGTAGCACAAATCCTTTTAGTAACAGTTACTTTTTAAGGACCTTTGCAACTTGACAATTTATATTTCAGGATTCTCCTGACATAGACAAAATGGCAAAGGTTACAGTTTTCTAGACTTTAGCTTTATAACCAAAATATGTTTTTATATATATTTATATATAAATATATAATATATGTAAATTATATAGTTATATATAACATATGACATATATAATTATAATAAATATATATTAAAAATTTTGGTCATATATACAACATATATAACTATATATAATTATATATAGTTATAATTATATATAGTTATATATAATATATAACAAATTATATATAACATAATTATGTTATATATAATTGTACATAACATATATACATATATAGGTATATATACGTATATATGTTATATATAATTATATATTATATATAAAATATAAATAATTATAAAAATATAATAATTATTAAAATATATGTTATATATAAATACAATATAAATTATATATATAAATATATAATTTATATATTATATGTGATATATATTATATATTATATATAATATAATATATAATATATATCACATATAATATATATTATATATAATTAATATATATAATTAATATAATAATATATATAATATATAATATATATGATATATATTATATAAATATATAAATATATTAATATATTAATATATAATATATATAATATATATTATATATTAATATTAATATATAAATATATTAATATATAATATATATTATATATTTATATATATAAAATATATAATTATATATAACATATATAATTATATGTATGTTGGTTTTTTTTTTTAGATGGAGTCTCTGTTGCCCAGGCTGGAGTGCAGTGCCGCAATCTCAGCTCACTGCAACCTCCAACTCCCGGGTTCAAGTGATTCTCCTGTCTCAGCCTCCCGAGTAACTGGGACTACAGACACCTGCCACCACACCTGGCTAATTTTTGTATTTTTAGTAGAGGCGGGGTTTCACCATATTGATCAGGCTGGTCTCAAACTCCTGACCTCAGGTGATCTGCCTACCTTGGCCTCCCAAAGTCCTAAGTTTACAGGCGTGAGCCACTGCACCTTGCCTATATATTTCTTAAAAACTACTTTCTTTTGATGACAAATCAGAAAAGTAGTTAGCTGAATGAAGGTAGAAATTCATTTTAATTGCAATATTAAATGGGAATTTTTCTTTTCTTTTCTTTTCTTTTTTTAGAGACAGGGTTTTCCTGTGTTGCCCAGGCTGGCCTTGAACTCCTGGGCTCAAGTGATCCTCCTGCCTTGGCCTCCCAAAGTGCTGGGATCACAGGCATGAGCCACCACACCTGGCCTTAAATGGGAATTTTAAATGGTAGAAGAATGGTGTTTATAAGGAAAAACATCTGAGAGAATGGAGAAAACCAGGAAGCTGGACTCTCCCTGTCTCCTTCTCCACTCTTCCTCTTGAGTGATGTAGTCAGCTGGATGCTAAGGAGGAGGAACACTCCATGGGCTCTATGAATCTCAAACATTTCTGAATATAAAATATTTTCAAGTGTTTATAAGCTTTTCCTAGAGTATCGTCCCATGACGAAGCTGATCTTCCTTCTCAATTCAGCATAGAAAATAAGGGTAACCTGAGAAAGAAGCAATGGTAATAAATAGACCCAGAGTATATTCTTCCAATAGGGGATTATTAAAAATAAATCTTGAAATTCTCTAATATTTCTTTTCTTTTTCTGTTAAGTTGCTATAGCCCAAGGTGGAACAATCCAGATTTCTAACCCAGGATCTGATGGTGTTCAGGGACTGCAGGCATTAACAATGACAAATTCAGGAGCTCCTCCACCAGGTGCTACAATTGTACAGTACGCAGCACAATCAGCTGATGGCACACAGCAGTTCTTTGTCCCAGGCAGCCAGGTTGTTGTTCAAGGTATATTTTATTAATCTAATACATTTAGAATACCTATGGATTACTATATCACACCATTGAGTGGTGATTTTATAGTTTTTTGAAATAGATCGAAGGTAGATGGTGGGGGGTTGGGAGGCACTTAAAAAGGCTTACAGAAGAAATATTTTAATACATTAAACAGCAAATTAAGTTTTATCATTTTTCGCCTTTTAGCAGGTTTTACTGGCTCTGGAGAAAGGCCAAATTCAGAGTAGCATGATAGAAAAAGAGAGATAGAAACATGAATGAATTTTTTTTTTTTTTTTTTGAGATGGAGTCTCGCTCTGGCGCCCAGGCTGGAGTACAATGGCGTGATCTCGGCTCACTGCAACCTGTCTCCTGGGTTCAAGTGATTCTTCTGCCTCAGCTTCCCGGGGAGCTGGGATTACAGGCATGAGCCACCACGCCTGGCTAATTTTTGTATTTTTAGTAGAGACGGGGTTTCACCATGTTGGGCAGGCTGGTCTCAAACTCCTGACCTCAGATGGAGTCGTCCTGACCTCAGGTGGAGGCCTCAGCCTCCTAAAGTGCTGGGATTACAGACGTGAGCCACCGCACCCGGCCACATGAATGAATTTTTAAATTAATTAGATATCCTTCATTTGGGGGTTGCAAATGTTGTACCTAATAGATTTCTATTACCTAATCTATGACAATTTAAGTATTCAGGCTATGATGCCCCAAATTTGTTTTTTTCCCTAGCTGTTACTTTCAAGTCTAATTTCTAGGCAACTCATTTCAAAACAAATGCTGACTTTGGGTTTTTTGTTTTTTTTTGTTTGTTTGTTTTTTTGACTGACTGTTCTTAGTTGTTTGAATTCTGAAGTATCCATTCTAGCTCTTATGGAAGCTGTCAGTAATGAAATAAAAGTTGAGATGTAGCCCTAAGCTTTTAGGGTTACCTGAGATTTCAACTGGATTTGCGTTATACATTATTTTAATTCAGTTGTGCCTATGATAACTGTAATAGATGTATTTAATACAGCTTTCAAAACTCCTGTGTTTTAATTGAATTCTATTCCTCTTGGTCCATTCGCTTAGGATTTAGGATATAGCACTATTTTTTAAAAATTTGCTTGCTTGTTTGTTTGTTTGTTTATTTATTTATTTATTTATTTATTTTTGAGACAGAGTCTCGCTCTGTTGCCCAGGCTGGAGTGCAGTGGCGCGATCTCGGCTCACTGCGACCTCCGCCTCCCAGGTTCAAGCAATTCTTCTGCCTCAGCCTCCCGAGTAGCTGGGACTACAGGTGCATAACGCCATGCCCGGCTAATTTATTGTATTTTAGTAGAGACGGGGTTTCACCGTATTGCCCAGGCTGGTCGTGAACTCCTGAGCTCAGGCAGTCCACCCACCTTGGCCTCCCAAAGTGCTGGGATTACAGGCAGCACTAACGTTAAGGAAAGTAAAATCAGTTATTTTAGTTCGAATGTCTTGCAGGTATGATAAGCATATTATAATTGATGAGTCTCTTGATAATTATACTCAGGTATTTTGGGGGTTAATGTGGACTATGGTAAAAGTGTGTGAAGAACTGAGGTGGTGGCATTTATGGAGTAAAAAATGCATAGTACAAACCCAGTACTTTAATGTTTTCTTGAAATGTAAAATGAAAGCCACCTGTTCTATTCCCCCCATACTCATGGACCATATTTATGTCTAGGTGAATAATCTTAAAGAATAATTATTTCTTCTCATTTTATCTTTGTTACATGGAAGAATCTACTGCAAACAACAGAGTTTTGAGAATTTTTAATGTTTTACACAATATGCACGTAAGTTTGTGCCTTGGGGTTTTTAAGAATTTTCTTCCACAAGTCACAAAGATTTTTTTCCACATTTTCTTCTATTTGCTTTATGGTTTTACCTTTCACATTTATGTCTTTAATGTATCTGGGCTTCACTTCTGTATATAGTATTTGGTGGGAATTCATTTTTAACTTTTTTCTCCGTATATGGAGCCACTCCCAAGGGTTTGTTGTTTCCTCACTGGTGTATGGGGCAGCCTTAATTAGACAGTGGGTTTGCTTTTGCACCTGGATCTGGCCAGTCTTCTGTCTGATTCATCTTTTTCTGAATCCCAGCGCCATACATGTTTGTTATCTCATAAAACAAGTTCCCCTTGTCTTTTTTCTCAGTTTGATACAGAGTTAGTTTTTTGTGCACGATTATTCTTTCATATGCATTTGGAATAAGTTTGAGTTTCTAAATAGTAGTAGTAATAATAATAATAATAAAACCAATGATGAGACTGCATTAATTTTTTTTTTCTTGAGATGGAGTCTCGCTCTGTTGCCCTGCCTGGAGTGCAGTGGCACGATGGCTCACTGCAAGCTCCACCTCCCGGGTTCACGCCATTCTTCTGCCTCAGCCTCCCAAGTAGCTGGGACTACAGGCGCCTGCCACCATGTCCGACTAATTTTTTTGTATTTTTAGTAGATACAGGGTTTCACCATGTTCGCCAGGATGGTCTCGATCTCCTGACCTCATGATCCGCCCACCTCAGCCTCCCGAAGTGCTGGGATTACAGGCATGAGCCACCATGCCCAGCCAAGACTGCATTTAATTTAGGGAGAGCTGAAGTCTTCATAATGTTAAGTTGACCTATCCCAAACCATAGAAAGTCTTGTTTATTCAGATCTCATTTTACTTCTTTTAACAGTTGAACATTTTTCTTTTTATTTATTTATTTATTTATTATACTTTAAGTTTTAGGGAACAGTTGAACATTTTTCTTCACGGAGATCTTGCATATTCTTTCTTTAGTTGGTTCCTAAGTACTTTATGGGTTTTGTTGCCATTACAATGGTACCTTATTTTGTATTGTATTTTCTAATTGTTGCTGGTGTAGAGAAATACGGATTATTTTAAGTCGATCTTTTATCTATTAACTTTGCTGAACTCTAATTACTTCTAATAATTTACTGATTCTTTGTGATTCGGTCTGTGATCCTATGTGAATGTTTATACAAATAGTGATGTTTTGTTTCCTCCCTTCCAATCTTTATTCCTGTTTTCTTTTTCTCTTTTTTTCTTTTCCTTAAATAATCATGGCCAGGAGCTCCAGTTTAAACACAGCAAGGCCAGTGGGCATTCTTGTCTTCCTGAACTTAGTGGCAGTGTTCCCTGCCCTCCTTCTCCCTTCATCTCACTGAAGGGCCCTGTCAGCTTCTTTGTGGATTCTCAGTGCCTGTCTTGGCTGATGCCTCAGCAGTATTTAACACTGTCGACTTCTGCTTCCTCCACTTCCTGAGACTGTGTCCTCCTTGCTCTTCTCTCTCTGCTGCTTCTCTGTCAGTCCTGTTGCTGGGCTAAGCTTCCCCTGCCCCTGTCCTGAGTGTTTCAGTGATCCTCAGGCTCACTCCCCCACCCTCTTCCTGCTGAGCTCCCTCCCTGAAGGACTCCCTCCCACGCTGGCTTCAGTTCACTGTGACTATGTCCTGACTCCAGCTGGTTCCTTAGATGGCCACACATACCTCTGACTCCTAAAATCCACTCTTCCTATCTTCAGTGATTGACCACTACTATCCTTGATGCCAGAAACCTAGGTGTTGTCCAGTATTCTTCCCAGTCTCCATTCAAAGTCACTGTGTAGATTCTTCTGCCTGGCTGAGCCATGAATGCTTCTGCCACTCCACAGCCCTCTGTCCTGGCCCTGGCCCTGGCCTGGGTGCTATCCCTCTGACCCAGGCTACCCCTGTGGGCTACAGTCTCCGGCAGCCACCGGAAGCTGGCTATTGTGGAACAGCTTTCTGATCCTCCTAATCATGCCAGAGGCAGCAGCTCCCTTCTTGGCTCAGTTTTTTGGGAATTGTTCCTGAAAGTTCAGCTAAACTCTTCATTCCTCACAGTGATTCTGGGAGCCACTGATAGTTCTTAAAAACAGCAGTTTCTTGCCCCCAACATCTCCATTACTGCATTGCACTTGTTTTGTTTTGTTTCGTTTTGTTTTGTTTTGAGACAGAGTCTCACTCTCTTGGCCAGGCTGGAACACAGTGATGTGATCTTAGCTCACTGCAACCTCTGTCTCCTGGGCTCAAGCATTTCTCCTGCCTCAGCTTCCCGAGTAGCTGGGATTACAGGCATGTACCACCATGCCCAGCTAATTTTTGTATTTTTAGTAGAGACGGGGTTACACCATGTTGGCCAGGCTGGTCTTGAACTCCTGAGTTTAGGTAATCCGTCCATCTCGGCATCCTAAAGTGCTACGATTATAGGCATGAGCCACCACACCTGGTGTCTGGGGTCTTTTTAATAAGGGCACTAATCCTGTTCACAAGGGTGTCACCCTCATGACCTCATCACCTCTCAGAGGTTCCACCTCCAAATACTATTGCATTGGAGGTGAGGATTTCAACAGAGGAAATTGGGTGGGGATACAAACATTCAGTCTATAGCATCCACTCAAAAGCATCCATCAATGTCTGTGACCTGTTAGACAAAGCTCCAAATCTTTCATGTGGCCCAAATCTTTGCTTGATCCAAGCCTTGCATTCTTTAATAGCTGCCTACCTCTCCACTTCTCCCTCTTTTGTAATACAGCTCTTTCTTTCATTTCCTGGGATAGGCCATGCCCTCTCTCCCTCCAGGGCCTTCTTCACACATACCGATTGCCTGATAAGAATACGTTCCCCGAGGAAGCCTTGCCCATCCTCCACATCTGGCTTAGGCAACCTTCTGTGAGTTCCTACTGTACTTCCTTAGGCACATATCATGTTGTGTTGTGGCTCTCTGTCTTGCTAGATGGTAAGTTCTATTTGGACAAATACCTAGCACAGACCCTGGCATGTGATAAATGTTCAGTAAGCATTTACCAAATGAAAGTGAACTGTTCTTCCTCTGAAAATGTGATTTGTTCTGTGTGCTGATTGACTTGAGATTAACTGGTCCAGGGAATACATTAAAACTACTAAGAGCAGTAATCAACTAAGCAACCCATTTCCCTTCTTTCTTTCCTTCCTTGCCTTTTTTTTCACACCAATATTTATTGAGCATCTATGTGCCAATTTAAAGAAATGCTGACATAAAAATCAATTTCTTATTGATTTTCTGAAATTTGAAATAAAATTTACTAATAGCATTCTTGGACCCAAACCCTCAGGTGTGACTGGGACAGCAAAGAGTCCCTGCTGGAGCCCCAGATTGAGGTTGATGTCTAGGTGACCATCCAGGGTTCCTTACTCAGCCAAGATATCTTCAGCTGAATTGAAACCCTAACCCCATTGTCAGGTATCCTGGAGAATTACTAGAAACATGGACACTCCCTGAAACTTTACCTCCTGAGCATCTGAGGTGTAAAGTCCTTACCTTTACTGGAAGATGATTAAATTAAATACAGCTAAAATGTGGTGGGATGTCCTTTCATTGACATAAGGTTGGGTTGAATTCTAATCATACAAGGGAAAGGGCTTTGGGTGCGGTGGCTCACACCTGTAATCCCAGCACTTTGGGAGGCTGAGGTGGGTGGATCACCTGAGATCAGGAGTTCGAGACCAGCCTGGCCAACATGGTGAAACCCCGTCTCTACTAAAAATACAAAAATTAGCCAGGCATGGTGGGCACCTGTAATCCCAGCTACTTGGGAAGCTGAGGCAGGAGAATCATTTGAACCCAGGAGGCGGAGGTTGCAGTGAGCCAAGATTGCACCTTTGTACTCCAGCCTGGGGGAGAATAGCGAGACTTCATCTCAAAAAAAAAAAAAAAAAAAAAAAAAAAGACAAAAGGTCTCAGTGGCATGTCACTTATTTTTTTGCAGTGGAAATGCCAATAATTTTTTTCCAGGCTATGGTCTGTTCTATGGTTGAACATTCGCCCATTTTTGTGTCTAACCTTATAATCACTGAATTTCCTATAATGATCCAGCTCTCTATGTGCCAAGCCTTCATTAAGTGATCCAAATAAAATTTGACATTTAAAAAAAATGTACAAATAGTAATTTTGATTTATTTATGAATTTTAAAAATCCCAAATGTCTTTTCAGGGGGTTTTAATCTGGGAAAATAAGGTATTAGATTGAATCACATGAAACTGCTATTTTTGTAGGCCAGAAAGTTCAAATATCAGCAAGTTCATGTGATTCAATCTAGTAGTTATGGGAGAATACTACATAATACTTGCTCCATTGGCACAGTGAATTTTTAAAATTTAATTATCTACTCCCTTTAAGTGAAAGTAGCAAATTCTGTATCACCTTAGGAAGAGTTGGATTTTTTGATGGTGTAGCAAATGGCTCAGCAAATAAAAATGTTAAGTGAACACAGGTGGCTGGATATTTCTTGGTGAGTTTAGAAGTGACTATGAAATATGGTATTTCTTTGCTGATAGTCAATGTGTTTTTTTTTTTTTTAAATCTCCAAGTGTTTTTTCTCTTATGAGTTAGGAAATTATGTTGGGTTTATTCTCCCTTAGTTTACCTAGAAGCCTTGGACACAACAATAATAAAGAAGTAGCCCTGTAAGATACAATCATGTAACTTTTAATGCTAAAAGAGACATTATTATTATTATTATTATTATTATTTGCTAGAGCCCACCTCAAACAGATTTCTATGTAAAAATGAGAAACAAGAGCATTAAGATGGTTTATTACAGGAAGAGTTTTTATAGGGCTTGGGTTTCAGTGAGCTCGCCTGTGACAAAGCAAATTGATGGCAGTGATAGGCTAGTGATGTCATTGTGATGTCAGTCCTCCTGCTTATCCTGCACATGCTTGCTAATTTGGAACACTTTATGTTGAACTGTGGTAGAGGAAACAAGACAGTTCTGTCTGCAGAAGCCCATTATGGCTGTAACTGGAGATGACACAGGTAAGAATGTTAAAGAGGGGTTTTCAGTTAATTGTGCAGATTGTTTTGAAGTTTAGGAAGTATTCAGGAACATCTGAGTGTTTCAGAAAGTGTTACTCTCCTAGTCACTTAGGTGTAAGACTTTTTTTGAAATATACATCTATATATTCAGCTCACTTTGTTAGGGCATCTTAGTGTGATTGTTTCTTTGCTCAATATTCTATTGCTTGCTTGACTGAGGCACTAATCCTCTCTTCCTCCCTCTATCCTCCCTCCCCTCCTCCCCACTCTTCCCCTCCTCTTCTCTTCCCCTCTCCTCCATCTCTGTGTCTCTCTTTCATATGCATACCATTCTGCCCTACTAAAATAAGCTGTTACTTCATAGGCAACCTGTTGCAAATTCAATCTAGCCGCAGATTAAACATACAGTATATACCGTTCATGTTCTGATTTCATTACTGTGGACAAATGCAGCTCCAAACAGAATAGGAAAAACCCGCGTGTTATGGATGTTTGTGTGCCTACTTGTTTCTTTCCTCCTGTATTTAAAATGGTCTGTTCAGCTAATTGAGTTCAAAAGGCTGATGTCATTACATTTCCTGGAATCGTATTTCAGCAGGGGAAGTGGAAAAGTTAAAACTCCAAGCGAGCTGCACATTGACGTCAGCTCCGAGTCATGTTGTGATTTAGTCAGTTCCTTTCCGCTTTGTAAAATGCTGCTGACAGATTTAGAGTTAACTAGCTCACCACTGCCTCTGCCTCCAAGCTGCCTTTTAGACTGAATAGCTTTTCTTGTTAGCCCTACTTTAACATTTCTTTTGAAGTGGTTGTCTGCTTGAAGAGGGAAACACGTCATGAAACTGTAATGCATGAACAGAACTCAGGAGTTGTCTGGCCAGCTTAGTGGTAAGATCGAGCCTCCTACTGAGGCCGTCCCTGCATGCGCCTGGTGAGAAATGGATTATGTATTGTATAAGCTGGCGGGTTCTTTACTCTTACTCCATCCTCTTACTCCATCTATAGGAACTTGCGATTCAGAGCTCCTCTAGTGTTCAGTCAGGGAAGTGCTTGTCTTTTACTTGTTCTCCCAGCCTCTGGTATTTAAATTTGTAATCGGTAATTTTTCACTAGGTTTGCTTTTCTCAGTAACAAAGAGTGATTTTGGAAGACTTAGTTACTAATAACCTTTGTGTGCTTGCAGTGTTGTTTATTCAGTGGTCTTGTTTGTAATACAGTACTGAATTTGCAGTTGAATTAAGAGTTTTAAACAACTTCACTACAATTTAGCTCTTCGAAGTTAATGGGTCTCAGCCCTCTTTGTGGATAGGAACATTGGATTGTCTTGAGTAAGTAAAACCTGTATTACATTGTTTTTAAAACTGTCTTGAGGAACTATTTTTTTCTCGAAGTTTTGTGAAGTTCTAGAGATGCTATAGACTGCAGAACTCAAATGATGAATTTATTATAAGACATAGATGAACTTAAAATCATCTCAAACACTGCATGTCATATGATTCTTAGAACCAGAAGGCACTTTTGTACATATATTTTCTAAAAATTATTGGTTAATATCTTTCTTTACCAAGCCTTTCATTCCTATTACCCCTTTGACTTGTCTAAGCATAAGACTCATAACAAAAAATAAATAAAATGATGTGAAAACGCTGTGTACTTTTTTTTTTTTTTTTTTTTTTGAGACGGGGTCTCGCTCTGTCGCCCAGGCTGGAGTGCAGTGGCGCGATCTTGGCTCACTGCAAGCTCCGCCTCCCAGGTTCACGCCATTCTCCTGCCTCAGCCTCCTAAGTAGCTGGGACTACAGGCGCCCGCCTAATTTTTTGTATTTTTAATAGAGGCGGGGTTTCACCGTGTTAGCCAGGATGGTCTCGATTTCCTGACCTCGTGATCCGCCCTCCTTGGCAATGCTGTATACTTTTAACCACTACATATAAATAAACAAACATTTTTGACATTTGTTTTTACAGAATGAACATAACATCCTTGAAAGTTTTTTTCACAGTTTTACCAATAATGCTACACATGATTGATTTTCCTTTTCCAATTTAAACTTTTCAAAATGCTGAAACTTTAAAATGTCAAACAACTTAAAACACTTTTTCACAAGACCTGATTTTGCCTTTGGAAATCATATTTTTAAAAATCTGGTCATTTCTTACAGAATCAGTGCTATTTGAAAAATGAGTAATAAATTTTATTTCATTTTACTTTATTTATTTATTTATTTATTTATTTATTTATTTATTTATTTATTTATTTTATGAGACGGAGTCTCGCTCTGTCGCCCAGGCTGGAGTGCAGTGGCTGGATCTTGGCTCACTGCAAGCTCGGCCTCCCGGGTTCACGCCATTCTCCTGCCTCAGCCTCCCGAGTAGCTGGGACTACAGGTGCCCACCACCACGCCCGGCTAATTTTGTTTTTTTGTATTTTAGTAGAGACGGGGTTTCACCGTGTTAGCCAGAATGGTCTCGATCTCCTGACCTCGTGATCCGCCTGCCTCGGCGTCCCAAAGTGCTGGGATTACAGGCGTGAGCCACCGCGCTCGGCCTCATTTTACTTTATTTTTTTAAAGCCAGAAGAGCACAGGGTTAAGGGACTTTTTTGAAGGTGTAGTAGAGTAGCTTTAGGAACCAGACCTCTGGGCTCTCAGTTCTGAGGTAACCCTATGGATCGGCAGACCAAGTAGATCTAGATTAGTGGCTTGCAAACTTTTCAACCATGACCCACGTTAATTATCACGGCAAAGTGGACCTATGTGTGTATGTACCCTACATTTATATAAAACAAGTTTCAGACATAATTCTTATCCTTACAAAATATGATGTACCCATAATTCCTTTTCTGTCCTTTTTTTAAAATGCTATTCTTGACCCATGAAATTTGCTTTTTGACCCATTAATGGTCTACAGCTTACAGTTTGAAAAACTTTGATCTAGACCAAAATCAGGCTCCTAGCACTAATGGCTGGCCTGGAAAAGATATTAGCAGCATTTACCTACAGGATCATGAAGTGAAATATTAAAAGCAAATGACTGGCCGGGCGCGGTGGCTCACGTCTGTAATCCCAGCACTTTGGGAGGCCAAGGCGGGCGGATCACAACCTCAGGAGTTCAAGACCAGCCTGGCCAACATGGTGAAACCCCGTCTCTACTAAAAATACAAAAATTAGCCAGGCGTGGTGGCACGCGCCTGTAATCTCAGCTACTCGGGAAGCTGAGGCAAGAGAATGGCTTGAAACCGGGAGGCAGAGATTGCAATGAGCCAACATTGCACCACTGCACTCCAGCCTGGGTGACAGAACGAGACTCCATCTCAAAAAAAAAAAAAAAGTAAATGACTATAGTTTATGGGATTATATTATTGATTTTGTGGGGCATAATTTACATTTTTATTAGAAATTGCCTTTGTTTTATTCATAAACTGATTCTGTTAGGAGCATAATTTCCTATCTTTTAGACTCTGAGTCTGACGTTGCATTCTGACGTTGCATTCTGGCTGGATTTCTGCATTGTTTAAAACAAACTTTCCAACAAATTTGGAAAACTAGTGTCTTAGTTAATATTTGATGCATGAGAATAAGGATATATATCACCTTTGTGAAAGGAGGCTATTAGCAATTATTTTTGCTTAAAAATATTTACATAAAAGAATAATTTCGAGGCTGGGCGTGGTGGCTTACGCCTGTAATCCCAGCACTTTGGGAGACCGAGGTGGGCTGATCACCTGAGGTCAGGAGTTCAAGACCAGCCTGGCCAACATGGTGAAAGCCCATCTCCACAAAAATACAAAAATTAGCCGGGCGTGGTGGCATATGCCTGTAATCCCAGCTACTCGGGAGGCTGAGGCGGAAGAATCACTTGAACCTGGGAGGTGGAGGTTGCAGTGAGCTGAGATAGTGCCATTGCACTCCAGCCTGGGTGACAGAGCGAGACTCCGTCTCAACAACAACAAAAAAGAATAATTTCATTTAGGTGTGACAGCTTCTTGAAGTTGGTAACTGAACAAGTTATAATCACTTTGGAAGTGAAAATAACAAGGCATTTATCTACCTTAAGATTCAGTAAACCAAATCTGCAGGGTGAAATTGGAAATTACTCATGTTATTTTCCTACTACTTTTGAAAAATGCATAACGAAATGTAATTTGGGATATTTATTTCACTTTGCCCTGTTTATATGAATATATTAGGCAAATATATTTATTCATTTATATTCTAATAAAATATACTTTGCATTTATGTAAACTTTAAAATAAAAAAATCACTTAATGTTACAAATAAACATGAATACCAACTATAGAAAGTGCTGTCAAAGAAACTATCAGATTGTGACTGACACAGAAACAGGACATACAGGTTAAGGGATCAGGTAGGCCTCACTAGGAAACCATGTTCAAATGCTAAAAAAGGCAGTTTACAGGCATTCTCACTGATACATGCCCAACTACACCCAGGTCAGACTGGGTAAATGACTTCCAAGTTTACAAAGCTAGCAAGTAGTGGACCCGTTCGAGTCTTCAGAATCCTCGGGTTCTGCTCATAGCATATTAATGTGACTCCTCAAAAGTCACCTGACATTGACACATGAATGCAGTGTCACGTGAGTACATGCTGCTACACACTGCTTATAAAACATATAAAATGAGGTTAGGTTAATATTATTTTAAGTCGTTAAAATGGCTTTTTTTTTTTTTTTTTTTAAGACAGAGTTTCACTCTTGTTGCCCAGGCTGGAGTACAGTGGCGTGATCTTGGCTCACTGCAACCTCTGCCTCCCAGGTTCAAGCGATTCACCTGCCTCAGCCTCCCAAGTAGCTGAGATTACAAGCACCCACCAACACACCCGGCTAATTTTGCATTTTTAGTAGAGACAGGGTTTCACCATTTGGTCAGGCTGGTCTCGAACTCCTGACCTCAAGCGATCCACCCGCCTCAGCCTCCCAAAGTGCTGGGATTACAGGCATGAGCCACCACACCCAGCCTAAAATTGAATTTTTTATAGATTATTATTACTCTCATAGGACAGTAGAGCATATATTTGCTATTATATGGAACATTAAATTTCAGTGTTCGTAATTTCCCATCTTTTATATAGACTGACTTATAGATTTTCACATACTGAACTTTAAAAGGTCCCTTATGTATAACTTACTTAGCTGGATTGTAATAATTTCATAATGTATGCATATGTGAAAGCATCACATTATACACTTTGAGTATATACAGTTTTTGTCAATTATACCTCAAAGCTGAAAATATTTTGGTGAGTTAATTCTATGTGGTCTATGTGTTATAGTGATTGTAGCAAATTTGAAAATGATCAGTGCTTAAATAGCCATTTTTATGTAGGGTTTAATTTTCACAGAGAAGGGAACGTTTTTGGCAGTGTGGGATACCAGGCATGGAGGTGTAGGATCTGGGTATTAGGAGCAGGTGGTGGTAGACAGGAAGAGAACCACAGCAGTGGTGGTGATGTCAGCAGCTTACCAGAGCTAGGGATAGAAGCCCCCCACTTAGAAGTGTGACATCTAAGTTAACCTCTGCTGCTTACTTAAAGGTGTATTTAGGATTAGTGCCATGCTGTGAAATGGCATATGAAAACAGGAACTCTCTATATAAAAATGTTTTTTATTCAGTCTTTGTGCTCAGTACTACAGATATCTTAATAAACAATTGAATAAAATCACCATCATTTGGGGTGTTGAGAAATCGTTTCACTTTGGAAGTTACCAACATAGGTACTTGGCTGGGTTTCTTATTTATTTCTTTGTTTCCTACTCTCACTTGTGGGTTTTTTTTTCAGTTTTCTTCTTCCCAGTCTGATGAGAGTATATCTTTGGCCATTTGGGGTTCTATTATAAATGATTGCATACATTGAAAAGGATATCTTACATTATCTTTAATGTATTCTCTAAAGGAATATAACGATATATAATTTTATAAGTTTTTAATAGGCATATTTTTTAACAAAATAAGGAATAAGAGCCATAAATTTGGATTCCCTGGGTTTGTCAGAAGGGAAACTCCAGGGGGAAATGTATTTATGGATGTTATATGCGTTTTAACTAATATACGGTATAAGCATAACTTGGAACGTTGTCTTTCAGAACTTAAGGAGGGGAAGAGGAAGGGAACTAACATTTGTGGAGTGCCTGCCATGTGCCAGGCACTGTGCTAGACACTTTGACATACATTGTAGGGTTTATTGTGAGTATTAAATGAGATACTGTATCCCCATTTTACAGATGAGGAAACTGAACTTGCCCCAAGTCACATGGCTGGTAAGTGGCAGAGCTGGACTAGAACCCAGACTCCAAACCCCATGCTTTTTCTGCTGTACCGTGTTTAAAGCTTGCAAAGAGAGATATGTAGTTAATGACCAAAATTGAGAGTTCTAGGAATTTTCTTTTCCCATGAAATATTTGATACTGAACCTAAAAAAAAAAAAATGCTTTCATGTCAGGAGCTAGATGGAAGCACATCATAATGAGAACGCCTTTGCTTTTAAAATGCTATGTTAGACTTATCTAAAGTGCATCTAAGGAAAATTTAAGAAATAATGCCTTTTATCAAGAAAGGCCACTTTGAAGAGACACATCGCATCTTGTAGGGCTTTCCATGTCTTAGAGGTAAAGGTTTAGCTATAATAATGTAAGTTTATAAGAAAGACTGCTTATTTTAAGCATTCTAAATGACAGCAGGCTTGTGCAAAACCCGAGGAAGTTCAAATTTTACTTCATACAGCACACATTAACTCATGAAACACCCATTATATGCCAAGTATGTGCTAGATTCTAGGGGTTTCTGGGGTTAAAAAGATACTATCCCTGATTTGTCTTAAAGTTTTTGCTTTCCTGAGAATAAAGTTAGTGTACAAATATCTTATAATCTTTCTTCAATCATGATTGTTAATTCCCCACTGATAACCCATATATTTTCAAAATATGAAAATTCTAGAATAAAAAGTAATTTAGACACTTTCAGTAGTTAAATGGGACAGGAAGTGGCCTTTATAAGAATACAGGAATAGCAGTGTGTCATCAGAGAATGCAGGATGGTCTTTGAACTGTGATCCTTGGTGTCTTATCTGCTTTAAATTTCCACTGAGTTCATAATATTGGAAATTTGAAGCTAACTAAGATAAATACTTTTTATAACTTGTTTTAAAATTAAAACTTGTGACATTTAGATTTTCTCAAAACAAGAGATTATCTTTGTATCTTTATTTTTTTAAGAGACAAGGTCTTGCTATGTTGCCCAGGCTGGACTTGAACTCCTGGGCTCAAGTGATCCTCATGCCTCAGCCTCTGAAGGAGCTGAGATTACAGGCATGAGCCACTGTGCACAGCTGTCTTTGCCCATATCTTTTTAAATGTACTTTACTAATAAGATTATATTTGAGTATATGGAATTTGTCCATCGACCATTAGAAGTATACCACCATATAGATCCTTTGGGATATTATAGAAATTTATACAAATTCCTACTAATTTATACTAACTCCTGTTTCTGGCTTGAACTAATGCGCTTGTCATTTTGATTTTATTGAGGGAAGTAAAATGAATATATGATACCTCTGAAAAATTATAATAAAACCCAGTCACCTAACATCTCAGAACTAATACATCTGAATATATCATCCCCTTCCAAGTTATTTTAAAGTGGTATTTTTTTCTGAGCTATCGCTCAAAATGTTTTTAAGAATTCTTATTTTGGAACTGCCATTATCTTTCATGGTGCCAAATTTGGTCCCTTGAGGGTGGTTGTTGCTTCTGGAAACAGGCAAGAGTTGTTTGGAAGCATTTCTGATAAATACAAGGCCAATGAATGAACGTCTTTTTTTGCTTTTTTCCTTTTTTTTTTTCCTGAGACAGGGTCTTACTCTGTCGCTCAGGCTGGAGTGCAGTAGCATAATAACGGCTCACTGTAGCCTCAACCTCCTGGGCTCACATGATCTTCCCACCTAAGGCTCTGGAACCACAGACGCACGCCACCACACCTGGTTAATTTTTGTATGTCTTGTAGAGATCAGGTTTCTCCATGTTGCCCAGGCTGGTCTTGAACTCCTGGACTCAAGTGAACCTCCTACCTTGGCCTTCCAAAATGCTGGGATTATAGGCGTGAGCCACCATGTCTGCCCTTGAACTTCATTGTTCACCTGTGACTATTCCCACCCACCCTTTTTTTAAAAAAACAAGTTTTTTGTGGCCGGGCGCAGTGGCTCACGCCTGTGATCCCAGCACTTTGGGAGGCTGAGGCAGGTAGATCACGAGGTTAGGAGTTCGAGACCAGCCTGGCCAGAATGGTGAAATCTCATCTCTACTAAACATACAAAAATTAGCTGGGAGCGGTGGTGGGCGTCTGTAATCCCAGCAACTTGGAAGGCTGAGGCAGGAGAATGGCTTCAACCTGCGAGGCGGAGGTTGCAGTGAGCCGAGATTGTGCCACTGCACTCTATCCTGGGTGGCAGCGTGAGACTCTGTCTCAAAATAAAAATAAAAAGTAAAAAGTTTTTTTTTTTGTTTTTTGTTTTTTTTTAAACTAGCTTTTGTATATATCATGGAACCATCCTGCTCTAACTTCATATTACAAGAAAACAGCAAACGTCTACAGAACTAGAGTGTAATGAGCCCCTCTCTACCCATTAATTTTACTACACGTCTGTGTGAGCAGTGTTTGGAAAGAATGATCCTAGACCAAGGTCCATATCCATGCTGCCTGCATGTGTCAACCTGGTGTCATGTAAACTTCTCATTCGTCACTGGCTATTGTTCCAATTTTAGAAGACCTAGGTGACCACCAGCTGTTCTATTGTTTCAGCCTTTATTACCCCATAACCTTCTTCCCTGGATGTGGGTGAAGAGAAAAAAGAGGAGAGCTATGTTATTCTCTGCTCCACTCCATCTCTTCTGACAATACGATGAAGATATGTTAAACAATCTATTAAGTTAGTTTATAACTGGCTTAACGTGACCTTGTTAACTATCTCAAAGCTATACAGTTTTGTACGACTCATTGAGTTGTCTGTGTATACATTATTTTGTATAGTCACAAAAACAAATTTAGGACTTTTCCCAAGTTTATTCATATGCTGGTGATCATTAATCACAATTAGGCCAGGCACAGTGGCTCACGCCTGTAATCTCAGCACTTTGGGAGGCCAAGGCAGGCAGATCACGAGGTCGGGAGATCAAGACCATCCTGGGCAACATGGTGAAACCCTGTTTCTACTAAAAATACAAAAATTAGCTGGGCATGATGGCGCGTGCCTGTAATCCCAGCTACTCGGGAGGCTGAGGCAAGAGAATCACTTGAACCAGGGAGTAGAAGGTTGCAGTAAGCCAAGATTGCACCAGTGCGCTCCAGCCTGGTGTCAGCAAAACTACGTCTCAAAAAAAAAAAAAAAAAAAAATCAATTATTCCCTATCACCAATGTTTTAAAATTACATGTAGAAGGAAAAGGCAGTACAACCTTATAAACAATATTTTTATTAATTCTATGAAAATCTTTAAGTGAGCTTCCTTGAAAGCCATGTTTTTAACTGTTGTATTCTTTCACCTAATTCTCAAGCCTTAGAAGGCAGAAATCTGGCATATACCCAAATAGAAGCACATAAATCAGTTAATCTTTGTTTAACTTTTTTAAACAAAGTTTCAGTGATAATATCCTATTTAGCTGACAAAGTATTTGTCTCCCATGGGTAGCATTTCACTTCTTATTCATTGGGTATAATACATTTTCATGAAATACAGAAATGCTGTGTTTTCCTCTTTTGATTGGAATTTAGTTCAGGCAATTGTTATAGAATTTGATAACTTTTTAAAAAATCTTTTTTCTTGCACTTAGCTTTGAGAGAGCATGTATTTTGTAATGTCTCATCAGAGTGACAAACTAACTCTGGACCATACGTTCTCAATGTTGAAGCGTTGGTGGTAGAAATGTTTTATCACTCGAATCCATCTGTCTTTTCTAGGAAGCTATGTTTCTTGCAGTAGACAAATTTTGAATATAAATTAGGAAACTTTGAGAACTTACTTTTAGTATTTGATCTGAATACTAAGTAAATATTAAACGCTGTATTTTAACTGTATGATTATACTATGCTTAGACAATACTTTTAAATGAATATTTACAAATGTATTATTTTCCTAGAAACCTAAGAAAGAAAAATTATCTTTCCCCAGAGAAACTAGGTTTAAGCAGAGCTTTGCTGGGTTTTTATTGTTGTTTTTTGTTTTTTTTACTGAAACTGCAGTGAGCTCAATTCCTTCCAGTGCTTCAGTGATTTTCTAGTAATGAGAATTGCACTTAAAGACATTCAGTGACTGTTTCAGGCATGATATGGAGTATAGGAAAATCTCTAAACTGAAACATTCAGAGGATGGAGATATTCTGCTTAATGGAAATTTTTGCAGTGGTGTGCTACAGTCAGCTCCTCCTGGCTTGCTAGAGCCTATTATTAAATTTTCAGGCCGGGCGTGGTGGCTCACGCCTGTAATCCCAACACTTTGCGAGGTTGAGGCAGGCAGATCACTTGAGGTCAGGAGTTCAAGACCAGCCTGGCCAACATGGCAAAACACCATCTCTACTAAAAATACAAAATTAGCCAGGTGTCGTGGTGCACGCCTGTAATCCCAGCTACTTGGGAGGCTGAGGTACAAGAATCGCTTGAACTGGGGAGGTGGAGGTTACAGTGAGCCAAGATTACACCACTGCACTCCAGCCTGGAGCCACTTAGTGAGACTCTGTCTAAAAAAAAAAGCCAGGCGCGATGGCTCACACCTGTAATCCCAGCACTTTGGGAGGCCAAGGTGGGAGGATCACGAGGTCAGGAGATTGAGACCATCCTGGCTAACACGGTGAAACCCCGTCTCTACTAAAAATACAAAAAATTAGCCAGGCGTGGTGGCAGGCGCCTGTAGTCCCAGCTACTCGGGAGGCTGAGGCAGGAGAATGGCATGAACCCAGGAGGCGGAGCTTGCAGTGAGCCAAGATCGCGCCACTGCACTCCAGCCTGGGCGACAGAGCGAGACTCCGTCTCAAAAAAAAAAAAATATGTGTGTGTATAAATATGTATATATATACATGCATATATATATGCATATATACATACACATACACAATTTACACATTAAAAACATTAGTACTCAAAACTCATAATTTCCAAGTATTTTCTCTGTGCTCTGTGGGTATTGGCATCTGTTTTGTCTGTATGCTGTGCTGCTTACCACGTGTGTGTCTTTCCAACTCTACGCTCAGGAAAGTCACCTTGGTAGCTTGAAACTGGCCATGGTGGAAGTATTTACATCGTGAGAATTACTGAACACTACACATCAGGGCTTTTTCATTGTTTTGTCCTGAGGACTGTTTCTTAAATATTTATTAGCACACCACTGACTTTAAGCTAAATGAGCATCTTAAGCTTTTGCCTTTGATAAAAACCTGTCTAAAATGCATTAGGATGCTTTTCTACCTTAAGTGTTTAGAGCATGCTAAATATCATTGTTCTAAGTGCTGAAGAAGATCTTTAATACTTGAGATTGCTATAATGCTCAGAATAATTATCTTAAACATTACAAGATCACCTCTTATGAGATGTCAAAAGTATATCATTTCCAGATCAGTTTTATGTAAAATGCCAAATTATGAATTCTTTATATAAGCTCAAAATATTTTGTTTTACTGCAGCTGCCACTGGTGACATGCCAACTTACCAGATCCGAGCTCCTACTGCTGCTTTGCCACAGGGAGTGGTGATGGCTGCATCGCCCGGAAGTTTGCACAGTCCCCAGCAGCTGGCAGAAGAAGCAACACGCAAACGAGAGCTGAGGCTAATGAAAAACAGGTGAGGTGTTGCACAGGGAATCGGTAACTTCTAGGACACTTTTTAAAAATTACAGTTTTCACCGGGCGCAGTGGCTCACGCCTGTAATCCCAGCACTTTGGGAGGCCAAGGCAGGCGGATCACAGGGTCAGGAGATCAAGACCATCCTGGCTAACACGGTGAAACCCCATCTCTACTAAAAAATACAAAAAAATTCGCCGGGCGTGGTGGCAGGTGCCTGTAGTCCCAGCCACTTGGGAGGCTGAGGCAGGACAATGGCATGAACCTGGGAGGCGGAGGTTGCAGTGAGCCAAGATCGTGCCACTGCACTCCAGCCTGGGCGACAGAGCGAGACTCCATCTCAAAAAAATAATAAAACAATATTAAATATTAATAAATGATAATAAAATAATGATAAAAATAATATCAATAAATAAAAATAAAAATAAAAATTACAGTTTTCAGCTGGGCGCAGTGGCTCCCGCCTGTAATCCCAGCACTTTGGGAGGTCAAGGCGGGCAGATCACAAGGTCAAGAGATTGAGACCATCCTGGCCAATATGACGAAACCCTGTCTCTACTAAAAATACAAAAATTAGCTGGGTGTGGTGGTGTGCACCTGTAATCCCAGCTACTCGGGAGGCTGAGGCAAGAGAATCACTTGAACCCGGAAGGCGGAGCTTGCAGTGAGCTGAGGTCGCGCCACTGGACTGCAGCCTGGGTGACAGTGAGACTCCGTCTTAAAAAAAAAAAATTACAGTTTTCATAAGCCATTTCTCCCAAGTTACATGTTGTGTGGCATTTCATGTAGGTTTGTGCTCTGTGTGTGTTATTAGATTGTCTTCCAGTCAGAATTCCTGGCTGTTAAACTATTTCATCAGCAGGAGTTACATCCCTATGTTGTAAGGGTGATGTCCAAAAGATACAGTAATTTTTAAAAATAATGATTAAAGGACTTTGTTAGAAACAAAGAGCTATTTTGTATTTAGTATTTGCTGTGAAGTAGGTGATAAGTCGAATTTTTTAGCTTCTCTCTGAGAAAAATGAAGTGTAAGTGAGGCGTTACTTTTCGACATTTTCTACATGTAGTTTCCTTTTGTCTATTTTTTAACTTTTTTTCCTCTATTACACTGAAATACATATTTAATCTGATAAATTCTAGTCAAGTGCAAATACAAAATAACAAAAAGAATTAAAATCATCCATGGCTCTAACCACTTAGGATACCTCCTATTATAGTCTATGTACTTCCAGTCAGCTCTCATTTTCTCTCACTTTTTCTTGCTCCATATCTCTGTCATTTTATTTTTAAGCAACATATTATAAAATGCTATTTTCTAAAACTTTTTAAAAATTTAAACATAAATAAAATTTTATTTAACTTGTATATTATTTATTGGTTTAGTTTTTATTATGAATAATGGTGCAAATTAATCTGATTTTCAAAAGGAACAGAATTGTCTTAGAGTTTCCCAGTAGTCTTGTCACCTTAGTCCTAATGTCAAATAATGTCCTCATTGTGTGCAGCCAGGACAGAGATTCAGCAGTGTTATCAAGGGCCCAGACTCCCGCTCCCGGCTGTGTCATCTTCAGCATGTATCATTCATTCTCATGATCACAGCGCGGCTACTGAACCTCTAGGCATTGCCTCAGACAGGAAGAAGGGCTAGAGCCAAAAATTGGGGCTAGCTGAGGTCTGGCCCAACTGCAAACCTTTCCTGGAAGATCCTCCCAGCAACTTTCACCTACATTTCATTGGCTAGAAATAGGTCTTTAGTCCCTAGCTGTACAGGATTCTGAGAAAGGTTTATTTTCGCTTTCTAAATCTCAGTTTCAGAGCAAGACAAGAGAAATGCAGATGATACCTGGCTGTTAGGTTGCTCATTATCTGTTTAGCAGATTTTAAGTGCTTTATTTCTACTGTGTGTTTAATGCTTACATGAGAATAGGTGATTATTATGCCCAGTTTACAGATGAGGACCAGAAGTTCAGAGATGTTAAGGAATAAGTTGGTCAAGATCACATGGCCCAAACTGGGCAGAACCAGGATGGGCAACCGGGCAGTCTTTATTCCAGAGCCTGTCCTCTATACCAGCATCAGGCATCTCAAAAATACCCCATGATAACCTGCAAATTTCACTTCCTGGGGAAGTGTGAGGCTTTAGTCATTCACAGATAGATCTCTTACATATTTTCTTTTTATTCTTTGATTGGCATCTATAATCGATATCTCATTATATCGTATTTCTGCCAATCCAGCAACAGTTTTTATTTCTTTCCAGCCTTGTCAGAGTTTCTTCCTTGCCTTGCACTTCCTCTCCGTGCTGAGGATACACCCAGACACATGCAAGCCTGAAAACCGAGCTCACTATTAATAGAAGAAACAGGTGTTTTCCATGGCTGAGGAGTGCTTAGGAATGTACCATCTACTGATGTGATCGGGGAAAGCTTTGTGCCTGCAACATTTTGACTCTAGTAATATGTGTGTCTGTGCATGCACACACACACATGCACACTCAAATGTAGAAGATGAAGTATGAGTATTTATAATAGCTTATTAAAGAAAATGTTTAAACACCCGCAACACCGCTATTAGGTCTTTAAATTTTTCATTTAATGGTAACCATGTTTTGTAAAATGACTATCTTCCTTCTAGGTCTAGAATTTAATATAATTTAATCATGAAAACGTTGGTATTCATAAATGAATTTCAGTGCCTTTGTGGAAAAGAGTTAAATTATGTCCCCAAATTGGCAAATGTGTGTGTTTGGATTTATTCTTAACTTTTCCAATTGCATCATTTAGATTAAATTAGTCACTATAACATTCTTTTCAATTTTACATTTTAAATTTCTTTTGTTAACCAGCTGAGAAGTCTGAGAACTTTGTATGTTCACAGGGTGAGTCCATTGTTCCTGGCTAGGAAGCAGGGGTTGATCTTTTCCTGCAGTTCATTTGGATTGAAGGTTCTTCTTTGCTGACTCTTGCTTCCATAGTGAAAACACAGATATCCACTCAGTGAGAGTCAGCTATCTTAAAAAAAAAAAAAAAATCATGTATACATCACATGTGGTTCAGGATGCTAGCTGGCATTACAGAAACTGGTGTTTAGACATTCAACACTGCTTTTTTTAACATATTTGAATGATAGTGTCTGTTTCAGTGCAGGCTTTTTTGACATGAAGGGTGATCTACCTCAAAGGCAGTTATTCTGGAATTGAATCCTCCAAAATGAGGCCAATTAAAGGGTGTCTTCTACATAGGAGTTAAGGGAAGTGGTTGCCATCCCTCCCACCCTGAAAAAAAGAAAAAGAGAAAATGTTGGCTCTATTTATTGTTTTGGTGGGGTTATGTATGAAAATGACTAAGTCAACTCATCTGTTTGTGTTGTTGCTTTGGCTACTGGTCTGTTCTTTCATTTTGGGCTTATAGTGCTTTAAAATTCAATATATTGGATATTAAATGCATGTGATTAGGAAACAGTCTTGAAATATGCCCAGAGTTACTCAGTAGCTTCTTTTTTATAATTTTAATTGTGGTGGTCTCACATTTGTGGGTTTAAATTGTCTGAGTTATTGAGTGTTGTATTTTGTAGCCCCCTTCTTTAATTTTCAGAAGCACTGTCCATTTCATTTCGGTTTATAAAAATGCACATCTTTTGTTTATTGTTATGATTTATCCATGTGTGTTTTCTAGCCAATAAACTGTGTCTTGCAGTCATGATTGATCTTGTTTTACTGAGATTTAGTTTTGAAGACTAAAAATCTCCAGTGTTGATATTTAAGGTTTTTGAGGATTAATTCTTATAATCATTTTTGATCGAATAAAATTAACTCATTATGTCGGAGTATGTGCCTTTTGGGAGACAAAAATAATTAAGAGAATTGAAAGGATCTATAAATGTGTTTGTAGAAATTCCACTTGGGGATGTGGTCCTATTGTAGTTTACTGAAAACAGTTGTGGGCATTGTTACCAGTGGAATGTGTGCCCTAAGAAAACACCATTTGTGATGAATGCTGGGCGAACTGTGTTCTCAAATCATTCCTGTTGTCTAATGGTTATCTTACAAAAAGCATGTGCCTGGTTATGTTTGTTATGTGGCTTTGTACAGTCCTTACCTAGGATCGATTGGCTGTTGAGTTCGGGGGGCAGAAGTGCACTGACCCACTGTGGATTGTGTTGGAAGGCTGTTCCTGTAGTCATTTGCCTTGTGTTGCTTCCAGGGAAGCTGCCCGGGAGTGTCGCAGGAAGAAGAAAGAATATGTCAAATGTCTTGAAAATCGTGTGGCTGTGCTTGAAAACCAAAACAAGACTCTCATTGAGGAACTCAAGGCCCTCAAAGATCTTTATTGCCATAAAGTAGAGTAACTGTCTTTGACTTGGACCTTGTTTACTCTAATCAAGGCAGGAGATGCAGCAGTCCTACTTATTGCCATGTGGACTTGTGGGAAGGACACGTGTGACCCTTAAGAATCCAGTTTGGATTAGTGTTTGAAATTGAATTGGGAATGTTGTTCCAGGATGTGGAATGCAGCCGTGATCACACTTACCGAGCTTACTTTGATCTGTTTGTCAATAGCATGCAAAAAATGCTTTGTTTGCCCTTTGCTTCTGCTTTTTTTCAGGGAAGCTGCCAAAGAATGTCGACGTCGAAAGAAAGAATATGTAAAATGTCTGGAGAGCCGAGTTGCAGTGCTGGAAGTCCAGAACAAGAAGCTTATAGAGGAACTTGAAACCTTGAAAGACATTTGTTCTCCCAAAACAGATTACTAGAAATATTTAACTATGAACTGAAGGCAGCATGTATAGTTGCTTTTGAAGGAATACAATATATAGCTGGCAAGAATGGTGGCTTCTTTTCTTTGTATCATTCATCTTCTTCTTTAATCACTTAACATTCCTAAAATGCTTCACTGTACGTAGTTAAGTCGTAGCTATAACTTCAAATTTTTTAAAAGAGACAAACTGTAAAAAATGTGTGTATTCTTAAAATGCAATATTTGTAAGGCTTGTTCCAATGCCACATACTTGCAGCTCCCATTCTATGTGTCATCAATAGTGTCCTATGCAATAAAATTATTTGCAGGTCTTTAAATCATTTTAGGAAAGGATGATCAAAAATAATGCATCCAGCAGTACAATAAAAGTAAACCACAAAAAAATACCTCAGGAAAGAATAGAAAGAAAGTCTATCTAATGACATGCCTATATGAGAAGAATAGCCTAGATATGAATATATGGCATTTGCAGATTTTTATATTAGTTGCTTTGTTAAAAAAAAAAAGATTGTATTGCTGTCCTTGAATGCCATAGTCAAAGAGAGTTTTTAATAGAACCATGTTGGTTGCACTTTGTAGTGTTTGGTGCTCATTTAAATATCTGAACATTTACTACAGTTTTTAACTCTACTGTGTAATATAAAAGATCTTGCAGAAGTTCTTAGTGTTGGTTTAATATTACCTAATGAAAGTGATGACATATTTTTTATATCTGGAATGAGCCTGTTGGGATCGCATTGCATACCTTCGGGGTACAAGTCAGTTTCTACACTGGGTGCTGATCCTTGCACGCGCCCTTTCTACCATCTCACGGTGGGGATGGCCGCAGGGCTGTGCACCCAGAAGAAGATGGCTGTTAGCGTTTCGGCCTTCATAATGGCCTGAGACTTTCTTTCTGTAGGTGGTCTGGAGCTGTCCGGCTGGTGGCCCCCTATTTTGCCATTTAGCGAACAACCACAGGAATTTTAAAAACAAAAACATCCCAAGATTTTTTCATTTCAAAATGCTTCAAAGTCCACATTAGATCAGATACTCCGCTGTCGGCACATTCAGCTGAGGTTCATTACAATCGAGACTGCAATGTGATCTATGTTTCATCTTGTTTTTATAATAAAAAGCTTCAGGGAACAAGCCCAAAGCCCTCACCACAGGATGCTGTGTCCCCTCATTCCCTGACGTTTCTTGATTGTCTGCCGCGTGGTGGACTCTGCTGTGTTTCCTGCTGTGACTTCTGCTTTAAGGATGTCCCTGCCCCACCCCCCAGTTTCAAGAGTGGATCTGATCAGTGTGTGGTGGGAGACAGAAAATTGGGAGCTGGTTTGCGGAGCATCCAGCTGCTGCTTTCCCTGTACCACTGGAATTCTTTCCCTTATCTGTCACTCCCAGTAAGTAGGGCATGTCATTGTTGGCTTTCTTTAAAAATATTTATTCTTCCTTCAGAGTCGGAGCTCTGAATTTCTTTTTTCTTTTTTTCTTTTAAGACAGAGTCTTGGTTTGTCACTCAGGCTGGAGTGCAGTGGCGTGATCTCAACTCACCACAACCTCCGCCTCCCGGGTTCAAACAATTCTTCTGCCTCAGCCTCCCGAGTAGCTGAGATTACAGGCGTACACCACTACACCCAGCTGATTTTTCTATTTTTAGTAGAGATGAGGTTTCACCATGTTGGCCAGGCTAGGCTCGAACTCCTGGCCTCAAGTAATCCACCTGCCTTGGCCTCCCAAAGTGCTGGGATTACAGGTGCGAGCCACCGCACCCGGCCTAAATTTCTTTTATCTCAATTTTTGTCTTCTCTTCTACAGAGAAGATGAGGAAAGAAGTCAAGGAAGAAAAAGGAAAGGAAAACTCCAGGTTTCAGGTGCAGGACAGTAGGACCTTGCATTCACTCATCTGCCCAGTCAGTTGCTGTGCGCCAGTGGTGTGGCTGGGGTGGGTGGACACACAGAGGGGACACGAGGATCAGCAGGCAAGATGTACAAAGTTGGAGACGATGCACGCTACATGTTAGAATTCTAGAAAGATGCAGCTGGGGGTTAAACAGGAGACTTTATGTGGGAAGTGGATTTTGAACTGGGCCTTGAAGTGATTGACAGTGCTGGGGCGTGGGGTGGGTACTTCGGGAATACAGAGCACACACACTGCTCCAAGGAGCTTGGGTCTGGAGGACAGAGGGAGGCCAAGTGAGTTCTCACCCAAGAGCTAGTTTCATTTAAAAATCAGGGGAAGACAGAAGCAATGTGTGCGCATGCCTGTGTGTACTCTAGTCTGCAAAATAGGTTATATTATTTTAGAGGAAAGGGACTATCCAATTACTTGGGACCACCAGCAACAGAAGCCCCCCTTCCCAAACCCAGTGGTTTAAACAATAAGGAAATACACTACCTTGCAAAACAAGAAGTCTAGTGGTAAGAAATCCCAGGCTTGCTAATTTAGTGACAACGATGGCATCACGACCAGATCCTTCCTCCTCATTCTTTTCCCTCTACCTGCTGGTTCCCCGACCTTAATATTGCTGCCACAGTCCCAGGCATCAGAAATGGAAAAGACAGCACCCTTTTTGGGGGGATACTGCTTTTTTCTTTGTTTTTTGTTGTTTTTTTGAGACGGAGTCTCACTCTGTTGCCCAGGCTGGGGTGCAGTGGTGTGATCTCGGCTCACTGCAAGCTCCACCTCCCAGCCCAAAGACTGGGCTGAAAGGCACTGGGTTGCTCATGAGGATTCAGCCCCTAGGGTTGAGGATCTTCCAGGCTTTGGGGAAGCATATGGCCATCAATGTCGAATAAAACTGGGCTTCTGGAAGAGTGGCTTGTAGACACTGGGGACGTCTGGCACTGGGACTGAGCACTTACCCTGTACAAGAAGTGAGGAACAGCTTGTGACAGGCTGGGGCTTGAGCCATGCTCCCAGACCTGCATGGGAACTCTTATTCTTGCTCATGAAATGTATCCCTGAAGCCAAGCTTCTGCTACCAAAATAGCACGATTTGACAGCAGTGCTTTCAGCCTTACAGCAGATACTGCCTACGACCTCTCCCTCAACAGAACCTGCAGTAGGGGAAGCTTTGCAGGGGGGAACGTTGCACATCTCGCACACCCTTGCGCGTGGGATCCACAGCGCTCCCACACCCGTGCGCGTGGGATCCGGAGCTCCCCGCACACCCGTGCGCGTGGGATCCACAGCTCTCCCCACACCCGGGCGTGTGGGATCCACAGCGCTCCTCACACCCGTGCGTGTGGGATCTGGAGCTCCCCGCGCACCTGTGCGTGTGGGATCGAGTTCTCACTGCGTGTGTCTTTCTTTGAACCCTAAAAGTTTCATCTGGACTGCTGGGTATAGAAATTCCTGCTCCAAGGTTAGGGGACTGCATACCTTCTCTGTCCTGTGTAACTAGGTACTTCATAACACTAAGTCATGTGAGATGGGAACATTAAGAAAATGAACTCCTGCTAGTATTTAAACGTGTGACCATGAGGCATGCCTGAAACTGAGAACATGGACATCAGCAACATACTGTGCATGAACGGCAGCTGTTTGAGTGCCAGATGCCTCATTCCTTGTTCAACCACACTTCTCAGTTTTCTTCATATGAAGAAACTTACGTCCAAAACATGCTATTTCCCATGTGCCTAACAGTACACCTTTAAAAAATATCATGACTTGTGAAACCAACTTGATTGTTCTAGTCTACACCAAAAATAATTAGGCCGCTTTGACGTGTGAGGCAGGCAGAGCTGTTGCCAGTTGGCTGGCTGTAATGCAATGACTGTCGTATGGTAGTATACCATGGTTCTCAGAAGTTTAGATGTGCCAGGCTGGAGTGCAGTGGCACGATCTTGGCTCACTGCAGCCTCTGCCCTCTGGGTTCAAGTGATTGTCCTGCCTCAGCCTCCCGAGTAGCTGGGATTACAGGTGTGTGCCACTACGCCCATCTAATTTTTGTATTTTTAGTAGAAACAGGGTTTTGCCATGTTGCCCAGGCTGGTCTTGAACTCCTGACCTCAGGTGATCCACCCACCTCGGCCTCCCAAAGTGCTGGGATTACAGGCGTGAGCAACCACGCTGGCCATGATTCATCTTTTCTAAGGTCATCTTAAAGACACAGACTTGATTCTGAACTACTCAAGCATGGTATATTTTAATCTTTATGCTTTGTGGGAAGGTTTTTTCTATATAAATCCATTTTCTTGGCTGGGCATGGTGGCTCACACCTGTAATCCCAGCACCTTAGGAGGCTGGGGCAGGAGGATTGCCTGAAGCTAAGAATTAAAGACCAGCCTGGACAACATGGTGGGACTCTGTCTCCACAAAAAAAAAAAAAAAAAAATTAAGCAAATTAGCCAAGCATGGTGGTGCACACCTGTAGTCCCAGCTACGATACATACATGATTCATTGATCATGTTGTCTGTATCCTTAAGTTGTCCCATCTTCAGGGCCATGTGATGCGGAGTTTCCAGAAAGCAACATGGGAGTCAGCATGTTCATTCACTCCTTCAAGTCAATAAGTGAGGCTGCATTTGTAAGAAGTCCAGGAGGAGACAGGGCAGCTTTGGGACCTAGGGCTGTGGCAACCCTGACGTTACCATCCTGGGCTTGCTTTCTTCCAGGTGTGTATGTAGCTCCACAGATGCTACAGCCACGTAGTCATGGCAGTCAAGAATAACAGCTACCGTGTACAGAGTGCTCACCCTGCGCCAAGGGGCTTCCACATTTAATTCTCCTAGCAGCCCAACAAGTGTTGATGCTGTTACCATTATCCTCATTTTGCAGATGAGGAAGCAAGCTTGGAGAGAAGTTCAGTAGCTTGCCAAAGGTCACATGGCTCAGGACCAAGTGCAGAACCAGGACAGCAAGCCTCTGTCCTGGCGGTTCTCACCCAGTCTGGACCCAAAGGCAGGAAAGTGTTAAGAAACACTTGCTGGCAATGACTCAAGCAGGTGGTGGCTGCAGAGAGAGAGAGCTCTGTGGCTCTGAGTGGCTATGTGTGGGAACACCCAGACCTTCCTGTTCAAATGCACAAAAGCACATTTTCGCTCCTCTCTGGTTTTTCAAATCCCTGATGCTGATCAGGAAAAAATGACTCTACAGTTTAAGGACTAAGGACTAGCTAGCTATTGGAACATCAAAGTCACAGTTATGCTCATTGAAATAGAATCTTACAGCTAAAAGAGGTCTCACCGGTGTAATTTTTTAATTTTTATTTATTTATTTTTTGAGACAAAGTCTCATGCTCGGTCACCCAGGCTGAAGTGCAGTGGTACGATCTTGGCTTACTGCAACCTCCGCCTCCCAGGCTCAAGCGATTCTCCCACCTCAGCCTCCCAAGGAGCTGGAACTACAGGCACGCGCCACTACGCTTGGCTAATTTTTGTGTTTTTTTGTAGAGACGGGGTTTTGCCATGTTGTCCAGGCTGATCTTGAATTCCTAGGCTCAAGTAATCCACCTGCCTTGGCCTCCCAAAGTGCTGGGGTTACAGGCATGAGCCACTGAGACTGACCAACAGGTGTAATTTACTCCTTTCATTTTATAGACAAGAAAACCAAATTTCAGATTGATTTACTTAAATATTGCCAGCTATTGACAATAGACTAGAAATACTCAGATCTCTGAACTAGTGTGATAATCTTTATATTACTGTGATGCCTCTATTTTTCTATAAACTGGATTTTCAACCAGCTTTTGTGCAGCATAGCTTTCTGAGGAAGGATTTGTCCCTGTGGTTTGAATGGACGGAAGCTGGAAGGAAAACCCCGTCACTTACTATGCAAAAGTCCAGCTGGTCTCTGTGACAGCTGGAGGACACAGGAACTCTGCCAGATCTATCTCAGCCACCTCACTTTATGAAGGATGCTTGACCTGTGGTTCAGTCATTTTCTAGGACAAAAGGCTGTTAACAAGATGTACAAGAGCTCTTGCTTTCAACGTTTGTGGAGCTCTCAGAAGCGCTGACTTACAGCAGACCAGCGTGAGGCTTAACTTAGGAATGAACCCTACCTTTTAAAACACAGTTTACTATTGATACCCTTTTTTTTTTTTTTTTTTTTTTTTTTTTTTTTTTTTTGAGACAGAGTCTTGCTCTGTCGCCCAGGCTGGAGTGCAGTAGTGCAATCTCGGCTCACTGCAACCTCCGCCTCTCGAGTTCAAGTGATCCTCCTGCCTCAGCCTCATGAGTAGCTGGGACTACAGGCACATGCCACCACACTGAGCTAATTTTCGTATTTTTAGTAGAGACAGGGTTTCGCCATATTGCCCAGGCTGGTCTCGAACTCCTGACCTCAGGGGATCCACCCGCCTTGGCCTCCCAAAGTGCTGGGATTACAGACATAAGCCACTAAGCCCAGCCACTACTGATAGACTTTTGAGGAGGTGAGAAGCCCAAATAAGGAGGCTTTGGATGAAAGTGGGCTGCCCGGGAGAGGATAGCATGAGTGTGCCTGTTTGTGTCTTCTGTTTTGTGTTCCATACCTCTGGAATTTTCATTCAGTAGGTCTGGGAATTTGTATTTTTAACCAGTTCCTTGCATGTTTGTTTGTTTGTTTTTGAGACAGGGTCTTGCTCTGTTGCCCCTGCTGGAGTGCAGTGGCACAATCACAGATCACCTCAGCCTCCACCTCCTGAGCTGAAGCGATCCTCCTGCCTCAGCCCCCGGAATAGCTGGGACCACAGGCATGTGCCACCACCACGCCAGGCTCAAGTTCCTGGCATGTTTCTGAAGCACTCTAGTGTTGGAGAACACTGAACTCTATGATCTGGGGTTGGGCCTAGCCTAATTTTCCTTTAAGTCATGGATGCTCTTACCCAGCATTTATCCAGCACACAGACTGTTTAATGTCACAGCCACAGCGCCACCTAGTGTATGTGTGACTTCCAAACGGCGTATTTTCTTAGAAACATTAGTCTGTGAACATTTCAAAACTCAACGGGTGGTATTTCTTTTCTGCCATGGACTCTCCAAGTGTATGCCAAGCCCTATGGGGGCAAGGGATTAAGGGCAGTTTTCTCTGATCTAGTTTGGTGAATTATATTCACAGTAACTCTGGGGAGTCTTGGGTTAACTGTGGGGGAGGGGCAATAATTTGACAAGGTTTGGGAATCCTTAAACTATAGAGTTTTCTCTAAGAGTACACAGTTAATTGCAAATAGATTGAATTATTTGACATAAGAACTTTAGACATTACTTCCAGGCCACATAGTTTTAGCAAGTAAGTGACTTTAAAATGAATCCATCTTTTCTCAGCAAAATTACCGGTTTTGCTTTAACTGCATATGAGGGGTTATTTTAGGTGGTTAGAACATAGTGGAAAATGAGGCCAGGCGCGGTGGCTCACACCTATAATCCCAGCACTTTGGGAGGCCGAGCCAGGTGGATCACTTGAGGTTAGGAGTTCGAGACCAGCCTGGCCAACATGGCAAAACCCCATCTCTACTAAAAATACAAAAATTAGCTGGATGTGGTGGTACGCGCTTGTAGTTCCAGCTACTGGGGAAGCTGAAGCAGGATAATCGCTTGCAGTGAGCTGAGATCACGCCACTGCACTCCAGCCTGGGTGACAGAGTGAGGCTCTGTCTCAAAAAAAAAAAAAAAAACCTAGTGGAAAAGAGTTTCAAAGCGTTTTGCGTGTCACTCAGACATGGCTGTGGGTGGCATTTTAGTTCTTATCGTAACCTGTGATCACAGTGTTGGCCTCATGGGAATTGGATGAGCATAATCATATCACTAGAAGTTCTTGGAAAATAAGTATCATTAACTGTGGGAGAGCAGTGATATTTTCACACTCTAAAAAGTATACATATCCTGTTGCTTAGTAATGCCGAGATCAGCATCTGTTTTGTTATTGTAGCTTGAAATATCATGAAAATGTAATTGGAGATGAAGGTGCTGATGGCATTTAGCAATTACTTAGAGGTTAGATTAGTGACATGGTAATGATAATTAGATTATATGCCTTTGAACAATTTCTATTCAGAGACTTTTGATATATGATATTATGAATAAGATAATGTTAGAAATTCCAAATTTTAGAACATTAATCCATCTCAATATTAATTTAAAAATAAATACACATACATACATACATACTTCTTTGGTCAGCCAGAATTTTTTTTTATTAGCCTTTTCCTCACATAACCAGCCAGTGTTAAAATAGATTTGATGTCATGAAGGTTGCAGCTTTTAGGCAGTATAATTTTTTTTCCTGGCATGCATAATTCTGTATTATGTACATGGTTTCATTCATCCTTTTATCCAGATGTCTGAATTGATGTAACCCAGCTGGATTTTATTGGAGTTTAGACCTAGAAGGGTAGAAGACAAATCTACCTTATCAAGGGTATAACATGCCTAACCTATTAGTCTTTCTATTCAAGTAACCTGACTTAATATCATTAAATGCTGGGTTGCTGTTGCTCCAGGAATACAGGATTGTGGCAGTTTGGTGGGGCAGGGAGGGGAGGTTGGAGTACCAGCAGAGGGTTTCATAGAGGGAACACCCCATGTAACAATAGAGAAAGAAGACTGAGTTGCTGGAGGGGCTTAGCAGAAAATCTATGGGAACTCTTCCACAGCTGGTATGGACTTCACGCACCAAAGCACATTGAGATTAGCTGTGGTTTCTTAGGGATTTTCACTACAATCAATTACTTGAATACTTCTAGAGCATTTAGTATCCCAGACACCCCTGTTTCATGATTTTCATTTTAAAATGAGTCAGGCAGTGATTACCTATGTTCTTAAAAATCCATCCTGGATAAAAAGAACTACAGAAACAAAAGAACAAAGTCCAAAGCTACAGGCGCTGTGAAGAGCAGAATGAACAGTGGGTGTGTGCTTGGCTCGAGGAACCATGGCTGACAGCCACCAGACCTGGGTTCTGGTCCTAGCTTTTCTGTTAAAACTCCCTGTGTCGCTTTGGCAAGGTCATTTGACCTCTGTTTGATTGGGAACCTCTGTTTTCTCCACATTGACCTTGACATTTGTGACACTGTGATGAAATTCACAGTGAAATGTAAATTTCAAAGAAGAGTTCATCAGATCTTATTTGTTACCTCATCCCTGTGAACACAGCTTCTAGATTCTTAGTATCAGGTCATGAACCTATAAAATTATCTTTCAGAATGTCTTCAACATCAATATTTTTAATAATCCATTCTGAGGATTGCCCAGCATTTAAGAGAAAAAAGCCTTAGGCTGAAACTGGCCTGTGATGAAGGCAGGGACATCTACTTTGATTCTGGTAACTGGATTAAGATTTTCACACATGAAGACTTTACTTGGGCAAATTTTGTTTTACTTATGTTATTTATAAATGCACCAAAACTGTGACTGAATGAAAATTTTCCACCGCAGGAGTTTCCTCTGCCCTTCTCAACCTAACAGGGCCGCACCAAGTTAACAGAAATTATCACTGGCTTAGAAAAGGTTGTGGTTTTCAGTGTACATTAGGAGGGTTACTGTCCTGTAACCCAGTTTATTATTTTAATATTCTTGAAAGAACTGAAGTAATGAAGGGAGAGGCTATATTTTCTTTAGAAGATTTTTCCATGTTATTTGAAAGGTTTTATTCACACATATTTTTCTTAGCAGAAAAACAATTAAATTGAAAAAATTTTAAAAGTACTTTTAAAACGTACTTTTAAATGTACTTTTAAAATGTACTTTTAAATGTACTTTTAAAATGTACAAAAATATTTTAAAATGTACATTTTAAAGTACATTTTAAAATTTTTTCAATTACCCTTTAATAAAGCTGGAGGAAAATAAATAATATAAAATTATACATTTTGTAGATGTGAAATATGTCATAAAAATCAAAGTTTATAAAAAATGTTTACCAAAATATATAACCAGGCTGGGCACGGTGGCTCATGCCTGTAATCTGAGCAATTTGGGAGGCTGGGGCGGGTAGATCAATTGAGGTCAGAAGTTCGAGACTAGCCTGGCCAACATGGTGAAACCTCATCTCCACTAAAAATACAAAAAGTAAGCCAGGCATGGTGGTGCTTCCCTGTATTCCCAGCTACGTAGGAGCCTGAGGCAAAAGAATCGCTTAAACCTGGGAGGCGGAGGTTGCAGTGAGCCGAGATCACACTGTTGTACTCCAGCCTGGGTGACAGAGTGATACTCTGTCTCAAAACAAAACAAATATATAACCTGTATAAGGCTAATTTAAAATAGTTTTAATAGTTTTGATAGGAATGCATTTCCAGTTTGCTTATTAAAATTTATTATGGTGTGAGTTTTAAAATTGTATATACAATGGATAAACTGATTTTAAATATATATTTTTTATTTCAATAGCTTTTGGAGTATAAGTGGTTTTTGGTTTCATGAATGAATTGTATAGTGGTGAAGTCTGGAAATGCTAGTGCACTCATCACCCCAGGAATATAAATTGTACCCAAGGATAAAATGATTTGATAGGCTCAATCATGATCGATTTGAATAAGCTGATACTTGAAAATATTTCCTTATTCCTGACGTTTGATAACTTCAAGTCCCTGAGACCCAGAACAAAGGCCTTCTTGTCGTGAAAAGGCAGCTACATCTAGTGGTTGGTGGCATTTTCATTGGAAAATTTGGTTTATGAAAAAAATCCTTCATAGCTGTCTTTGCTGACATTCTGTGGTTGTACAGAGCATTATAACTAATGTGGTGTGTATGTGTAACTTAACTGAGGTATAACTTTTACACCATAAAATTCACCCATTTTACCTGTACAACTCAATGATTTTTAACAAATTTACCAAGTTGTATAATCATCACCACAATACAGATTTAGAACATTTCCATCACCCCAGTAAGATTGTTCACTCCCATTTATAGTTAACCAATACTTTGGTTTTATTTATTATTATTATTATTGTTTTTCTTTTAAAGACTAGGTCTCACTCTGTCGCCCAGGCTGGAGTGCAGTGGTGCAATCATAGCTCATTGCAGTCTCAGACTCCTGGGCTCAAGTGATCCTCCCACCTCAGCCTCCCGAGTAGCTGGGACTACAGGTGTCCATTGCCATACCTGGCTAATTTTTAAATTTTTAAATGAAAATAATGCCCAGGCTATTCTCGAACTCATGGCTTCAAACAGTCCTCCCACCTCGGCCTCCCAAAGTGCTAAGATTACAGGTGTGAGCCGCCGCGTCCAGCCCCTGGCCAGTATGTTGACTGTAGCCTGTGAAAGACCCTTAGTTAGAGGACCCGGTTAAGCCAGGGCCGGATTCCTGATTTACAGAAACTGTGAGATAATAAATGCTGTGTTAAGCCTCTAAGTTTGGGGATTGTTATGCAGCAATATGGAACTAATACGTCTACTCTCCAAGCTAATCTAGCAATGTATGCAACTGAATATCCAATCTGCCAACCACAGAGACCAGTACTGTGTCCCTTCACTGGCACTATCCTCGGAGGAGAAGAACCAGCCACTAGGTGGCAAGTCAGTGACAGGGACCCTCTTCCACCTTGGAAGGGACAGAGACAGAATGTTTGATCCTCTGGCATGGGATACCTCATAACATCACATCAGGCCTGGGAACCACGTTACAGCAAGGGAGGTGGGAGAGTGGCCCAGGAACACAGGATCCCGTAGTGAAGCCACAGAACAGTGGACCTGATAGAGGCATGGCTGAAGTGCCCACTCCAGGGCAGGACTTTCAGGGCATAAGGTGCCATCCTCCAGGACACAGGCTGCACTTTAAAGACCTTTACACAGTGCTCAGTGGGAAGAATGCATGGGCCTGGGGACCAGAGGCCCTGCCTGTCTCATCCCCAGGGACCAGTTGGGAAAGGAATCGGCATTTCCCATTCTCTGTAAGTTTGGGTTCTGCAGGTCTAAAGGGCCTGGTCCCAGGAAGACACTTCTGCCAGGGGAGGTGCCACCAGGGCACTCAATCTCCTTGTGCCAAGGGACCTTGCAGCAGGAAGAGGAGTCACCCTCCTGGTGGCACTGACTGGCCACCATTACCAGGAGGAGGAAAGGCTTCTGCTCCAGACTGGAAGTATATGTTTGGCACCCAGGCGATCCATGTGGGCACCTCAAGTGCAGCAATCCCAGCTGAGAACAGCAGATGTGCTGGCTGAGGGATGGATGAATGGGGAACAGATGTAGAGGAAAGAGACGATGAGTGTGGACTGCAGCCTGAGGCCAGCTGTGGTGGGAAGGGCTGTGGTTTGTTCTATTAACCTTCCTCTTCTAAATTCTCCCATAGGCTAGGTATGGTGGTATACACCTGTAGTCCCAGCTACTTGGGAGGCTGAGGCAGGAGGATCCCTTGAGGCCAGGAGTTGGAGGTTGCAGTGAGCTATGATGGCACCACTGCATTCCAGCCTGGGTGACAGAGTGGGATCCTGTCTCTAAAAAAAGAAAAAGAAAAAGAAATCCCCAGGAGGAGGCGCCCCCACACTCCCCAGAACCTCCAAGGAGCTGCTCTCTTAATGTATGTGAGCAGCTGGCGGGCAGGGGTGGTTGTGGGGAAGACTGGGACAACCCCCGCTCCTCTGCATACAGGATCTTGCCCTTAGCTGCTGGGAGTGCTGTCAGCCCACAGCCTTCAATTCAGTCCCTTTGGGTGCTGCCTCACCTGATGCTCAAGGGTCTGTATCCAGCAATGGACCCAGGTGGCCCCACCAGACCACACCTAGGGTCGGTCTAGCTCCTGAGCTCCCTGTGGGGTCAGATGAGGTGGTCATTTGGCCAGCACAGGAGCTGTTTCTCCCTTCACCCACTCGTGGACTCTTGCCCTCCCAAGAGCATCCCTATGAAACCTTGTGTGCATGCCAAGTCCATCTCAGAGCCCGCTCTCTGGCAGCAACTTTATGCCGATCAGTGACAAAACTTAGACAAGTTGGGCCATTTTTCTAGAAAATCATAAATTTCCAAGCCAACTCAAGGGAAAAGAGAAACCGTGAACAGTATAACCATTCACAAAAATTAATTATACAAAATAACACCAGGGTCATTCAGCTTTACAAGCAAGTGTTATCAGATTTCAAGGTATGGATTCCTATCTTAGAAAAAAAAAAAACAGTTACAGAAAATAGTAAAAGAAACCTAACTAATTTTATGAGATTTGTATAACATTTGTAGTAAAATTAGGAAAGTCCATTATAAAAGAAAATGTATATGCTAATCTAATTGATAAACTAATATACAAAAGATCTAAATAAAATGTTACTAAATTAAATCCAGCTATATATTAAAAATATTACAGTATGATCAACTAGGGGTATCCTAGGAATACACATCAACAGATTAACATACAAAAAGAGAAAGAAAACATATTTCACTTGATGCAGAAAATCATTAGCTATGGTTCAACACCCTTTCTTGTTGTCAAAACGTTTACAAGATAAACTTCTTGGCAAACCAAGAATAGATGGTGATGTGGTTTGGCTGTGTCCCCACCCAAATCTCAGCTTGCATTGTAATCCCCATAATCCCCACATGTCGAGGGAAGGACTTGGTGGGAGATGATTGAATCATGGGGGTGGTTCCCCCATGCTGTTCTCATGATAGTGAGGAGTTCTCAAGAGATCTGATGGTTTTGTAAGTGTTTGACAATTTCTCCTTCACACACGCCCTTTCCTGTTGCCTTGTGAAGACGGTGCTTGCTTCCTTTTTGCCTTCCGCCATGATTGTTAAGTTTCCTGAGTCCTCCCCAGCCATGTATGAGTCAATTAAACCTCTTCCGTTTATAAATTACTCAGTCTCAGGTATTTCTTTATAGCAGTGTGAGAACAGACTAATACAGATAGGAACTCCCAAAACTTGATAGTGTACAACCAGCTTACTTATTAGTATAGTTAGAAGCATGATTCAGTATTGTAATGAAGTCCCTAGCTAGTGCAACAAGATAAGAAAAACAAAACAAAAAACTAAGTTGTCATTATTTACAGATTAAAATGTCCATATACAAAATTCAAAAGAATCTGCAGACAAAATGTTAGAAAAATAAAATTCACTAAGGTTGCTAAATAAAAGATAAATATGTAAATTAAAATTTAATAGTATTCCTATATACCTACAAAAAACAAGTAGAAATTGTAATAGTAAAAAATCCTATTCATAACAGCAAAACATATACACAGCACCTAGGAATAAACATAACAAAGGCTATACAACAATTTTACGGAAAAAATTATAAATCTTTACTAAAGGGCACAAAAGAAGGCCTAAATAGAGAAACCATGTTATAAATGGAAAAGCTCAGCATTCTAGAGATGTCAATTCTCAAATCAATCTATAAATTCAATACCACTCCAATCAACACCCTAACAGGGCTTCTTTTTCCATAGAACCCAGCAAACATCTCAAAACTCACAGTGAATTGTAAAAGGCCAGTGTGGTGACTGAATAATGGCTCCCATGAAAATGTCCACCTCTTAAAGGCTGGACCTGTGGATACATTACAATAGCAAAAGAGACTTTTCAGATGTGATTAAATTAAGAGACTTGAGATGAGGAGATTATCCCGGATTATTGTGTAGGCCAATCACTAGGGTCCTTCTAGGAGGGAAGTGGGATGGTCAGAGTGAGAAAGAGGCTATGTGACCAGAGGAGCGGAGAGAGACCAGAAGATGCTGCACTGCTGCCTTGCAGCAGGGGGAAGGAGCCACGAGCCCAGAAATGTAGGCAGCTTCTAGAAGCTGGAAAAGACGGGGCCATGGCTTCCTAAGAGCCTCCAGGAGGAACACAGACCTCCAGAACTGTAAGAGAATAAACTTGTGTTGTTTTCAGCCCCTAAATTGGTGGTAATTTGTTATAACAGCAACAGGAGACTAACACAGTAAAAAACAGTCAAGTGACTTAGAAGAATAAGGAGAGAAACTTGCCTTGCAGCTTTCAAGACTTTCTAGAAAACTATTGTGATTTGAGTAATATGGAACTGATGCAGAGTGTGAGACTAATGAAACAGAAAGGAGTGATAACCACTACGCTGAGTATGGTATGTCTAGAGCTGGCATTACAAACCAGGAGGAAAAGAATAGACCCTTCAATAAACGGTGCTGGATAATGCTTATGCACACGATACCTCATTTAATAAAATACCTCATTAATAAAATACATTCTGGCCAGGCCCAGTGGCTCACACCTATAATCCTAGCACTTTGGGAGGCTTTGGTGGGTGGATTACTTGAGGTCAGGAGTTTGAGATTAGTCTGGCCAACATGGTGAAACCCCGTCTCTACAAATACAAAAATCAGCTGAACGTTGTGGTGTGTGTCTGTAATCCCAGCTACGCAGGAGGCTGAGGCAGGAGAATCGCTTGAAACCAGGAGGCAGAAGTTGCAGTGAGCCGAGATCACACCACTGTACTCCATCCTGGGCGACAGAGTGAGAGTCCGCCTCAAAAATAAATAAATAAAAAATAAAAATACATTCTGTCAATCAAACATTAAAACTTTTGAAGAAAATTAGAAGAATGTCTATATCAGGATTAGGATTTGTTGAAAAATTATTGAAATGCTCAAACAGTACAGAAAAGTCAGGTAGAGATCGAGTATGTTAAAAAAGAAAACTGCTGTATGACAGATAACACCATAACAAGGGTAAGAGACAAGCCACAGACTAGAAGATATTTTCATCACATAAAACTGGCAGAGGATTATTATCTAGAAATAACGAGAACTAGCATTTTTTTTTTTTTTTTTGAGACAGGGTCTTACTCTGTTGCCCGGACTGGAGTGCAGTGGTGCAATCTTAGCTCGCTGCAACATCCACCTCCCAGGTTCAAGCAATTCTCATGCCTCAGCGTCCCCAGTAGCTGAGACTAAAGGCACCCGCCACCATGCCTGGCAATTTTTTTATTTTTATTTTTAGTAGAGACAGGGTTTCACCATGTTGGCCAGGCTGGTCTCGAACTCCTGACCTCAAGTGATCTGTCCACCACGGCCTCTCAAAGTGCTGGGATTATAGGTGTGAGCCACCGCGCCCGGCCTTAAGAACTAACATAAATTGGCCGGGTGCGGTGGCTCACACCTGTAATCCCAGCACTTTGGGAGGCCCAGGCAGGCGGATCACGAGGTCGGGAGATCGAGACCACGGTGAAACCCCGTCTCTACTAAAAATACAAAAAATTAGCCGGGCGCAGTGGCGGGCGCCTGTAGTCCCAGTCACTCGGGAGGCTGAGGCAGGAGAATGGCGTGAACCCGGGAGGTGGAGCTTGCAGTGAGCTGAGATCGCGCCACTGCACTCCAGCCTGGGCGACAGAGCGAGACTCCATCTCAAAAAAAAAAAAGAACTAACATAAATTAATAAGGAAAAATACAGCAATCCACATGCAATATGGGCGAAAACTGAATGTTTACAAAAGGGAAAAAGCAATGAATAAACAGGAAAATATGCTGAATCTTTCTTGTATTAAGGAAATGAAGATTAAAACTAATTATTTCATATTCAGCAGATGGGGGAAAATTTTTAATACCACCTAGTGTTGGGAGGATAGGGAGGAATGGGGACTCATATACTACTGGTTGGAATGCAAATTGCATCTTTATAGAGAAATTGGTTGCTACCTATCAACCTTGAAGAGGCATGTATCTTGGGAGAGCTCCTAGATGTATATCTGAGAGACTCTCAAGGAGGCAGGTACAAGGAGATTGTTTATTGCAACAATGTTTATAATAGAAAATTTTAGCCAGGTGCCTATAATCCCAGCACTTTGGGAAGATGAGGCCGGTGGATCACCTGAGATCAGGAGTTTGAGACCAGCCTGGCCACTAAAAATACAAAATTACTAAAAATACTACTAAAAATACAAAATTAGCTGGGCATGGTGACGCATGCCTGTAATCTCAGCTACTCAGGAGGCAAGGCTGGAGAATCGCTTGAACCCAGGAGGCAGAGGCTACAGTGAGCAGAGATTTCAACACTGCACTCCAGCCAGGGCGACAAGAGCAAAACTCCGTCTCAAAAAAAAAAAAGAAAAAGAAAAAGAAAATACTGGAAACAACCTGAGTGTCCTTCAGTAAGGAAGGGATAACTGTGGCTTATTATACAAAGGAATGCTATTCAGCAGTTCGAATGCATGAATTATAGCTACATGGATCCAAAGGATCAATGTTGGACTGTGTTTCCCATAAGAAAAAAACTGTAAACTGATCTAAGAGTTATATCATTCGTGTCAGTTTTACCCTCATAAAATAACACTATAGGCCAGGTTTGATGGCTCACGCCTGTAATCCCAGCACTTTGAGAGAACGAGGTGTGTGGATTGCTTGAGGCCAGGAGTTTGAGACCAGCCTGGGCAACATGGCAAAACCCCTTCTCTACTAAAAATACAAAAATTAGCCGGGCATGGTGGCAGGTGCCTGTGGTTCCAGCTACTCCAGAGGCTGAAGTGGGAGGATCCCTTGAGCCCAGGAGTTAGAGGCTGCAGTGAGTCAAGACCGTGCCACTGCACTCCAGCCTGGGCAAAGGAGTGAGACTGTCTCCAAAAAAAAAAAAGCCAGTTCTGCTCACTTTTGCCCTCTCTGCTGCCTAGCTTGCAAACATGATGGCTGAGGAGGATCCGTGCCATCCTAAACTACAAGCTGACCTTGATGACAGGTCACACTCTGAGGATGGAGAGGCAGAAACAGCATCGTAAGGACTCCAGTGTGGCTTTTATGTGAAGCCACCATACTGGCTCCTGAAAGGCCTCCCTATGTCAGGGCTGTTATATGAGAATAAACTCTTGTATTCAAGCCACTCTCGTGGGGTTTCTGTTACTCCTGGGGGAATGCCAACTGCTAACTGACACAGCTTCCATATTGTGGGGTCTGACCTAAGCAGACCTGTACTATGATTTTAGTGATTCAATTTTACCTTTGGTCCCATATTTTGAATGTCAGTTGGGGGATGTTTATTCACAAGACTGCAGATTGCAGACTCCACCACCACCCATGAAGTAATAGAGCATGCATTTTATAATTTCTCTATAGTTTTTTTTTAATTTTTAAATTTTTTTGTAGAGATGGGATCTTGCTGTGTTGGCCAGGCTGGTCTTGAATTCCTGGCCTCAAGTGATCCTCCTGCCTCAGTCTCCCAAAGTACTGGGATTACAGGTTTGAGCCACCACACACAACCTATCTGTAGTTTTTAAAAAATTATTAAGTAAAGGGTTGACAACACCAAGTACAATACCTTCTGTAGATAAAATATACCCAAATATTAATATAATATCTCCTTAAAAATCATTGAAAACACATACATTTATTTTGTAGCTACTATTATAAGGCGGGAAAGTTTATATTTTCTTTATAGCTGGCACCAGAATACTTTTGACAGAAAAACAAAACAAAACGACAACAAAAAAACAAACAACAACAAAACACCTGTTTCTGTTGGGAAAATCTATTTGTGTGCTTGGGGTGGAAGCTGCTTCCCTAGAGCCTGAGTATTGGCCGCCCCCAGGCTTGAGGAAATTGAAAACTCCTGTGCATTAGAGAGGAGAGAATTTCCTAACTCCAGGGTTCCTTTTTGTGGGAGGTGGAAGTTTGAGGTGGGATTTGCTGTGTGATAAAGACTTCCCTGGGAACCTACTTGTTCACAGCTCACAGAGTGTGAATGTGAGGCATGCCAACTCTGATGGCAGAAACTTAGGGCCAAATAGAGGGAGTAGGAGCAGTGGCAGAAACAAAGGGCCTACCTGTAGCCAGTGTCTTGATGACATTTTGGGGTTCCTCCTGACATCCTCGGAGATAAATGACTCTAGGACATAGCCGGAAGTTCATGATCACTATGGCTGCCAAAGCCATGGACTCAGGTGCCGGAGAGTGGGAAAGTATTACAGACAATTTCATTTTTAAATATGAGAGCCAAAATTCTCAATAAAATATTCATAAAGATAATTTAAAAGTACATTAAAATAGTAATATAGATCAACTAAGTGAGATTCATCTCAGGAACACAAAAACTCAAAAAAATTTTTAATGCAAAAATGTTAAGAAATCTATGAATATAACTCATATTCATTTGTTAAGAAGGAAAAATACGATTATCTCCACAGACGCCAAAAACTGGAACCACTTTCTCCAGCTTTCCTCCCAACCGGGAGACAGGAAATAAAATGGCAAGTGGAAGGCCGCGATTTCTGTTCTTATGCAAAACTCATCCTTGGATTCCTATGTCCTGTTTGGCCCACCACTTTCTTGTTGGGTATATTAGGGTGATTCTTAAGGAATTCCCTGCTCTCCCCCACCTCCGTTCCTTTTTTAAAATTATTTATTTATTTATTTATTTATTTAATTTGAGATAAGGTCTTGCTCTGTCACCCAGGCTGGAGTACAGTGGTGAGATCTTGGCTCACTGCAACCTCCGCCTCCCGGGTTCAAACGATGCTCCTGTCTCAGCCTCCCGAGTAGCTGGGACTACAGCCGCGCGCCACCACACCCAGCTAATTTTTGTGTATTTTTAGTAGAGACGGTGTTTCACCATGTTGGCCAGGCTGATCTTGAACTCCTGACCTCAAGTGATCTGCCTGCCTCGGCCTCCCAAAGTGCTGGGATTACAGGTATGAGCCACCATGCCGGCCTTTTTATTAAAGATTTTTAAAGGGGCCACGCTAATCTTCTCTGTATTATTCCAATTTTAGTATATGTGCTGCTGAGGTGAGTACGACATCTGTTCCCCTTATACTGCTGCTGGGAGTGGGAATGGGATGAGTCAGGAGCACCTAGAACCTGCTTGGTCAAGAGGATAATGGGACTCTCCCACATCACTCTTACTCTTGATGGGAATTTTTAAAGATTATAATATAAGTAAGACCAATCCCTCCATGCCCTGTCCACAAGTACCTTTTGTAATTGCTACTGCATTATTTTGCTGCTTTTAAACCACTTCTCTATTTTGTTGTGAATTTTGAGGAGGTACCTCATTGGAGTCTCTCCCCATTTTACCACCGAGGTCTAGAATATGCACTAATTTAAAAAGAGAAATTGGCAACTTTCGTGGGAGGGTGAGGGATCCTTGACAGTCACATATAGATTGATTAAGACCCTATTCTGCTTTTCCCATGGAATGGGAACTTCTGGAGCCTGTGGTCCTACTATGAGCCTGGCTATCAGGCAATCACAAAGCTCCTATTTGAGGTAAGAAGACACCAGAGGCCAGGCACAGTGGCTCACACCTGTAGTCCCAGAGATTTGGGAGGCCGAAGTGGGAGGATCACTTGAGGCCAGGAGTTTGAGACTTGCCTGGGCAACGTAGCAAGATGCTATCTCTATTAAAAAAAAAATTAGCCAGGCAGGCTAGGCACAGTGGCTCACCCCTGTAATCCCAGCACTTTGGGACGCCAAGGTGGGTGGATCACCTGAGGTCGGGAGTTCAAGACCAGCCTGACCAACATGGAGAAGCCCCATCTCTACTAAAAATACAAAATTAGCCAGGCATGGTGGTGCCTGCCTGTAATGGGGGAGGCTGAGACAGGAGAATTGCTTGAACCCGGGAGGTGGAGGTAGCAGTGAGCCGAGATCTCACCACTGCACTCCAGCCTGGGCAACAAGAGCGAAACTCCATCTCAAAAAAAAAATTAGCGAAGCATTGTGCCATGTGCCTGTGGTCCCAGCTACTCGGGAGGCTGAGTCAGGAGAATCACTTGAGCCCAGAAGTTCAAGGTCACAGTGAGCTATGATTGCACCACTGTACTCCAGTCTGGGCAACAGAGTGAGACCCTCTCACTTTAAAAAAAAGAAAAATTCAGAAATCAGATACTTTATAGGGAAGGCAGGACAGGAACTGAAGATAGGCCTTTTTATCTGTCTTTGGAACTTGCCACAAAATATTGCAGTAATGACAGCCCCTGAGGCAGAGAAGCGAAAGGGATTTAAGAAGGAATTTCTGGAGCCACACATTCAGAACATTAAATGGATTTAGAGTTGTCACCAACTGGTTCTGGTGGCAGGATGCCCAAACACATTCAGATGGGAACCAGCAGTAATGAGTATTGTCAGGAATCATCTGTTAGATTTCTAAACACACATGAACGGGAAGGAGGAAGGACCTCTGTATAGCAGTGAAACCAGAGAGACTTGTGCCTCAAGCCTGGGCTACTCAATCAGACACTCTAGGAAACATGTATTTTTACAAAGCTCTACAGACAATTCTGTTACCCAGTGCTACGGTTTAATGTGTCTGGCAAATGCCAGGTGTTGGAACTGAATCCCCAGTGTGGCAGTCGTGAGGGGCAGGGCCTTTAAGAGGCGATTGGGTCATGAGGGCTCTGCTCTTATGAATGGATTAACCCATTCATGGGTTCATGGGTTAATGGATTAATGGTTATCATGGGAGTGGCACTGGTGGCTTTATAAGAGGAAGAGAGCCTTGAGCTAGCACACGCAGCCCCTTCCACTGGGCGACACCCTCACAACTCCGCAGTCTCCACCAGCAAGAAGGCTTCTACCAGATGCTGACCCTTGACCTTGGACTTCTCAGCCTACACTGTAAGAAGTAAATTCCTTTCCTTCAGAAATTTCCCAGTTGCAGGTATTCTGTTATAAGCAACAGAAAATGGACTAAGACACCCTGACAGAGCTGAGAACTGCTTCAGTAGAGGCTCTTCTTTTCCTCACCCATTGTGATCAGGGACTCAGGCCTCCACAGTGCTGCAGCATACTACAGTTTCATATAATACGGGCCGGGTGCAGTGGCTTCTGCCTGTAATCCCAGCACTTTGGGAGGCCGAGGTGGGTGGATCACCTGAGGTCAGGAGTTCAAGACCAGCTTGGCCAACATGGTGAAACCCCCATCTCTACTAAAAATACAAAAATTAGCCAGGCTTGGTGGTGGGCACCTGTAATTCCAGCTACTTGGGAGGCTGAGGCAGGAGAATCGCTTGAACCAGGGAGGCGGAGGTTGCAGTGAGCCGAGATGGCGCCACTGTACTCTAGCCTGGGCGACAGAGTGAGACTCCCACCTCAAAAACAAAGAAACAAAAAACATAATCATCGGCCAAGCACAGTGGCTCACGCCAGTAATCCCAACATTTTGGGAGGCTGAAGCAGGTAGATCCTTTGAGGCCAGGAGTTCAAGACCAGTCTGGGCAAGAATCACACCACTGCACTTTGGCCTGTGTGACAGAGTGAGACTCTGTCTCTTAAAAACAAAAATAAAAGGCCGGGAGCCGTGGCTCACGCCTGTAATCCCAGCACTTTGGGAGGCTGAGGCGGGTGGAGCACGAGGTCAGGAGATCAAGACCATCTTGGCTAACACGGTGAAACCCCGTCTCTACTAAAAATACAAAAAAATTAGCCAGGCGTGGTGGCTGGCGCCTGTAGTCCCAGCTACTCGGGAGGCTGAGGCAGGAGAATGGCATGAACCCCGGAGGCGGAGCTTGCAGTGAGCCGAGATAGCGCCACTGCAGTCTGGCCTGGGCGAAAGACCGAGACTCCGTCTCAAAACAAACAAAAAAACAACAAAAAACAAACAAACAAAAATTGACGTAATAATGATATTTATGACTGAAAACAAATACTGAGACATATAAGAATTTTAGGAATCTCACAATTTTGGAACACCTGTTGATAATACATTTATATAAATGTAACTCAAAGAAGGTTAAATACCATTTCTCATTTAACAATGCTTCCCATATAATTATTTACATAGTAAATAAGCCTAACACATCTCTCTTGGACTCCCAGGGGTCCTTTTTGGAACCTCTAAAAGTTAGTTTGAGGTTAAAAGGACAATTTTAGAATTTAAAATTTGACTTTGGGTAGTTTATCCAATAAGAAAGGTTTAAAACACTTGATCAAAATAGGAGCACAGGTCACTGCAAAGTAATAGTCATTCATTCAGCTAAAGTGATAATTCAGATTTCAAAAAGTAAAAACCTTTACTCTTTGATAGAGAGACATTCTGTTTTTCAAACAATCAAAAGACCTAATGACGATAGCTAAGACCAACAGAATCTGTCTCTCCTTCTCCCCTTTTTTACAGTTGGTCTCAAAGGTAAACAAAATCTTTTGCTTTTATTAATACTACACGAAAATCTCATTCAAAAGAGAAAACCAACTTCTACTTTTGCATTAGCATTTTGTTTTGTTTTGTTTTTGAGACAGAGTTTTGCTCTGTTGCTCAGGCTGGAGAGCAGCGGCGCGATCTCAGCTCACTGCAACCTTCACCTCCCAGGTTCAAGTGATCCTCCTGCCTCAGCCTCTCAAGTAGCTGGGATTACAGAGGTGCACCACCATGCCCAGCAAATGTTTGTATTTTTAGTAGATACAGGGTTTTTCCATGTTGCCTAGGCTGGTCTCGAACTCTTGGACTCAAGTGATCTCCCCAGCTTGGCCTCACAGAGTGCTGGGATTACAGACGTGAGCCACCATATTATGCTGCATTAGTGTGTTATTAATAGTTAGGCCAATTTCAACAAAGCCTTATAAATAGATGCATCCAATTTCAATCAACTTTGACCACACAAAGTAAGATTTCTGTTTACCTTTTATAACCTCTTACAAGTTTTCTCATTCTTTTTCCCCCCAACTTTCCATATCTATTCATCTAAACTAGACAAAATTACTTTTCCTGTAGCAAAAACTGCATTCTCATGCCTTTCCTATCACCCTCCTCACCAAAAACACATACTTTTCTTACATACTCTGTATACAGAAGTGTTTCTCTCAGTTCTAGTTGTTTCAGTTATATATTAACTATAATTTTAACACTTAGTAGCCCTATTTTTCAGTGAAAAACCTAGGGAGTAAGCTATTTTAATTGTTATGTATCGGGGGCAGAGCCCAGGACAGAGGCCAGAGCTGTAAAGACAATACCCAGAGGATCCAACCCTTCCCAGAATGGCCAGGAAATCCTGCTGGCCCAGGGAAGATGGGCCCAGGCACTGCAGACACACGTGGGTCCCCAGGCCTCACCATGGCCACTGTGTAGACTCCAGAATCAAATGGCTCAAAACCTAAGTCATAAAGTCACAGACAAATCAAGCAAGTTTCAAAAATATCTCCTAGCACTTTGGGAGGCTGAGGCAGGAGGATCTCTTGAGCCCAGGAGTTCAAGATCATCCGGGGCAACATAAGGAGACGCCATCCCTTCAAAAAGTAAAAAAAAATTAGGCAGGTATGGAGGCATGCACCTGTAGTTCCAGCTACTTGGGAGGCTGAAGTGGGAGGATAACTTGAGCCTGGGAGGCCAAGGCTGTAGTGAGCCATGATCGTGCTGCTGTGTTCCAGCCTGGGCAACAGAGCAGGACCATGTTTCAAAAACAGTAACAACAACAAGAAAAATTGCAGAAGCTGTTAACAGTTTTACAATCTTAAAACATATCACAGAGACAGTATAAACCCATCTAAACCAATAGACTCAGACAAAATGTCTAAATTACATTCAGACAATGTTTTTATTTTATTGTATCAACAATATTAAAACTGGTTTTATTTACCAAAGATGTTGCATGAATTTGAAAAGCATTTGGGATTATTAATTTATAAATGCTAATTTATTTATAAGTCAATTTGGTACCATGTAGATAATATACAAGCAGACATGTGTATATAAAAATACATGCAGACGGCTGGGCGTGGTGACTCATGCCTGTAATCCCAGCACTTTGGGAGGCCGAGGCTGGTGGATCACCTGAGGTCAGGAGTTCAAGACCAGCCTGATCAACATGGAGAAACCCCATCTCTACTAAAAATACAAAATTAGCTGGGCGTGGTGGTGGGCGCCTGTAATCCCAGCTACTCAGGAGGCTGAGGCAGGAGAATCGCTTGAACTCGGCAGGCGGAGGTTGCGGTGAGCTGAGATCCCACCATTGCACTCCAGCCTGGGCAACAAGAGCGAAACTCCGTCTCAAAACAAAACAAAACAAACAAACAAAAAACATGCAGACATAAATAACATAAATAAAGGTCTTACAGCTTTGATTTCAAAATCATAGCCATGAGACTGGTAAAACTCACTAGTTTAAAAGGACAGGTGGATTAAACTGTGTCTCTGTAAATGGAACAGATTAAAGTTTATCTGTCTCACATAGCTGAAGCCCTTACTGAGATAATAATAAGAGATAATAATCTCTAATTATCAGATTTCAACCAGGAAAAACAGCCAATATTTTTGGGCTTTGAACCTTTTAACCAAAAGGAAGTGGCTCCCTAATTGGGAATCAAATCCAGTCCACAGTGGTGAAAGCACAGAATTTTAACTCCTAGGCCACAAGGTGGAGTGGCCGCCACTACAAATCCTGCAGGGACTCCAAAGCAGGCAGTTTAAGCGTACAAAGGATTTTAACTTTGTTTTCCGTCAGATTTTTGTTCTGAAACTTTTGTTAGGAAAATGTCTAAGGCTAGCCATGATACTATTAGTGCCTTTCTTTTAATTTGATCTTTCCCTAAACACAAATAAGGCACTTGTTTGGAATGAGAGGTCTCTAAAATAGTTTTAGTTTAGGGGGCCTTTGTAACTTAAAGAATCAATCTTTTGGCCACTGATGATTAGAATTTCCTGAGATGTGGCCAGGCATGGTGGCTCAAGCCTGTAATCCCAGCACTTTGGGAGGCCGGGTTGGGGGGGGATCACTTGAGGTCAGGAATTCAAGACCAGCCTGCCAACATGGTGAAACCCTGTCTCTACTAAAAATACAAAAATTAGCTGGGTATGGTGGCTTGCCTCTGTAATCCCAGTTACTTGGGAGGCTGAGACAGGAGAATTGCTTGAACCCGGGAGGCGGAGGTTGCAGGGGGCCGAGATTGAGCCACTGCACTCTAGCCTGGGTGCCAGAGTGAGACTCTGTCTCAAAAAAAAAAAAAGAATTTCCCGAGATGTACTTATGCAAATAGCAACTCAATCTAATAAGCCTCTTCATGGAATGCCCAGGAGGTTATTTTCCAGGTTTCAATGAAGTTTTTACCAATAAACAAGAGGTGCTTCTTGGAGAGGGCATAGAACAGGCAGCCTCAACGATCCCCATCCTCACAAATTCACTCCCAGGAATAGACTAAGGCAGCAAAAGACTCTTGTTGCCACAGATGATAAAAGATGGCGTTTTTACATACAGTGCTTCTAGTATCCCACACATTTATGGGGGGCCACCAGTCATACACCTATTAATCTGTGACACGAGGCAGGCTCTCCTGGGATTGGACTTTCCCAGGACTAACCAGGCAGCAGGGGTTGAGACAACAAAAGCACCTTATAAATAGGACTCATTGGCCGGGCGCAGTGGCGCGTGCCTGTAATTCCAGCTACTCAGGAGGCTGATGCAAGAGAATCGCTTGAACCTGGGAAGCGGAGGTTGCAGTGGGCTGAGATCACACCACTGCACCCCAGCCTGGGTGACAGAGCGAGACTCTATCTAAAAAAAAACAATGACAACAACAAAAAAACTGCAGAGCCAGCTGGCACAGTGGGCTTCTGGGGGTTCTAGATCCATGTTCTACCCTAGGGCACCCCTCTTTATGACAGATCAATACCAAAATACAAGGGAAAAGACTGAGAGAAAAAGGATCAGACAATACCAATATTCATGCCTAAAAATATACCAGAATCGCTACGTAACCCAAGACTAGTCACACAAATCCTTTTCTCCAATTAATCAAGATTTTAGGCAAGGGAAAAGAGACAAACAGTGATTTCTGCTGTCTGCTTGACCGGATTTCACGGAGAGAGGCCGGAAGCCTGGCTGGTAGGAATTTCTTACCCTTCTGATGCTTTGTCAGGTCCTGGGTTCCCTGGACTGTGGCTTCCAGAAAAGTAGAGCAGCTTTAGGATCCTGTCTGTGACGCCAACACTGTAGGGGCCAAGGGAAACCTTCCCAAAGGTTTGCTGAACATCAACAGACAAAGGCAGATTATTAAGAGACAAAGCTTGCAAATCTATTAACATGCATAGGGGAAAATCACAGAACGATCACCCCAGCTTCCCAGTGAAGCACAGAAGCTTTTCTGCCTTTTTTTTTTTTTTTTTTGAGACAGAGTCTCGCTCTGTTGCCCAGGCTAGAGTGCAGTGGTGCCATCTCGGCTCACTGAAACCTCCACCTCCCAGGTTCAAGTGATTCTCATGCCTCAGCCTCCAGAGTAGCTGGGAATACCCCACCACCACACCCGGCTAATTTTTTGGATTTTTAGTAGATATGGGGTTTGGCCATGTTGGCCAGGCTGGTCTTGAACTCCTGACCTCAAGTGATCCACCCACCTGGGCCTCCCAAAGTGTTGGGATTACAGGTGTGAGCCACCAGGCCCAGACTTTTCTACCTTTTTTTTTTGAGACGGAGTCTCGCTCTGTTGCCCAGGCTGGAGTGCAGTGGCAGGATCTCGGCTCACTGCAAACTCCGCCTCCCAAGTTCATGCCATTCTCCTGCCTCAGCCTCCCAAGTAGCTGGGACTACAGGCACCTGCCACCACGCCCTGCTAATTTTTTGTATTTTTTTTAGTAGAGACAGGGTTTCACTGTGTTAGCCAGGATGGTCTCGATCTCCTGACCTTGTGATCCGCCCGCCTCGGCCTCCCAAAGTGCTGGGATTACAGGCGTGAGCCACCACACCCAGCCTCTACCATTTTGAGATTACAGAAAAAATGGGGGCTCCGAGCATGGCCCCAAAAAGTTTATGGTGGTAAGTCAGGTGACAGTGGCAAGACAGATTATGGATGGGAGAGAAAAGGACGCCTGGCTAGCAAAGGTGGTCTTGTTATGCAGCTGAAACCTCACGGGTAGCAGCCCTCAGAGAGAAGAGGTGGGAAATATTCCTTTCAGATCTTGAGAGATGTCAGACTCTCAGTTCATCTTTCCTAGATCTGGACCAGGGAGGACCTCAGAAAGCCTGGCTGCAGGGATGCAGATTTGCTCTACAGATGCAAAAAGCTCAACGCAAAAGACAGCTTTGCAGGGCTGCTTAGCTCTCTGAAGAGCTATCTCAAAATATGTCAACAAAGGATATTTTGGGGTGAAATATTTTGGTTTCCTTCAATATCTCAGGTCCTTTGGAGCTTAAAATCAAGTTATCTGACCAGACCTATGATCTGATTTCTTTTGAGAACTTAGAAGAAAACTTAGAATGAAATAACAAGAACAAGCCATGGGAATGTTGGGAAAATGAGAGGCTGGAGTTGGATGTTTTGATCCTCAGAATCCTCACTTAACAAATGAGGAGTAAAACACTGTATATATAGTGTATGTCTCTATATACAGATATACAGAGTTGCTGGATTAATGTATTTGGGACATTCTTAGGTTAAAAAATTAATTTTTAAATCTGAACTGTAAATATTACTGGGTGTCCTGTATTTTTATTTGCTAAATCTGGCAGCCTTAGTAATTTTAAACAAAAAAATTAAATATAATGTTTGCTAAAAAATAGACTCTATTAATCAATTTCAATCATTTTCTCCAAAACCTTCCTAGGAGAAATTACTGTTTTAAGAGGGCCAAGGTGTTTAAGTCGCGCTGACTAAAATTTGCTAACTGACCTCTAGAGGGAGCCAAATTGATAAAGAAACCGAAATGACATCCTAAATCCAGAGAATTTCTCTCTTTTTCCTTTTCTTTTTTTTTTTTTTTTTTTTTGATGGAGTCTTGCTCTGTCGCCCAGGCTGGAGTGCAATGGCGCGATCTCGGCTCACTGCAACCTCCACCTCCCGGGTTCAAGCGATTCTTCTGCCTGAGCCTCCAGAGTAGCTGGGATTACAAGCTCGCACCACCACCCCTGGCTAATTTCTTCTGTTTTTAGTAGTGACTTTTAGTATTTTTCGTAGACATGACCGGGCGCGGTGGCTCACGCCTGTAATCCCAGCACTTTGGGAGGCTGAGGCGGGCGGATCACGAGGTCAGGAGATTGAGACCATCCTGGCTAACATGGTGAAACCCCGTCTCTACTAAAAAAAATACAAAAAAAATTAGCCGGGTGTGGTGGTGGGCGCCTGTAGTCCCAGTTACTCAGGAGGCTGAGGCAGGAGAATTGCTTTAACTAGGGAGGCGAAGGTTACAGTGAGCCGAGTTTTTGCCACTGCACTCTAGCCTGGCGACAGAGCAAGACTCCGTCTCAAACAACAACAACAACAACAAAATGATGCCATTATAACAATCTATGACCCAGCCAGGTTTGTCTCAAAATATAAAGAGGGAGAGGCCGGGCACGGTGGCTCACACCTGTAATCCTAGCACTTTGGGTGGCAGAGGTGGGCAGATCACTTGAGGCCAGGAGTTCGAGACCAGCTTGGTCAACATGATGAAACCCCGTCTCCAGTAAAAATACAAAAATTAGCCGGGCGTGATGGTGCGCACCTTTAATCTCAGCTACTCAGGAGGCTGAGGCAAGAGAATTGCTTGAACCTGGGAGACAGAGGTTGCAGTGAGCCGAGATCATGCCACCATACTCCAGCCTGGGCAAGAGAGTGACAGTCCATCTCAAAAAAAAAAAAAAAAAAAAAAAAAAAAAAAGACAGCATTTGGGGCCGAGTGTGGTGGCTCATACCCGTAGTCCCAGCATTTTGGGAGGCCAAGGCAGGAGGATCCTTGAGGCCACAAGTTCAATGCCAGGCTGTGCAACATCTCTACAAAAAACACATTAGCTGGGCATGGTGTTTCATGCTGGTAGTCCCAACTACTCAGGAGGCTGAGGCAGGAGGATCACTTGAGCCCAAGAGTTGGAGGCTGCAGTGAACTATGCACCACTGCACCCCAGCCTGGGTGACAAAGACCCTGTTTCATTTAAAAAATAATAATTTTAATGAATTATTTAATTCAAATAAAGAGGGAACACTTGGAATTTAGAAAACCCTATCTCTTCAAAAGCCTATTTTGCAAGTCTGTGGTCTCAGAAAATTTCAAAAGCAAAGACTAGACTGCAAAAATTGAACATTTACTCTTTCTCTTTGCCTTTTTTTTTTTCTTTGACAGAGTCTCACTCTGTCTCCCAGGCTGGAGTGCAGTGGCACGATCTTGTGCCTCAGCCTCCTGAGTAGCTGGGACTACAGGTGTGCGCCACCACACCTGGCTAATTTTTTGTATTTTTAGTAGAGATGGGGTTTCACTATGTTGGCCAGGCTGGTCTTGAACTTCTGACCTCAGGTGATCCACCGGCCTTGGCCTCCCAAAGGGTTGGGATTACAGGCGTGAGCCACCGTGCCTGGCCTTGCCTTCTTGACACAAAAATTATAATCCTGCATGAGGCAGATGCGTGATGCCAACAGAATAAGGAAAGGTCATATACATGTCGGGGGACCCAAGCATATTATGTATTTAATATCCCAATAATGACCCTTACAATGTTATTCAGTGTCACAGCCAATCTGGCTTCATCAAGTACCTTTTTTTTTTTTTAAGAGAGATGGGGTCTTGATATGTTGTCCAGGCTGTAGTGCAGTGGCTATTCACAGATGTGATCATAGCACACTGTGGGCTCTAACTCCTGGGCTGAAAGTGACCCCCTCCCACCTGAGCCTCCCCAGTAGCTCTCTGCTAATTTCTTTTCTTTTTTTTTTCTTTTTGAGACAAGGTCTTGCTTTGTCACCCAGGCTGGGGTGCAGTGGCTATTCACAGGCATGATCATAGTGCATTGCAGCCTCAACCTACCAGACTCAAGTGGTCCACCCATCTCAGTCTCCTGAGTAGCTGGAACTACAGGCACATGCCAGCACACTTGGCTATTTTTTTTTTTTTTTTTTGGTAGAGACAGGGTCCCACTTTGTTGCTCTGGCTGATCTTGAACTCCTGGGATTAAGCAGTCCTCCCACCTCAGCCTCCCACACTGCTAGGATTACAAGTATGAGCCACCACACCTAGCTCCTGCTAATTAAAAAAAATGTTTTTTAGAAACAGGGCCTGGCTATGTTGTCTCAAACTCCTGGCCTCAAGCAATTCTCCTGCCTCAGCCTCCTGAGTAGGTGGTACCACAAGTGCATGCCACCATGCCCGGCCTCAAGTACTTTCCTATGTCTAATGTTTAGCCAGTAGTTATTCAAATCCAAGCAAAGAAAAATAATTCCTAACCTCTTAGCACTCACATTCTTGATTAGAATATATGCCATGTCCCTATTATCTGGAGGTCATCCTTTGGGGCCACTCTAACCCTCCACAAACATCAGAAAAAAAAAACAATGGAAAATATTCCTCAGTGCCTGAAGTAACTATAGTAGAAGATGATTTAACCAGCAGTCTAACTGGTAAACAAATTGTTCTAAAATAATTTTCATGTGATCATCCATTGTTAAAAATTAGGTCATTGCAGGCTGGGAGAGGTGGCTCACGCCTGTAATCTCAGCACTTTGGGAGGTGGGTCACTTGAGGCCAGGAGTTCGAGACCAGCCTGGCCAACAGATGAAACCCCGTCTCTACTAAAAATTCAAAAATTGGCCGGGCACGGTGGCTCAATCCTGTAATCCCTGCACTTTGGGAGGCTAAGACAGGTGGATCACGAGGTCAGGAGATCGAGACCATCCTGGCTAACACGGTTAAACCCCGTCTCTACCAAAAATACAAAAACAATTAGTTAGGCGTGGTGGCGGGCGCCTGTAGTCCCAGCTACTTGGGAGGCTGAGGCAGGAGAATGGCATGAACCTGGGAGGCAGAGCTTGCAGTGAGCCGAGATCGCGCCACTGCACTCCAGCCTGGGCGACAGAGCGAAACTCCATCTCAGAAAAAAAAAAAATTAGCCGGGCATGGTGGTGCATGCCTGTAATCCCAGCTACTCAGGAGACTGAGACAAGAGAATCACTTGAACCTGGGAGGCAGAAGCTGCAGTGAGCCAAGATTGCGTCACTGCACCCCAGCCTGGGTGACAGAGCGAGACTCTGTCTCAAAACAAACAAGCAACAACAACAACAAAACCACATCCAAAGATATTAGAGATAGATCAATATTTAAAATTTATTTGTTATTGTTTAGAGACAGAGTCTCGCTCTGTCACCCAGGCTGGAGTGCAGTGACATGATCATAGCTTACTGTACCCTCCAACTCCTGGGCTCAAGCAACCTTCCTGCCTTAGCCTCTCAAAGCACTGGGATTACAGTTGTGAGCCACCATGCCTGGCCTGACTTAAAACATTGTAATCATTATGCTCTTTTAGAATTAAGATATTTAAACTTCAGATATATTCATCATTGAAATAGGTCAAGTTGCAGATTTTCTGGGTAATACATTTATTTTATGAAAACCAATAACCTGAAATGATGCACTTGATTGGGTGGACAGCAAAACTATGTCTGCTATTATATACTATATACTAGGATGCAAGTTCTATGAAAGCCAAAACTTTGTTTTGTTCAGCCCTTCATCCCTGCCACCAAGAACAGAGTCTGATATATAATAAATGCAAAATAAATGTTTTTTGAATGAATTAATGCATGCTAACTCATTTTTCAAAATTTATGTTTAATTGTGGCAATATACACATAGCATAAAATTTAACATCTTAAAATTTAACATTTTTTTGTTGTTTTTTCGTTTGTTTATTTGTTTTTTGAGACAAGGTCTCACGGTCACCCAGACTGCAGTGCAGTGGGGCAATCTCAGCTTACCAGTCTCCACTTCCCGAGTTCAAGTGATCCTCCCACCTCAGCCCCCCAAGTAGCTGGGACTACATGCACATGCTACTATGCCCGGCTAATTTTTGTATTTTTAGTAGAGACGGGGTTTTGCTATGTTGGCCAGGCTAGTCTTGAACTCCCGAGCTCAAGCGATCCACCCACCTTGACCTCCCAAAGTGCTGGGATTACAGGTGTGAGCTACCGCGCCCAGCCAACATCTTAACCATTTTTAAGTGTACAGTTTAGTTTGTCTTGCAATACTGAATCTCTATACCCATTAAACAACAATGCTCCACTTTTCCTCCCTTCAGTCCCCAGAAACCACCTTCTACTTTCTATCTCTATGAAGATAGAGAACTCGAGGTACCTCATATCAGTGTAATTACACAGCATGTGTCCTTTTGTGACTGGCTTATTTCACATAGCATAGTATTCTCAAGGTTCATCCATGTGGCATGTCAGAATTTCCTTCCTTTTCAAGGCTGAGTAATATTCCACTGCATGGATATATCACCTTTTCTTTATCCATTCGTCCATTGATAGACACTTGGGCTGTGTCCATCTTTTGGCTATTGTGAATAATGTTATATGAAAATAGATGTTCAAATGCTGAAGATCTTCCTTTCAATTTTTTTGATGGGTGGGGGGTTTTATATCCAGGGGTGTCATTGCTGAATCATGTGGTAATTCCATTTTTAACTTTTTGAAGACCTTCCATACTGTTTTCCATAATGGCTGCACCATTTTACATTTTCTCCCACCATGCACGAGCATGTTTCTAACTCCTAAGTTTGGTGATCTGGTTTCTAGGTGTGGTGCCGAGGAGCAGCAGGACATTAGGAGGTGTTAGCAGGTAAAACAACAGGACAAAGTATCATCTGGCAATCTACTACTGAGAGACAAGAATTCCAAGAAGCAAAATTAGTACTAGATTATTACGATATTCAATCACGATGCTTTCAGTGGTGTTCTGGAGATGCCATGAAAAAAGTTATGTTGTTTTTTCACTGTACAAGGAGGCAGGCATCTATCTATTTCAGAAAGACATTCATTGATTCTCAATTATGTAAGTATTGTCATACTTAATTTTGTTGTTTAAAAAACTAAGACTTCTAACAAATATGGTGAAATTTTCAGCCGGATGCAGTGGCTCACGCCTGTAATCCCAGCAATTTGGGAGGGTGAGGCAGGTGGATCATGAGGTCAGGCGTTCAACACTAGCCTGGCCAGCATAGTGAAACCCCGTCTCTACTGAAAAAAAATACAAAATGTTAGCCAGGCGTGGTGGCGGGTGCCTGTAATCCCAGCGACTTGGGAGGCTGAGGCAGGAGAATCGCTTGAACCTGGGAGGTGGAGACTGCAGTGAGCCGAGATCGCGCCACTGCACTCCAGCCCGGCTGACAGTGCGAGGCTCTGTCTCAAAAAAAAAAAAAAAAAAAAAAGCGAAATTTCCAAAGGACTGGTGGTCATTTTCATTTATCCAGAAATGTCACTTATAGGGGATGTATCCCTTCTCTATGATGCCCCATTAGTGGGATGTTACTGCTTCCATATACAATAATGAATCATATGGATACACTCCCGTATTGTTCATTCTTGAACTGTTATAAATACATACTTGAGACTGAGTAATTTATAAAGAAAAGAGGTTTAATTGGCTTATGGTTCCACAGGTTATACAGAAAGCATGATTCTATCATCTGCTCGGCTTCTGGAGAGGCCTCAGGAAACTTACAATCATGGCGGAAGGGGAAGGGGGAGCCCACAGGTTACATGGCCGGAGGAGCAAGAGCGAGAAAGGGGAGTTGCCATGCACTTTAAAACAACCCGATCTTGCGAGAACTAGCACCAAGGGGCTGGGGGTAAAACATTCTGCCCCATGATCCAATCACTTCCACCGGTCCCCACCGCCAACACTGGGGATTACAGTTTGACATGAAATCTAGGCGGGGACACAGATCCAAACCATACCACCTCCCAAATATAAAATGTGATGCTATAAGGACAAATACTAAGCTACAATGATATTTTTAGTTCATAGTGTTTGTCATTGTGAAATGTTTATTGATTAAGAGGAAATCTGGCCAGACACAGTGGCTCACGCCTGTAATCCCAGCACTTTGGGAGGCTGAGGCGGGTGGATCATCTGAGGTCAAGAATTCGAGATCAGCCTGGCCAACATGGTGAAACCCCGTCTCTACTAAAAATACAAAAATTAGCCGGGCATGTTAGCACACGCCTGTGATCTCGGCTATTCGGGAAGCTGAGGCAGGATAATCTCTTGAACCCAGGAGGCGGAGGTTGCCGTGAGCTGAGAACGCACCACTGCACTCCAGCCTGGGTGACGGAGCGAGACGCCATCTCAAAAAAGAAAAAAAAAGAAAAAGAAAAGAAAGAAAAGAAGGAATCTATTTAGCAAAGAAAAGCCTTGGGAAGTAAGTTGATCTTTAGACATGTGTGAAATAGGATACTTGAGGGTGAGGATAAAAATCAGGGTATTCTAGGTTTCCTGAAGCTGTATCCTTTTTCCATTCAACTCATCTTTCATCAACCCAAATTTACAGGCCAAATCATTGAAGAATGACAAGTCTAACCTCTAATTACCATGGCGGGTAGAGCGGGGAGGAGATGGTGCACTGTACACAGAGCACCAGGAACCCAAGGGAAGTTAGGGGAGATCCAGGCCCTGAGGAGGGCCATGACCTAGTGATGACACACAAGGGGCATTATTACAGTGTACGCAGGATGACCCTGGAAGGGATGGGTGGGTGGGAGTCAGGAGAGATGTGAGCCTCGTACCAGGAAGATCATACTGAGGCCACCAGGTTGAGAGCCGCCTGGCTGGGGGGCTTGTCCGGGGACAGCAGGGGCAGAGGCATGGAGGTGAGCTCTGTGTGACAGGAGCCAGGCCTGAGAACGCTTGGGGAGGAGGGGGACTGAGGAGTTAGGAGTCATGTTTGTGAAAAGCTTGCTTGGGCGGTGCACTAGCAGAGACTGCAGCCAGGAGACTTGAGAGGTCAGGGAACAGGGCATGATCTAGAGAAGGTGTGGAAATTGAGAATAGGGCCAGGCACAGTGGCTCATGCATGTAATCCCAGCACTTTGGGAGGCTGAGGTGGGAGAATCACTGGAGCCCAGCAGTTCAAGAACAACATAGTGAGACCCTGTGTCTACAAAAAGTTTAAAAATTAGCCAGGCACGGTGGTGCACACCTGTAGTCCCAGCTACTTGGGGAGGCTGAGGTGGGAGGATCACTTGAGCCCAGGAGTTTGAGGCTGCAGTGAGCTAGGATTGCACCACTGCACTCCAGCCTGGGTGACAGAGTGAGACCTTGTCTCTAGATAAAGAAATAAATGAAAAAAATCACACCTGTAATCCCAGCACTTTGGGAGGCTGAGGCGGGCGGATCACAACGTCAGGAGATCGAGACCATCCTGGCTAACACGGTGAAACCCCGTCTCTACTAAAAATACAAAAAATTAGCTGGGCGTGGTGGTGGGTGCCTGTAGTCCCAGCTACTCGGGAGGCTGAGGCAAGAGAATGGCGTAAACCCAGGAGGTGGAGCTTGCAGTGAGCAGAGATCGCGCCACTGCACTCCAGCCTGGGTGACAGAGCAAGACTCCATCTCAAAAAAAAAAAAAAAAGAAAAGAAAAGAAAGAAAGAAAGAAAAGAATAAATAAATGAAAAAAAAAAGAAAAATAGAGAAAGAAATTGAGAATAAACAAGTGGTGAATAATCCGAATGGCAGAGCCATCGGAAGGGGTGCAGGAACTGTCACAAACAGCAAGGCTGTTATTTCACCATCACTTTATGTGCAACACTTGGGGTTCCTTGGAAAAGCAAGGTCCTTGCTCTTCTAGGTTCACAGCCAGGAAATCGTGCAGTGAACCTGTCCCCTCCGGTCACAACATCAAGAGCTGAACTGGGACTAGAAGTCATCGCCCCAGAGCTTTTTGCTACCAGGTGAGCCTTGACCCTGTCATTTCCCAGTGCTAAAAATTATTTCCCTTCCTAGAAAAACCTTTTGTGTCTAATAAATGCTTTGTGTTTTAACAGGCAGTAGGTTGTGGGGACTGGCAGTGGAGGAACACACCCACTGAAAATCAGACTAGGGGCCGGGCGCGGTGGCTCACGCCTGTAATCCCAGCACTTTGGGAGGCCGAGTTGGGCAGATCACCTGAGGTCAGGAGTTCAAGACCAGCCTGGCTAACACAGCGAAACCCCATCTCTACAAAAAATACAAAAAAATTAGCTGGGCATGGTCGTGCATGCCTGTAATCCCACCTACTTGGGACGCTGAGGCAGGAGAATTGCTTGAACCTGGGAGGAGGAGGTTGCAGTGAGCCAAGGTCATCATTCCATTGCACTCCAGCCTGGGCAACAAGAGTGAAACTCCCTCTCAAAAAAAAGAAAGAAAGAAAAGAAAAGAAAATCAGACTAGGGCTGGGTGCAGTGTGGCTCAAACCTGTAATCCCAGCACTTCGGGAGGCCAAGGCCAGAGGATCACTTGATCCCAGGAGGCTGACGCTGCAGTGAGCCGTGCTCATGCCACCACACTCCAGCCTGAGCAACACAGTGAGACGTTGTCTCTAAAAAAGAAAAAGAAAATCAAACTAACACTTTGGTTTCCTCAGCAATGTTTGCTTAGGAAGTGGCCTGAATTTTACACTTTTTAAAAGTCTTTTTTAGTGACACTAGGTTTGTTTTGTTTGGTTCAGTGATAGGGTCTCACTCTGTTGCCCAGGCTAGAGTGCAGTGGCATGATCTAGGCTCACTGCAACCTCCGCCTCGCAGGCTCAAGTGATTCTCCCACCTCAACCCCAACAGGTGCATGCCACCACTCCTGGCTAATTTTTTTGAAATTTAGTAGAGATGAGGGAGGCAGGTATTAACATGTTGCCCAGGCTGGTCTCGAACTCCTGAACTCAAGCAATCCACCTGTCTAGGCCTCCCAAAGTGCTGAGGTTACAGGTGTGAGGCACTGCTCCCTGCCAACACTAGGTTTTTGATGCCTTATATTGAGACTAATGTTGAGTTGTAGAGGTTTTATATTAATATTAACCACTAAGCATGGGCTGGACTAATCTGTTTTGCAAGCAATGAAGCAAGGGCTTTTTTGTGTATGTATAAAACTTCAGTGGAGATTACAGAAAATCCCTAAATGGAAAACTGTGTAGATTGTTTATGTTGTTTAAGACCTTAAAAAAATAACTAGAATGATAGAGAATGAGTCTTGGTCACATTTTATTTCTTAACTGCAAGTTGACTTATTTGGGGTATTTGAATTTTTAAACCTGAAAGCAAGAAAATTACTTCTAGTTAGTTACAAACAAAATAGCCCAAGATACTGCTATATTCTGGAATGTTCTGCAGAAAGTGTGGTTTAGGATTTATGACAATGATGAAGAGAATAGCAAGATAGAATGGCTGACCTCTTCCTGCTTCACCTTGTACAGTAGGGAGTCCTTGCAGAAAAAAATAACCTCGCAGCTTTGAAAAAGATCTGGGATCTAAAGTGAGACGGAGTGCAGTGTCTCACACCTGTAATCCCAGCACTTTGGGAGACTGAGGGAGGCAGACTGCTTGAGGTCAGGAGTTTGAGACCAGCCTGGCCAACATGGTGAAACCCTGTCTCTACTAAAAATACAAAAATTAGCCGGGTGTGGCCGGGTGCGGTGGCTCACGCCTGTAATCCCAGCACTTTGGGAGGCCGAGGCAGGTGCATCACAAGGTCAGGAGATCGAGACCTTCCTGGCTAACATGGTGAAACCCCGTCTCTACTAAAAATACAAAAAATTAGCTGGGCATGGTGGCGGGTGCCTGTAGTCCCAGCTGCTGGGGAGGCTGAGGCAGGAGAGTGGCGTGAACCCGGGAGGCAGAGCTTGCAGTGAGCTAAGATCGTGCCACTGCACTCCAGCCTCGGTGACAGAGTGAGACTCCATCTCAAAAAAAAAAAAAAAAAAAGAAGTAGTCGGATGTGGTGGTGGGCTCCTGTAATCCCAGCTACCTGGGAGGCTGAGGCAGGAGAATCACTTGAACCTGGAGGTCAGAGGTTGCAGTGAGTCAAGATCGCACCACTGCACTCCAGCCTGGGCAATAGAATGAGACTCCGTCTCAATAAATAAATAAATAATAAAGTGAAGGACAGAATGAAGCCATGAAAATCAGGAGTCATGAGGGCATTTTTCTCAAAATATGGTGGTCCATGTATCCTCAGAGTCAGAATCTTCTGAGATGTTTACTATAAATACATATCCCTGGGTCTCATTCTAGAACTGCCGGGTGAAAATCTTTGGAAGAGAAGTTTGAGAACCTGTTAAACAAGCTCTCTAGGTAATTCTGTGCACGTTCAGTCTGAGAACTGCTGCATCTGAAGAGGTAAGCCCAGACTGCTGTCAAGGTCAATTCTGCCTAATAGAGCCTCTTCCTGACATTCTGCCATTTCCATGACCATTTGGTGAGAAGTACTGCACTTAGCTTTTTCACACTTCTCAAAGTAACAGGTTTATGTGTATTCGTAAGGTTCCTTTTCAGTAAATGAAAATACATCTGGGAAGATTCAGGGCTTCGCATTCATGTTCACATCTAACACCTGATTGAGACAATTGCTGTGATCTTGGGGGGATGTTCAACTTCAGGCAATGTTTTCTCAAAATCAAGTATTGATTGATGGATGGATTTTTAAGGTGAATGTCATCTCAAGATTTTATTAAAATATGGAACTCTTCATGAATTTGCATGTCATCCTTGCCCAGGGGCCATGCTAATCTTCTCGTATCATTCCCATTCAAATTCGAATATTTAACTGGATGCTTATAAGGAAAAATAAATGTCCACCTTAGAGTTGTGACTTAAGACTATTTTTTGGCCAGGTGCAGTAGCTCACACCTGAAATCTCAGCACGTTGGGAGGTGGAGGCAGGAGGGTTGCTTTAGCTGGGGAGTTTGAGACCAGCCCAGGCAATATAGTGAAACCACATCTCGACAAAAATAAATAAAGGCTATTTTAAATATAATGTTACATACATATGAGCAAATATAATATTAAATTCCTTAGTGTTATTGGTGTCTGAATCCAATACAAAATGTACAAATGAAATACAAACAAAACTATAAAACTAATAAAAATTAAAATTGGCAGCACAGATGAGACAGATGGTGTTGTTTGCTGAAACTAAATTGCTCATGTTAGGTTTATAGTAGTAGAAAGATGTAGCTTCAGGTGCACTTTTATTTTTGATTAAAGTAACATGACTGCAGATAAGGTTTTGTTTGCTAAATTGGAATAATTAGACTTCATACTTAACCAAACTTTCCCTAGCAAGCAATCCTTCAATGTCACTTTTTTTTTTTTTTTTTGAGACGGGATCTCGCTCTGTCATGCAGGCTGGAAGACAGTGGTACAATCACAGCTCACTGCAGCCTTGATCTCATGGGCTTAAGAGATCCTCCCACCTCAACCTCTCGAGTAGCTGGGACTACAGGCATGAGCCACCACTCCTGGTTAATTTTTGTACTTTTTGTAGAGATGGAGTTTCATTATGTTGCCCGGGCTGGTCTTGAACCCCTGGGTGCAAGTGATCTGCCTGTTTCGGCGGCCCAAACTGCTAGGATTGCAGGCATCAGCCACTGTGGCCAGCCTTCAACACAACTTTTAATGACATTTTTCTGCAACTTTCAGACACCTACAGCCCTCTAGAGGAGGTGCTTTTCTATTTTCTGCAAAGAACAAGATAGTAAATATTTATAGGCTTTGTAGACTAACAGGCAAATTAAGGTATTATATAGGTACTTACAAAACAAGGAAATGTGTTTTTCACACAAGATACTGCTGGACACTGATATCAATCCTAGCATAAGATTTTAATTGTCTATATTCATTGCTTGAGGGCATTTATAGAATTTTATTATATTCTTTCTTTGATATTTGCCTTTTAACACATTACTACACTGCAGATTAATCATTTCCCCTCAAAGGTTATGTAGAGGCTCCTCAACAGCACAGTTAAATGGGTTTTGAAATATGAGAATATCCTGGCCGGGCGCGGTGGCTCAGGCCTGTAATCCCAGCACTTTGGGAGGCCGAGGTGGGCAGATGACGAGGTCAGGAGATTGGGGCCAAACTGGCTAACATGGTGAAACCCCGTCTCTACTAAAAATACAAAAAAATTAGCCAGGCGTGGTGGCTGGCGCCTGTAGTCCCAGCTACTCGGGAGGCTGAGGCAGGAGAATGGCGTGAACCTGGGAAGCGGAGCTTGCAGTGAGCTGAGATCGCGCCACTGCACTCCAGCCTGGGTGACAGAGCAAGACTCCGTCTCAAAAAAAAAAAAAAAAAAAAAAAAAAATGAGAATATCCTTTGCACTTGCATTGAGGTATGAAAAATATTGCTGGAACAGTATTGGAAAATATATTCTCTGCAAATTTGTACTGGATGGAGATCTTGCTTCTTGTTTTACTTTTTGACAGCAGAGGGAGTAAATAAAGCGGCTTGATATTGCTTATGGTTCCAACTGCATTGTTGTCATCCAAATGACTTTATTGAATAGCAGTTTTGTATACAACCTCTGTTTCGTCTTGTAGTTTGAGTCTTAATTCATTAAGAAACATTATCAAGTCTGCAGCAGAAGCTACTTTCCAAAGCCATTCAGAATTGTAGTGGTCGCAGAAAGTCCTCATTTAGAAAAATTTGTATCTTAACTATGAGGTTAAAAAAATATTCCATACAATTTTACCACTACAAAACCATCGAACTGCTGTGTGATAGGGCAAATGAGGATATTTGCTTCTATTTATGACAAAAATTCACGGGACTGAACACTATTAAGTCCATGAGAACAAATGAAGTTCACTGCTGACACTATTGGTTGAATAACACATGATAGAGTCAAATATTTTTCACATATGTACCTGTTGATGACTAGTACAATGAATACAAAGAAGTCTTCCAACACCTTGAATTTTAAAAAAACTTTGTAAATTTGTTAAACTAGGCCTTTGTCTTCTCCACGTAATTTTTTTTGGGATAGGATCTCACTCTGTCATCTAGGCTGGAGTGCAGTTGTGCTATCACAGCTCACTATAGCATCCAGCTCCTGGGCTCAAGCGAGCCTCCTACCCTAGCCTCCTGTGTAGCTGTGACTACAGGCATGCACCAGCATGCTCACTATTTTTTTTTTTTTTTTTTTTTTTTTTTTTGTAGAGATGGGTGTGTTGTGGGGGGAGTCTCTCTTTGTTGCCTAGGCTGGTCTTGAACTTCTGACTTTAAGCCATCCTCCCACCTTGACCTCCTAAAGCATTGGGATTACAGGCATGAGCCACCACACCTGATTTTTATCACTATCCATTTTAACACATCTTAGTAGATTCCCCATGAGGGAATCTCATGGTGTTTTCTCGAGTTCTCTGAAAATATTCTCAATTATATTTATTCCATGTAGACCATTCATAGAGGCTAACATTCAGTGACTCAAACCAGGCATTGACTCCTTGAATAAACAACAACTGAATAGTGTTGGAAATACCTGTTGAGTCATTAGAAGCCAAGGAAAATCACTCAAAATCATTTGCATTGTTTTAAAATTGGCTATTGATGTTGCTCTCAATATCCTCAACTGTTTGAGCAACTGTTTTTTTTTTTTTTTTTTTGAGACGGAGTCTCACTCTGTCGCCCAGGCTGGAGTGTAGTGGTGTGATCTCGGCTCACTGCAACCTCTGCCTCCCGGGTTCACGCCATTCTCCTGCCTCAGCCTCCTGAGTAGCTGGGACTACGGGCGCCCGCCACCATGCCCAGCTAATTTTTTTGTATTTTTTAGTAGAGATGGGGTTTCACCGTATTAACCAGGATGGTCTCGATCTCCTAACCTTGTGATCCGCCGGCCTCAGCCTCCCAAAGTGCTGGGATTACAGGCATGAGCCACCGCGCCCGGCCTTGAGTGACTGTTTTTTACCGAAAAGTGAATAGTCTTATACTAGTTTATTTTCTCTGGACACATTTCTTTGGCTTCTGAAATTAAATATGATTTAATTAATTCACCATCAGTAAATGTGTTTGCTTGCCTAACAAATGAGCCATTTGGAAATTTATTTTGGCTGCAGCTTCATTTTTATTTTCTGTTTTAGTGAAAAAAATTATGCTGTAATGAGATATTCTTTCTGAAATTTCCTAATTTTTCTGACCGGTTGCTTTCCTGTGAGTTGAGAATAGTGTGATGAATGCCTAGTCTGGTAATGCTGACCTATTACATGTTATTTTTTTCTTTAGCACATAATTCCTTGTCATCTAATTTGATGATAAAATAATTAGGCTGGGTGCAGTGACTCATGCCTGTAGTCTCAGCACTTTGGGAGGCCAGTGGATTGCTTGAGCCCAGGAGTTCAAGACCAGCCTGGACAACATGGCAAGACCCTGTCTCTACAAAAAAATACAAAAATTAGCCAGACATGGTGGACTGAGCCTGTAGTCCCAGCTACTCGGGAGGTTGATGTGGGAGGATCACCTGAGCCCCCAGGGAGGTTAAGGCTGCAGTGAGCTGTGATCGTGCCACTGCACTCCAGTCTGGGGGAAAGAGTGAGACCCTGTCTCAAAAAAAAAAAAAAAAAAAAGGAAAGAAAAAAAGAAAAAAAAAGGTGTGTTGTTTAATTTCTATGAATTTTCCAGTTTTATTTCTGTAATTGATTCCTACCTTTATTCCATTGTGGTCAGAGAGGATACGTTGTATGATATTTTAAACAATCGACTGTTGGGTTGTGGCCTAACAAAGGGTCTACCCTGGGTAACTTTCCATGTACACCTGAGAAGAGTGTGTATCCTGTTGTTGCTGGGTAGACTGTTCTATGTATATAACTGTTCTATGTATATAACTGTATATGTCTAATAGACAGACAGTTGGTTTATTTTGTTAAATCGTCTATTTCCTTACTTATCTTCTGTCTGGTTGTTCTATCCATTATTGACAGTGGGGCATTAAAGTCTACAACTGTTATCCTAGAACTGTTTATTTCTCCCTTCAAGTCTATTAGTTTGTGCTTTACATATTTTGATGGTCTGTGAGGTGCATAGATATTTATAATTTTTTTCTTTTTTTTTTTTTGAGACAGAGTCCCGCTCTGTCACCCAGTCTGGAGTGAAGTGGCACGATCTCGGCTCATTTCAACCTCCACCTCCCAGGTTCAAGCGATTCTGGGACTATAGGCACACACCACCATGCCTGGCTAATTTCCGCATTGTTTTAGTGAGATGGGGTTTTATCATATTGGTCAGGCTGGTCTTGAACTTCTGACCTCAGGTGATCCACCTGCCTCGGTCTCCCAAAGTGCTGAGATTACAGGCATGAGCCACCACACCCAACAAATGTTTATAATTTTCAGAGAAGTTCTCTCTCTGCCGCCCAGGCTGGAGTGCAGTGGCATGATTAAGGCTTACTGTGGCCTCAACCTCCTGGGCTCAAGTGATCCTCCCACCTCAGCCTCTCAAGTAGCTGGGACCACATGCATGTGCCACCATGCCTGGCTAATTTTTAAAAATTTTGTAGAGATGGGATTTCACCATGTTGCCCAGACCGGTCTCGAACTCCTGGGCTCAAGCGATTTGACCACCTCAGCCTCCCAAAATACTGGGATTACAGGTGTGAGCCACTGCCTCCAGCCATATAATTATTAAATCTTCTTGCTGTACTGAACCTTTTTATTAATCTATAATGTCTTTCTTTGTCAATTGTAACTTTAAAAAATTTAAAGTCTATTTTGTCTAATATTAGTATAGCCATCCCTGTCCTATTTTACTTACTATTTGCATGGAATATCTTTTTCCATTTTTTCACTTCCAACGGATTGTGTCTTTGGATCTAATAAAAATCATCTGAAGATAGCATATAAGTGGATCAGGTGCTTTATCTATGCTGCTAATCTCTGATTTTTGATTGGAGAATTTAATTCATTTACATTTAAAGAGATCACTGATAAGGTGGGTTTTCTGTCATTTTGCTATTTTTTTCTATATGCCTTATAACTTTTTTGTCCCATGCTTCCTGCCTTACTATCTTTTGTGTTTACTTGATTTTTTTATAGTGGAACATCTAAGTTAATTTCTCATTTCGTTGTGTGTATATCTGCAACTATTTTCTCTGGTTACCATGGAGATCGCATTTAACTTCCTAAAGTTATAAAATTCTAATTTGGATTTATACCACTTTAACTTAACATACAAGGCTGGGCGGTGGCTCACACCTGTAATTCCAGCACTCTGGGGGGTCAAGGTGGCTGGATCACAAGGTCAGGAGTTCAAGACCAGCCTGGCCAGGATGGTGAAACCCCATCTCTACTAAAAATACAAAAATTAGCTGGGTGTGGTGGCGGGTGCCTGTAATCCCAGCTACTAGGGAGGCTGAGGCAGAGAACTGCTTGAACCCAGGAGGCGGAGGTTGCAGTGAGCTGAGATCGTGCCACTGAACTCCAGCCTGGGCGACAGAGAGAGACTCTGTCTCAAAAATAAAACATTAAAAAAAAAAAAAAAAAATTCCACTCCTTTATAGCTAGGTCCTCACTCCTCTTGATTGTTGGTGTCACGAAATTACATGTTTATAATGTGCTGCCCCAAGCCATAAACTAATAATTATTTTAAGTGCATTTGTGTCTTAAAAGTAAAAAACAAAATGTGGAATTACAACTCAAAGTTATAATAATACTAGATTTTTGACTAATTTTTAAAAATGTATTAGTCTCTTAAGAGACTATCATATAGTCTATCATATAGAAAACAAAAAGTGAAGTTAAAAACCCTTGTTACAATAATACCACCTTGTATAATGGCCCATGTATTTACCTTTATTGAAATCTTTGTTTCTCCATATGGCTTCCAGTTACTGCCTAATGTCCTTACATTTCACACTGTATGACTTTCTTGAGCATTTATTGTGGGGCAGGTCTAGTGGTAATTCTCTCTTTCTTTTCTTTTTTCTTTTCTTTTCTCCTCCCTCCCTCCCTCCCTTCCTTCCTCTTTCTTTCTCTCTCTCTTTCTCCCTTTCTTTTTTTCCTTTCTTTCTCTCTCTCTTTCTCTCTCTTTCTTTCTGTTTTTTTTTTTGAGACAGGATCTCGCTATGTTACTCAGGCTGGTCTCAGACTCCTGGGCTCGGGTGATCCTCTCTCCTCAGTCTCCTGAGCAACCAGGATTGCAGGCACACACCACTACACCTGGCTCTCCCTCATTTTTTATCTGGGAAGGTCTTAATTTCTCCCTCACTTTTGAAGAACTGTTAAGCCAAATGCAAGATTCTTGCTGTTGTTTGTTTTGTTTTCTTTTAGCACTTTGCATACCTTGGCTCACTGTCTTCTGGCCTGCAGAGTCTCTGGGAGAAATGTGCTGACAGTCTTATTGAGAGACCCTTGTATGTGATGAACCCCTTCCCTCTTGCTGCTCTCAAGATTTTCTCTTTGTCTCTCAAAAGTCTGATTCTAATGTGTCTTGGTGTGAGTCTTTGAGTTTATCTTACCTGGAGTTTATCGAGCTTCTTGGATGTTTATATTCATATCTTTCATCAAGTTTGGGATGTTTTCAGCCATTACTTCTTTGAATATTCTCTTGGCTTTCCCCTTCTTCTTCTGGGATTAGACTTCCATAATATGTATGTTGGTCTACTTGGTGGTGTCCCACAAGTCCCTTAGATTCTGTTTACTTTTCTTCAATCTTTTTTCCTTCTGTTCCTTAGACTCAATAATTTCCACTGTCTTTTCTTTAACTTTACTGACTCCTCCTTCTGCCTGCTCAAATCTGCCTTTGAATCCCTCTAGTGAATTTTTCATTTTATTGTGCTTTTCAGCTCTAGAATTTTTTTGTTTCTTTGGGAGGCAGAGGTTGCAGTGAGCCAAAATCGTGCCACTGCACTCCAGCCTGGGCGACAGAGTGAGACTCTGTCTCTAAATAAATAAATAAAACACAGTAACTCTGGAAATCAGATTCTCAGAGTTTGCTGTTCTTTGTTATGGTTTTTGTTTATTGTTGTTATTGTTAACAACTGCCTTTGTGACAAGAAGTCAGGCTGAGGTGAAAAGCTGATGTCTTCTGAGGCCTCTTCTGAGCCTGTGCCTTTCCCTGGGCAGGTGTGAGTACTTCCTAATTTTCCCTGTATATGCAGTTGCTTTTGACTATCCCAGACTTTAGTATCTGACTCCCAAGGGGGAAAGAAAGAAAAAATGAAGGTGGGGGAAGAGTGCTGGCCCTTCATTTCCAGAGGAGGAGGGTCTTGCCACAATGACAGAGGTGCAACAAAATCATCCACCTGCTTCTTTTTGCCTCTGTAATCAAAAGCAGCAACCAGTGATTCTGATATTTGTGGAGATTCCTAATAGTTGGAGGATAGGGCTTCTTTGCCGACCCTGGCTCCTGCAAGTTGGTTCAATCTGCCTTAGAAACACATGTGGGGTACAGTGGCTCACGCCTTTCCCAGCACTTTGGGAGGCCGAGGTGGGCGGATCATGAGGTCAGGAGTTCAAGACCAGCCTGGCCAACAGAGTGAAACCCTGTCTCTACTAAAAATACAAAAATAAGCTGAGTGTGGTGGCATGAGCCTGTAGTCCCAGCTACTTGGGGAGGCTGAGGCAGGAGAATGATTGAACCTGGGAGGCGGAGTTTGCAGTGAGCCGAGATCGAGCCACTGCACTCCAGCCTGGGTGACAGAGAGAGACTGTCTTAAAAAAAAAAAAAAAAGGAAACACATGCACTGCTGCCTGCCGTGGGGAAAGGTGGTGAGGAAAAGGGTAGCTGCTACCGCACCAAGAGCTGAAATTGACCAAAATTAACCACAATTTACCATCTAAGTCATTCTGCTGAAAGCTGCAAGTCTTCAATAGATTCCAGAGTTCTAAAACAGTTATGACAAAGAGATTCTGCCCGGGTAATTGTTATCTAGATAGGGAGACCGATTCTTGGTGCTTCCTATTCGATCATCTTTCCAGAATCCTCTGTCCAGGCCTTTGTTTGAAAGTATAGCTTTAAATCTTGTTATTTTTCCTTGGGTGGGGTTTTATTTTCAGCCTTATTTATTCACTGTGGCCTTGACTTCCTAGGGTCAAGTGATCCTCCCACCTCAGCCTCTTGAGTAGCTAGGAGTGCACCACCATGCTTGGCTGGTTTTTAAATTTTCTGTAGAGATGGGATCTCACTATGTTGCCCAAGCTGGTCTTGAACTCCTGGGCTCAAGCTTCACAAAGTGCTGGGATTATCGGCATAAACCACCACACCCAGTCCTGGTTGTTTTTTTTTTTTTTTTTTTTTTTTTGAGACAGAGTCTTGCTCTGTCACCCAGGCTGGAGTGCAGTGGCATGATCTTGGCTCACTGCAACCTCCACCTCCTGGGTTCAAGTGATTCTCCTGCCTCAGCCTTCCAAGTAGCTGGGATTACAGACACACACCATCATGCCTGGCTAATTGTTTTTTTTTTTTTTTTTTTTTTAGAGACGAGGTTTGGCCATGTTGGCCAGGCTGTTCTCGAACTCCTGGCCTCAAGTGATCCGCCTGCCTCGGCCTCCCAAAGTGCTGGGATTACAGGCTTGAGCCACTGGACCCAGCCCCAGTCCTATTTTTTTTTTAATGTAGAAAAGAAAATGTGGGCTCTTCTTAAGGAAATTTTATGCATAATCAAACAACATACTTTTTTTTTTTTTTAAAGGGACCCTGGGGCATCCCATTGGCTCAGAAAATCACTTGCTCTTCAAACTCTTACAGCCATTTTCTATTATACTAATGTCCCAGGAAGAAAGCAAAACTACCAGGGCCAGAGAAAGCACGGCAATCTCTATGTTGGGACTAAGAATTTGATCCTGTTCATGCTTTGTCTTTCTACTTCCACCTTCAGTGCCTTTTTCTGTTCTTTTCCGGTGCTCTCTTTTCTCTCTTTTCTCCTCTCCCCCATGCCTCTTGTGGTATCATGCTACCTCATCCTTCCTATCATGACCAAGGCATTTGATGAACTCATTCCTGCCAGCTCTTCTCAGAGTCTGAGTCAGACAGGACCACAGGGAGAAAAGACTCTTGAATCATGGGACTTACATTTGGGTTAAAGCACAGACCAAATGCTGTATGTAAGAGCCTACCTCTGCAAGGCTGCCCCTGCTCCCACTATTGCACCCATCCTGCCAGGGGCCGACTGGGCTGACACCATCATTCCCGTCACTCCCACCACTCCCCTCCCCTCCCAGAATTGCAATAGTATGTCAAATCTGGGACCCCGATCAGGGATCTGGGAAGTTGAGAAAGCATCCAGTTGGCAAACTAAGATATGGGTTTCACCCTAAGAAAAGAGTTTTAAATGCTGGCTGTGCATGAAAATTGCCTGGGAAATTTTAGAAGAATGTAAGCGCCTGTGCCCCATCTGAGGTCAATCAGGTCATTTGATGTGGTTTAGAATAACTGCCCAGTTAACATTGCCAGGCAGGGACTGTCACCAGGACATAATTTCTCTTCTCCACATCCAAATCCTGACCAATGCCTAATGGAAGGGACTTTTGGGATCCTTGAGTTACATTAGAAGCTGATAGTTCCATTTAAAGATCGTGGCAGTTCCTGCAAGGCTTGGTGTGTTAAGTGTGTGAACAGTGGCCCCGGTTCTGTGGCTCAAATCTATAATCCCAAAACTTGGGCAGGAAGATTGCTCAAAGCCAGAAGTTCAAAACCAGCCACGGCAACCTTGTGAGACCCCGTCTCTACAAAAAATAAAACAATGAGCTGGGCATGGTGGTGCACACCTGTGGTCCTGGCTACATGGGAGGCCAAAGTGGGAGGATCACTTGAGCCCAGGAAGTTGAGGCCACAGTGAGCCGTGATTGTGCTACTGCACTCCGCCTAGGTGACAGAGCAATAATCTGCCTTAAAAAAACAAAAGAAAACAAAACAAAACTGAATAGCTTTGGCAGGTTGAGGAAGGAGGATCGCTTGAGGTCAGCAGTTTGAGACCAGCCTGGACAACATAGCAAGACCCTGTCTCTAAAAAAAAAAAAAATTTTTTTTTTTTTTTTTTGAGAGGGAGTCTCTGTCGCCGAGGCTGGAGTGCAGCCTGGTGCGATCTCAGCTCACAGCAACCTCCGCCTTCTGGGTTCAAGCGATTTTGCTGCCTCAGCTTCCCAAGAAGCTGAGATTACAGGCGTATGCTAACACTCTTGGCTAATTTTTGTATTTTTAGTAGAGACAGGGTTTTGCCATGTTGGCCAGGCTGGTCTCAAACTCCTGACCTCAGGTGATCTGCCCACCTTGGCCTCCCAAAGTGCTGAGATTACAGGCATGAGCCACCACACCTGGCCTACAAAAAATTTAAAAAATTAACCAGGCTTGGTGGCTCATGCCTGTAGTCTTAACTACTCAGGAGGCTGAAGCAGGAGGATTGCTTGATCCCAGGAGGTCGAGGCTACAGTGAGCCACCATGATGCTGTTGTATTCCAGCTTGGGTGACAAAGGGAGACCCAATCTCTAAAAAAATTTAACGGAATATAGATAACTGAATAGGCCAGGCACAGTGGCTCATGCCTGTAATCCCAGAACTTTGGGAGGCCAATGCAGGCAGATCACCTGAGGTCAGGAGTTCAAGACCAGCCTGGCCAAAATGGCAAAACCCCGTCTCTACTAAAAACACAAAAATTAGCCAGGCATGGTGGTGCGTGCCTGTAATCCCAGCTACTTGGGAGGCTAAGGCAAGAGAATTACTTGAACCAGGGAGGTGGAGGTTGCAGTGAGCTGAGATGGTACCATTGCACTCCAGCCTGGTCAAAAAGAGTGAAACTTCATCTCAAAAAAATAAAATAAAATAAAAAGAGAGATCAGGAGTTCGAGACAGCCTGGGCAACATGGCAAAACCTCATCTCTACTAAAAATACAAAAATTACCTGGGCATGGTGGTGCATGCCTGTAGTCCCAGCTACTTGGGAAGCTGAAACAGAAGAATCTCTTGAACCCAGGAGGCGGAGGCTGCAGTGAGCCAAGATGGCACCTCTGCACTCCCACCTGGACAACAGAAACTCTGTCTCAAAAAAAAAAAAAAAAAAAAAAGAATTGAATAGTATGAGTGTCACACAGAAGGTCAACATGAGTCATTTTATTTTATTTTATTTTATTTTATTTTATTTTATTTTATTTTATTTTATTTGAGATACAGTCTCACTCTGTTGCCCAGGCTAGAGTGCAGTGGTACAATCTCAGCTCACTGCAACCTCTGACTCCTGGGTTCAAGCAATTCTCTTGTCTCTGCCTCCCGAGTAGCTGGGACTACAGGTGCACGCCACCACACCTGGCTTATTTGTTTATGTTTTTTAATAGAGATGGGGTTTCACCATATTGGTTAGGCTGGTCTAGAACTCCTGACCTCATGTGATGCATCCACTTCGGCCTCCCAAAGTGCTAGGATTACAGGGGTGAGTCGCCATGACTGGCCAGCATGAGTCAATTATAAACTAATTATATCATTGATTGATATTGGGACTGGGGAGTCTAAAAGTTTGGATTATCCTGGTATTGACTTTCCTTTAGATTCTCTAGAAAGCATCTTGAAGAAACATTATACTGACCTTAGGCTTCTCTTAACCAGTCTTTTCTCGGAAGAGTTTTAAAGTACCTTGACTCAATCCATAACTTGAGAAAATATGGAAGAAATGAAACATGAAAAAAATTCTCACTCTAAGAACAGTGTTCTAAAAGGAAAAAAAAAAGGTCACGTGTGGTGGCTCATACCTGTAATCTCAGCACTTTGTGAGGCCAAGGCAGGAGGATCACTTGAGCCCAGGAGTTCAAGACCAGCCTGACTGAGCAATATAATGAGACCCTGTCTCTACAAAAAATTTAAAAATTAGCCGGGCACGGTGGCTCACGCCTGTAATACCAGCACTTTGGGAGGGCGAGGTGGGTGGATCACGAGGTTAGGGGATCGAGGCCATCCTGGCTAACATGGTGAAACCCCGTCTCTATTAAAAAATACAACAAATTAGCCAGGCGTGGTGGCGGGCTCCTGTGGTCCCAGCTACTCAGGAGGCTGAGGCAGGAGAATGGTGTGAACCCAGGAGGTGGAGCTTGCAGTGAGCCGAGATCGCGCCACTGCACTCCAGCCTGGATGACAGAGTGAGACTCCGTCTCAAAAAAAAAAAAAAAAAAAAAAAAAAAATTAAAAATTAGCTGAGTGTGGTGGCACGTGCCTGTAGTCCCAGCTACTCGGGAGGCTGAGGTAGGAGGATTGCTTTAGCCAAGGAGTTCAAGGCTGCAGTGAGCTATGATGGTGTCACCGTACTCCAGCCTCAGTGGCAGAGCAAAGACCCTGTCTTAAAATAAAATAAAATAAAATAAAGAAAAAGGGGAGGGGAGGAGAGAGGAAAGGAAAGGGACAGAAGGAAAGCAAAAGGTAAAATACATCATTAAAGACATTTTTACTTTCTTTTTTAAATTATTTATATGTATATATTTTTATTCAATTTTTATTTTAAGTTCCGGGATACATGTGCAGGATGTGCAGATTTGTTACATAGGTAAACACGTGCCATGGTTGTTTGCTGCACAGATCATCCCATGGCCTAGGTATTAAGGTCAGCGCCCATTAGCTATTCTTCCTGATGCTTTTCCTACTCCCCCAACAGGCCCTAGTGTGTGTTGTTCCTCCCAATGTGTCCATGTGTTCTCATCATTCAGCTCCCTCTTCTAAGTGAGAACATGTGGAGTTTTGGTTTTCTGATGCTACGTTAGTTTGCTGAGGAATGGCTTCCAACTCTATCCATGTCCCCGCAAAGGACATGATCTCATTGCTTTTTATGGCTGCATAGTATTCCATGGTGTCTATGTACCACATTTTCTTTATCCAGTCTATCACTGATGGGCATTTAGGTTGATTCCATGTCTTTGATATTGTGAATAGTCCTGTAGTGAACATATGTGTGGCACGTATCTTTATAATAGAATGATTTATATTCCTTTGGGTATATACCCAGTGATGGGATTGCTGGGTCAAATGGTATTTCTTTCTTTTTTTTTATTTTATTATTATACTTTAAGTTTTAGGGTACATGTGCACAATGTGCAGGTTTGTTACATATGTATACATGTGCCATGTTGGTGTGCTGCACCCATTAACTCGTCAGGTCAAATGGTATTTCTGCCTCTAGGTCTTTGAGAATCACCACACTGTCTTCCACAATGGTTGAACTAATATACATTCCCACCAACAGTGTAACAAAGTTCTTTTTTCTCTGCAACTTCACCAGCATCTGTTGTTTTTTGACATTTTAATAATAGCCACTCTGACTGGTATGAGATGGTATCTCATTGTAGTTTTGATTTGCATTTCTCTAATGATCAGTATTGTTGATTTTTTTTTCATATGTTTGTTGGCCACATGTATATCTTTTGAGCAGTGTCTGTTCAGGTCCTTTGCCCAGTTTTTTGTTTTGTTTTGTTTTGTTTTTGAGCCAGAGTCTCATTCTGTCACCCATGCTGGAGTGCAGTGGCGTGATCTCGGGTCACTGCAACCTCAGCCTCCCAGGTTCAAGTGATTCTCCTGTCTCAGCCTCCTAAGTAGCTGGGATAACAGGTGCCCACTACCACACCTGGCTAATTTCGCCAAGTTCGCCAGGCTGGTCTCAAACTCCTGACCTCAGGTGATCCACCCACCTTGGCTTCCCAAAGTGCTGGGATTACAGGCCTGAGCCACCGCGCCCGGCCTTTTGCCCAGTTTTTAGTGGTGGTGTTTTTGTTTTTGTTTTTTCTTGTAAATTTAAGTTCCTTGTAGACTCTGGATATTAGACCACTGTCAGATGGATAGGTTGGGAAAATTTTCTCCCATTCTGTAGGTTATCTCTTCACTCTGATGATAGTTCATTTTGCTCTGCACTCTTAATTTCTTAAAGGGGGAGGGATGATAGCAAGAGAATCCTTGTGTCTCTACTTTTAACAAATGATGATGAAATATTTGGGGACTGCCTACAATGAAAATCTTCACAATCAAACGACTAGGAATAGGCTGAGGGTATTAGTAGACTGGTGACCTATTGCGATGGACATAATGTGAAGAAATAATTCCGGCATCTTACGTACTAATCTCATTCTTTCCTTGTCAAAGGAAAACAAATTAGATAAATAAAGAAGAAAGCTGAAGATTAGTGTTCTTTTTAACTTGACAAATAATGATGTGTATGTTTATGGGTGGAGATTAGGGTTTCTACAGTTGTTTTAGTTGTGAATTTCTGGGCCTTTCCACTGTCATTTATTAAACTTCACTTTGCAACTTTGGTGCATAAATCAGTTACTTCTGTGGAGGCCTCTTGCCTGCAGTGAGCCCTGTGCGCTAGGTCTTGACCGTGCAGCCAGCGTTGAGAGCTGGGGGAGACAGCAGCGAGAGGCCCACGCCAAGCGCCTGAAGGTGCCGCTCCCGGCCGGCTTTGAATGAGGAGCTGAGGATGCACACAGGCGTCCTGTCACTGAAGCAGGGCACGGGTTGCCTTATATGTGAAGTTTCCTTAGTGGTTAAGGAGAAGGGGGCTTTTCAGGGAATGGCTCTCCAAAGCACATAGCTTCTGAGAGGAGCATAGAAGAAGGTCTAGTGGGTTGGCCAAGGTGGGGCAGATATGAAGCCCACCAGCGTGTCACTGGCATGCTTGCTGCCTCCCACGCTGTCAGAGTCACACCTGCAGGCCACCGGGAGAGGCTGTGGGTCACACAGCAGAAGCCAGCCCCACTCTTTACATTCTACAAGCACAATTATTTGAAAATTTAAAATTCTAAATGACATAAGCCATCCCTGGGTTGTTATGAAGAATAAAAGATGACAGAAAAGAATTTACATGTATCTCCAGGAAACTTCTCTTTTTTTATTTACTATTATTATTTTTTGAGATGGAGTCTTGCTCTGTCCCCCAGGCTGGAGTGCAGTGGTACAATCTCGGCTCACTACAACCTCCACCTCCCAGGTTCAAGCAATTCTCCTGTCTCAGCCTCCCGAGTAGCTGGGATTACAGGCATGCGCTACCATGCCCGGCTAATTTCCTTTTTTTTTTTTTTTTTTTTTTGTATTTTTAGTAGAGATGGGGTTTCACTATGTTGGTCAGGCTGGTCTCAAACTCCTGACCTCAGGTGATCTACCAGCTTTGGCCTCCCAAAGTGCTGGAATTACAGGCGTGAGCCACCACCCCTGGCCCCAGATAACTTCTGAAGTGAGAAATGTAGCATGATTTTTTGATCACTTGGTGGAGGAATTCCATGTAGCAGACTGATTTAAAACATTCTCTCTCTCACGCGTGGACACAGGCACACATTTCTCCTGTTCTATTACTTCCCCATATAGAGGATCCTCCTGTGCTGCAATGAAAATACTTCTCATTAACCATAAACGAACCGAACAGAATGTAACAAGAGCCCTAATGCAATGTCGGTCACAGAGATAGCCCTACAGTGGGTGATGCGGGGGGAATCGTTAGCATCAGGAAGGGTGTCATTAAGCGTTCTTATTTTTTACTTGTATAGATTTAGAAAGTGTTGACCTGATTTGAATGTAATTCATTCCACTTTCTAGGGCTCTCCTTGAAAGATGACCTACTGTCGCCGGGTGCGGTGGCTCACACCTGTAATCCCAGCACTTTGGAAGGCCGAGGCAGGTGGATCTCCTGAGATCAGGAGTTCGAGACCAGCCTGGCCAACACGGTGAAACCCTGTCTCTACTAAAAATACAAACATTAGCTGTGTGGTGGCAGGCACATGTAATCCCAGCTACTCAGGAGGCTGAGGCAGGAGAATCGCTTGTACCTGGGAGGCGGAGGGTGCAGTGAGCTGAGATCGTGCCATTGCACTCCAGCCTGGTGGATAAGAGTGAGACTTCTGTCTCAAAAAAAAAAAAAAAAATGACCTACTGTGGGTAATGAGGGCACATAGAACAGCTCTTTCCATAAGAGAGTCATTCCAGGACGGGTGCAGAGTGGTGCTCCTGTAATCCCTCCGCTTTGGGAGGCTGAGTTGGGGGGATCACTTGAGCCCAGGAGTTTGCGGTTGCAGTGAGCTATCATTGTGCCATCCTACTCCAGCCTGGGCAACAGAGAGAGATCCCATCACTTAGAAAAAAAAAAAAAAAGAGGATAATTCCAGCCTCATCCTCGGGCTTTTGTGGGAAGCTTCTTCCCTGGTGGGCCTCTTTCTTCTCCAATTCTCCTTCCTGTTGACATGCTCAAACACTCTGGGGCTGGCTCATTCTTTTGTTGCCAAATGAGGAACAGGCTAAAGAGCCCAGCGTGGAGCTGTCACCCCGTTCTGCTGGGATACACAGCTGACAGTCCAACATGTCCATGGTGGTGGGCATGGGGGTAGATTTGGTCTGAGTCTGGCAGGAAGCCAGAGGAGAGGTTCTGACAATGATATAGATGTAAAAGGAAGACGATGGGGCCCTGGTTGCTCCCTCTTGTGACAGAAAACACTGCTTCCAAGTATCGATTCCCAGGATGAAAAACCAAAGAAACTAATAAAAAGGACAGTGTGGGCACGAGTGCTGCCCTTTTGTTCCTTACATGTTCCTGCTTGAGTTGTGCAATGTCGGGTAAATAGCTGAGCGGTGGAATAAAGTCACTGATTTACTAAGTTGAAAAAACTGATGGGTTAACCCATAGCTGAAAAAGTAAGAATTATTTTTGAGATGGGGTGTTGTTGATGGCTGATGTGATACTTCAGTTCTTATCTTCTTTTTTCCTTTTTTTTTGAGACAGAGTCTCATGACCAGACTGGAGTGCAGTGATGCAATCTTGGCTGGCTCACTGCAGCCTGCGCCTCCCAGGCTCAAGGGATTCTCCTGCCTCAGCCTCCCAAGTAGCTGGGATTATAAGCATGCGCCACTACACCCGGCTAATTTTGTATTTTTAGGTTGGTCTCGAACTCCTGGCCTCAAGTGATCTGCCTGCCTTGGCCTCCCAAAATGCTGGGATTACAGGCGTGAGCCACTGTGCAGGGCCCCTTGGTTCTTATCTTCTTGGTGTAAAAGAATTTAAATGCCAGGTGCGGTGGCTCACACCTATAATCCCAACACTTTTGGAGGCTGAGGCAGGTGGGTCACTTGAGGTCAGGAGTTCGAGAACAGCCTGGCCAACATGGTGAAACTCTGTCTCTACCAACAACGACAAACAACATTCAATCTTAAGGCTTGAATACAATCTTTGCCTCGTGTCCCACATGGCTGTGGTTGGGTCCCTGAGGCTTCCCTGCCCCCGTGGTTTTGCTGAGCACAGTGTATACCACAGCTCTTACAGGTTTGTGTTGTGTTCCTGGGGCTCTCCCAAGCTGGTATTGTGTGCTGGTGGCCCCACAAGTCTAGGGTCTTGAGGTAGCCCTGTTCCCACAGCTCCACTAAGCATTCTAGCCAGGGCTCTCTGCAGTGACCCCTTCCCTGTGGCAGTCCTTTGCCTGGCCCCAAGGCTCTCTGAGGCATCCTTTGAAATCTAGGTGGAGATGGCCAGCCTGTACAGCCCTTGCATTCTGCTTGCCTACAGAGTTAGCACTACATGAGTGCCACCAAGGTTTATGGCCTGAACTTCACAGCAGTGGCCTGAGCCATACCTGGGCCTGCTGGAGGCACAGCCAGAGTGACCAAGCAGCACTGGGCCAGAATGCGGGGAGGCAGCAAGCCCAGCGGTCTCAAGGGCTCCTGGGGCCCCTCCTTTGCCATTCTGCCCTCAAGGGCCTAGCACTGTGGGCCTGTGAAGGGCCTGGTAGCCCTGGAGATCTCTGGAATGCCTCTAAGGTGATTCTCCCATTATCTTCATGAACAGCATCTGGCTTCCTTCTATGCGTACTTATCTCCTTATCAAACAGTCACTTGGCCACACCCTCAGTTTTCTATCCTTAAGAATACTTTTTAAAGATTTATGTGGCCAGGCTGAAAATTTTCCACATTTTTACATACTGCCTCCCTTTTGATGATAGATTTTCTCTTTAACTGATTCTTCCTTCTGGCATTTTACTATAAGCAGTTAAAAGCAGCCATGCGGCACACTGAACACTGCTTAGAGATTTTCTTTGCCAAATAATCTACTTCCTTCCTTCCTTCCTTCCTTCCTTCCTTCCTTCCTGCTTTCTTGCTTTCTTTTTTGTTTTTTGAGACAGAGTCTCACTCTGTTGCCCAGGCTGGAGTGCAGTGGCAAAATCTTGGCTCACTGCAACCTCCACCTCCTGGGTTCAAGCGATTCTCCTGCCTCACCCTTCCTAGTAGCCGGGGTTACTACACCTGGCTAAGTTTTGTATTTTTAGTAAAGGTGGGGTTTTGCCATGTTGGCCAGGCTGAGTCTCAAACTCCTGACCTCAAGTGATCCACCCTCCTCAACCTCCCAAAGTGCTAGGATTACAGGCATGAGCCGCTGTGCCCAGCCAAGTTCGCCACTCTTTTTTTTTTTTTGTTTTGTTTTTTTTTTGAGATGGAGTCTCACTCTGTCACCCAGGCTGGAGTGCAGTGGCATGATCTCAGCTCACTGCAACCTCCGCCTCCTGGGGTTCAAGCGATTCTCCTGCCTCAGCCTCTGAAGTAGCTGGGATTACAGGTGCCCACCACCATGCCCGGCTAATTTTTGTATTTTTAGTAGAGATGGGGTTTTACCATGTTGGCCAGGCTGGACTTGAACTCCTGACCTAGTGATCCACCTGCCTCAGACTCCCAAAGTGCTGGGGTTACGTGCCCGGCCAAGTTCATCACTCTTAAATTCTGCCTTCTACAAAGTACTAGAACATGAACATAATTCAGACAGGTTCTTTGCCACTTTTGAACATATGACCTTTCTTGTAGTTTCCAACAAGATATTCCTCATTTCCACCTAAGACCTCATCAGAATGACCTTTATTGTCCATATTTCAACCAACATTTTCTTCACAATCACTTCAGTAATCTCTGAGACTGAAGCTTTCTCTACAACTCTCCTCTGCTTCTGAGCCCTTACTCCAATTGCCCTTAATGACTCATTCAGGGTGAAAAAAGGAGTAAACTCCCTCCAACAAGCCCTTTGGTAGGGGCACCCGATCCCATTCATGAGGGTTTGCTCTCATGACCCAGTCCCCTCCAAAAGGGTGCTCCTCTTAATAGTGTTGCATAGGAGACTAAAATTCACTTTAGTCTAATGAATTTTGGAAGGGACAAAAACATTCAAATCTAGCACAAATAGAAAAATAGAAGAAAGGGGAGGAATTACCAATGTGTCCTCCATGACTCACATCCAGTGACATCAGACTTGTCACTTTCTTGTTTCAGGGTTGATAAACTAATTGTAGAGACATTTTCAGATTTTGTTCTCACTATGCAAAAATTAAAATTTTAAAATAACATATTTTTGGTTTTTGCCTGAATTGGTGCATGTGCTGGAAGTGTGAGTGCTCCAATTTGCCCAGAGTCCACAACAACACCTGCCAATCATGCTGTCGCTTTTTTGTTGCTCTAACTTCAGTGTGTAGCTGAATCTCTACCCCTTTTCGCAATTCTTAGACATGGTCAGTTCTTTTTTTTTTCTTTTTTTTTTTTTTTGAGACAGAGTCTTGCTCTGTCGCCTAGGCTGGAGTGCAGTGGTGTGATCTCGGCTCACTGCAAGCTCTGCCTCCCGGGTTCATGCCAGTCTCCTGCCTCAGCCTCCCAAGTAGCTGGGACTACAGGCGCCCGCCACCACACCCGGCTAATTTTTTGTATTTTTAGTAGAAACGGGGCTTCACCGTGTTAGCCGGGATGGTCTCGATCTCCTGACCTCGTGATCCGCCCGCCTCAGCCTCCCAAAGTGCTGAGATTACAGGTGTGAGCCACCAAGCTTGGCCTTGGTATATTTTTATTGAGTTAAAGTTTATAACAGTTTCTGGCCTGACATGTAAGGGATTAGAAGTCACGCTCTGTTATAACAAGTAAAAAGCTGAACAAACTGAAAAATCAACAGCTCCTTTTAGATCTCTCAGAGAAGTGAAGTCACAGGGAAAACCACTGTCCCCAGAATTGAAGAGACAAACAGGCAGTTATGGAAAACCACAACTTAATAGAGCAGAAACCCACAAACAAAAATCTCCCCAGGAATCAGCTCCAGGACAGGAAAACTTGAACTGCAGTGGATGGATTGCTGAAGGTTCAGCGTGGAGAAGCCTGAGAGTTAAAAACTTCAGGGGGAGCCATTCAGAAAAGAGTCCCACACACTCCTTTGAATTTACCTCCCAGAGCTCTACCAGGTCCTCACAATGAAGGCTGAAGAAAAATCCCCTGTGCTTCTGGCAGGGGGAAGGGAAAGTCTCCATTCTGAAATACCCGAGCATTCTGTTCTCAACAAGGCCAGCCCTCAGGAGAAACTATTTTACCAGAGCCTAACCTGCTAGGCTTTTCTGAAAGACAGGGTCACCCAGGCTAAAGTGCAGCCTGACTGCTGTCCTCTGAGAGGAGAAATCTGAGCTTCCCACTCTGCACCTCCACCATCTGTCTTTGCAGCTCATTCCCTCCTTCACCGATGCCAGAGTGGCCCCTCCAACCCCACTGGGGCTTGTAATCCATTTCCTTGGCGCTTTGCCCTCTGCCCCCCTTGGCAACCCCCTTGGGTTCCACAGTGCATTATTATAATTAACCTCTGGCTTACACCCTCAACTCACATGCTCCTTTCTTTCTGTTGTACTTGAGGTACAATGCTGGCCCCAGTGAAAATACCACTAATGGCTCACTCTTCACTTGCACTCAGGCAGCTGAAGCCAAATGGAGAAAAATGCAAACCCATGATGACCTAAAATGTATGACACTGTCACAAAGTGCCATAAATCTCTCTGTTTTTTTAGACAGAGTCTCGCTCCAGGCTGGAGTGCAGTGGAGCGATCTCGGCTTACTGCAACCTCCGCCTGCCAGGTTCAAGTGATTCTCTTACCTCAGCCTCCTGAGTAGCTGGGATTACAGGCATGCAACACCATGCCCAGCTAATTTTTGTATTTTTAGTAGAGAGGGGGTTTCTCCATGTTGGCCAGGCTAGTCTCAAACTCCTGACCTCAGGTGATCTGCCTGCCTCGGCCTCCCAAAGTGCTGGGATTACAGGCGTGAGCCACTGTGCCTGGCCTTTTTTTTTTTTTTTAACTTTTTACATTCAGGGGTACATGTGCAGGTTTGTTACATAGATAAACCTGTATCATGGAGGTTTGTTGTGCAGATTATTTCATCACCCAGATATTAGGCCTAGCGGCCATTAGTTATTTTTCCTGATCCTCTTCTTCTTCCCACCCTTCACCTCACACCCTTTGTGTCCATGTGTTCTCATCATTTAGCTCCCACATATAAGTGAGAACATGTGATGTTTGGTTTTCTGTTCCTGCGTTAGTTTGCTAAGGATAATGGCCTTCAGCTGTATCTGTGTTCCTGCAAAGGACATGATGTTGTTCTTTTTTATGGCTGCATAGTATTCCATGGTGTATATGTACCACATTTTCTTTATCCAGTCTACCATTGATGGGCATTTAGGCTGATTCCATGTCTTTGGTATTGTGAATAGTGCTGCAATGAACATATGTGTGCATGTGTCTTTATGATGGAATGATTTATTTTCTGTTAAGTATATACCCAGTAATGGAATTGCTGGGTTGAATGGTGGTTCTGTTTTTAGGTCTTTGAGGAATCACCAGTATTTTCCACAATGGTTGAACTAATTTACACTCCCACCAACATTGTATAAGTGTTCCTTTCTCTCCACAACTTTGCTAGCACCTTTTTTTTTTTTGACTTTTTAATAATGGTCACTCTGACTGGTGTGAGATGGTATGTCACTGTGGTTTTGATTTGCCTTTCTCTAATGATCAGTGGTGTTGAGCTTTTTTTCACATGCTTGTTACAAATTGCTATAAACTTCAAGTGTGCTCTTGGTGCTGCCTGGAAGTCCTACATTTCCCTAATCCATTCTCTTTCCCGTTCTCCTAAATGCCTATTTCTCCTTAATCTTGTCTGCTCACATCCCAAAACCTCCTCATCCTCCTCATTCTTAATTAACTTTTTTTTTTTTGAGATGGAGTTTCGCTCTGTCACCTAGGCTGGAGCGCAGTGGCACAACCCTGACTCACTGCAGCCTCTGCCTCCAGGGTCCAAGCGATTCTCCAGCCCCAGCCTTCTGAGTAGCTGGGATTACAGGCGTGCACCACCATGCCCGGCTCATTTTTTTTGTATTTTTAGTAGAGATGGGGTTTCATCATGCTGGCCAGGCTGGTCTTGAACTCCTGACCTCAAGTGATCTGCCTGTCTCAGCCTCCCAAAGTGCTGGGATTACAGGCATGAGCCACTGTGGCCGGCGATCCTCCTCATTCTTACCAGCTCATGCAGTTTACTTGTACTCTCTGGCCTGGCATGGGTTCCAATCTAGGATGGGCTTGCTGGAGCGCTCTTGGGGAGGATAGAGTCCCAAACTGTGACCTGGTGGATTTGGCCAATGCAGGTCATGATAAGCGTCTCTGCCCACAGGGTTACTTGATGTCCTGTGGTCAGACAACATCAACTCTCGCGAACCACTTGTGCGATGGAAGCTGCTTTATGTGAAATGCTGCATAGCCTTGTTCCCAAACCAGAGGAGGCTACATTGTGAGTCTCCTGCTGGGCTTACCACAAACTCCCTACAGCATCTTTTCCCACCACAGGTCCCTCTAGTATATATAAGGTCTGCAATATGACTGCTTGCACAGAAGCCAGGACCTGTGGCAGGGCCCTTCCTGCTCTGGGTCCCATCTGGCAACCTTCCACATCACCCAGTCAGTGGGCTGGAGCAGCATTCCCAAGTGTGGAATTTGCTACCTCCAGAACCTGGAAGGACTTGCCATGTGTATTAGTCTGTTCTCAGGCTGCTTATAATAAAGACATACCTGAGACTGGGTTATTTATAAGGAAAAAGAGGTTTAATTGACTCAGTTTCACATGGCTGGGGAGGCCTCACAATCATGGCAGAAGGCAAAGGAGGAGCAAAGGCACGTCTTACATGGTGGCAGTCAAGGGATAATGAGAACCAAGTGAAAGGGGAAACCCCTTTAAAACCATCAGACCTTGTGAGACTTGTTCACTACCATGAGAACTGTATGGGGGAACCTGCCCCCATGATTCAATTATCTCCCACTGGGTCCCTCCCACAACACATGGGAATTATGGGAGCTACAATGCAAGATGAAATTTGGATGGAGACACAGCCAAACCAAATCACCATGTGCTATGCATCTTCTTAGTGGGGGTGGGGAGGGAATATCCCTGCATACTTCAGCCCTCTGGACCCCTAAGCATTACCCTGATGTCACAGGCTCCTAAACCTGCACAGAGCTCACTGCTCACCCTGCAAATGGCATATGTTTTATCAAGGCCTCCAATGAACTTGCCATCTCTTCCTCCGCAGGTCCAATTAGCACTAGGTCATCAACATAGAGGACCAATGTCTTATTCTGTGGAATGTCCAGATGGCCCGGGTCCCTTTCAAGTGTAATGTGACAGAAGGCAGGGAGCTAACGAAGTCCCGAGGGAAGACTGAAATGTATACTGTTTCGTGTCCCATGTGAATGGAAACTGCTTCTCATCCTTTTTTTTTTGGGAGGGATGGGAAAGAAAACATTTGCCAGCTGGATGGTCATATGCAGCAGTGCTAATGCGCTGTAGTAAAGCTGCCACACGGGCACAGCAGCTGCTGCTGGGGCTGCCCCTTAGTTAAGACTACTGCAGTCTCCCATCACCTGCTGTGATCCCCCTGGCTTCTGCAGGGGCCAGACTGGTGGAAGAAATGGGGATATGACAGAGACCACTAGCCATTCATTCTTTAAGGATCTGAGGGTGGCATTGCGTTCTAGGTATTGTTTTTGATTCACCGTCATTCCTTTTTTTTTTTTTTTTTTTTTTTTTGAGATGGAGTCTCGCTCTGTCACCCAGGCTGGAGTGCATTGGTGTGATCTTGGCTCACTGCAATCTCAGCCTCCTGGGTTCAAGCAATTCTTCTACCTCAGCCTCCCAAATAGCTGGGATTACAGGCACCCGCCATCATGCTCGGCTAATTTTTTTGTGTTTTTAGTAGAGATGGGGTTTCACCATGTTGGCCAGGCTGGTTTTGAACTCCTGACCTCAAATGATCTGCCCGCATTGGCCTCCCAAAGTGCTAGGATTATGTGCGTGAGCCACTGCGCCCAGTCGATTCACTGTTGTTCCTGTGAGAGAAAGGAGTTCAGAGGTTTCCACTTGGCCTTCCCACTGCAATAATTCTCACTTTGCAGGTGGGGATTTTGCCAGCTAAAGAGTGTGTCCAGTCGGCTGGGCGCGGTGGCTCACACCTGTAATCCCAGCACTTTGGGAGGCCGAGGCAGGCTGATCACGAGGTCAGGAGATCAAGACCATCCCGGCTAACACGGTGAAACCCCATCTCTACCAAAAATACAAAAAATTAGCTGGGCATGGTGGTGGGCACCTATAATCCCAGCTACTTGGGAGGCTGAGGCAGGAGAATGGCGTGAACCCGGGAGGCGGAGCTTGCAGTGAGCTGAGATCGCACCACTGCACTCCAGCCTGGGTGACACAGCGAGACTCCGTCTCAAAAAAAAAAAAGAGTGTGTCCAGTCTTATTGTACATCCATGACCAGAGGAATGACCACTGGGCAGGTCTGCAAACTGGACCTAGGTCGGGACCCATGGACCACACGGCCCCAGCCACCGCCGGTTTAGCAGGGAAGGCATGGTGATGCTTCAAATCCCAGGTTTCACTGTCAATCCAGACTCTATCCAATAATCCTCAAAAAGTTTAGGTATTCCCCTTTCACCTAGGCATGGTTACCCATGTAAGCAGCCATAGTTCTTTGCAGAAGGACTGGGGAATCACTGCTAAATACATTTGTCATGTTTCTGCAGCCACAGACTTCTCATTCAGTAAGTTCTGGACCTGAAAATAGGCTCGGGTCCAGAAACAAACAAGGGATCGTGACTTACTGCAGTGGCTACCTTTAGCCTCCTAACCATCTTTGACTTTTAAGAATTATGTCCTGTAAGCCCTATTCTTTGCTCTCTGTGCGAGGAACTCCTCCTCGCTGCCATTTTCCAACCTTGTGTTCATTGGATAATTGTACCTGCCTTGATTCTAATGGCTGCTACTCGGCCTCCATCATTTTGGAAGGTTAGAATCCTCATTGCTATGTCAGAGAACCCAGTTCTTGGTTTTTATTTATTTATTCTTATTTTTAGAGACATGGTTTTGCTCTGTCACCCAGGCTGGAGTGCAATGGCATAATCATAGCTCACCACAGCCTCAACCTCCTGGGCTTAAGCTATCCTCCTACCTCAGCCTCTGTAGTAGCTGGGACAACAGGCGTGCATCACCATGCCCAGCTAATTTTGAAATTTCTTATAGAGACAGGGTCTCACTATGTTCCCCAGGCTGGTCTCAAACTCCTGGCCTCAAACAATCCTCCTGCCTCGGCCTCCCAAAGTGCTGGGATTACAGGCACGAGCCACTGTGCCTGGCAGGGAGCCCAGTTGTGAACAGTATCCCCTTTCATCAGCCCTGGCCTGCAGGGAACAGTCACTATGGAACTCTCCACAATTTTGGGGCCCCTCTCACTAGTCCTTTCTTCATCACTTTGGCCTTCCAGGCTCTCCTGTGGCACACAGTCAGCTTGTGGGTGTTCTGCCTTTGTGTGACAGGCCCTTTCTTGAGTGTGGCCCATCACCTTCAGGCTCCCAAGAGCCATCTTTGTGGTGTCTTAACACCTGCCAGGGTGTTAAATGCTTATAACAATGGAGTGCTCCCAGACTGATAAATGCTCACTTATCCAGCTTTATGTTCAGCTGCTCTGGATCCAGCACCTTGGGATTCCATCTCATGCATATTCTAGCTCCTGACAGCAGGACTCAGCCAGATTCTGCAGCTCCTTTGGTGTGTGCTCTCTTTCTTCCCTTGTCAGGCCCAGGGCAGCCTCGGTTGGGCTTTGCTGGGACTTACTTGACCTGTTACTGGTCTTGTTGCCAGGAGAGGAAGAGAGGGTGATCCTGAGGGTTGCAACCTTCATCTTGCATAACATCTACCTCATTTAAGGCTTCTGCAACATCTTTAAGCAAGTAGAGAATACTATTTTCTTAACAAGAAGAAACAGCCCACTTTTGCAAGCCCAGTAGATTCAAGCTTCTTAATTGTATCCATCCAGTATTCCCATCTCAAGTCTCAGGGTCACACTCCTTTCCTATTAGGCCCTGATCCTGCCCAGAGACCTGCTGAGGCCGAGAATTCAACCTTCTCCGAGCCTCTGCTATTGTGAAGATTCAGCTCTGGGCCAGGTCCTCCTCTCTGCCTACTCTCCAGCTACAGGTTAAGACTTCCTTAAACTCTGCCTAGGAGGCCTTTGGAACTGGTGATAACCAACTGTCCTGAGCCTGTCGCTGTTTCTTCTCTATGAATCCATGGTGCTTAGCAATAATCAGAAACTTAGAAATAGCTTCCATGTCTCTCTCAGTCTCTAGCACCAGAGATACTGCAACAGCCAGTGCATCCTATGCCCATGTAAATTCTTTTTTTTTTTTCCAAAAGAGTCCTTCCTGTCACAGAGCTCACATTTGTATGTTGCGGGCTGGGCCATGGTCATCTGCAGTGGTATTCAGGGGGGATTTCCTCAGAGACCTGGGTTTGGGCCTGTGCACCCCAATTGGCCCTTTCCCATTCTCTTTAGGGGATGAGGCTGGGGAGGGCCCATATCCTAAAAGGCCACGCAATGAGTTCAGCTTATCCTGAGGACAGTGGGGAGCCAATAATGATCTCTAAGTGATGGGGTCCCTCCTGCCTTTAGTGCAGAGTTTAGGAAGGGTGAGCCTGGAGGTGCTTGGGTGGTCAGGTGAGGGGAAAGAGGGGATGAATTCAAAGTCTTTGGCAGGAGTGTCACCTGAGAGATGGATGACGTCGGGAGAAGAGGGGAAGAGAGTGTGAGGCCAGCTCTCCAGCAAGTCTTCCAGCCTCTGCTGACCTTCCCCCCATCCTCATCCTATCATTAGGGACTGTCAAGAGCTCAAAAGATACAATGCTGATTACAGACCAGTAATAGGTCATGTCCCAGCAAAGTCCAACTGAGGATGCCGTGGGCCTGACAAGGGAGAGGAGAGAGCACACGCCGAAGGAGCTGGAGAATACGCCAGAGGAACCAAGGCCACTCCAGGTGAAAGTCAGTCCCTGAACTGCTGCAGCACCCCAGATCTGTCCATACTCCGCCCAACACTAGTGATGGGGTCCCTACTGCCAGCTTGCCAGCAGGGATCCAGCTCCAAAGTCCCATCTTAGAGTCTGCTTCCCAGGACCACCTCAATTTTCTTAGATATTCCCTGGAAACAGAGGTAGAGTGTTGCATACAGAAAGGCTGTCGAGAGGCATGTGTAGGCAGCTGAGGAAGACAGGACTGAGCAGAAGGAGAAACTGATCCAAAATGCAAGTTCAACTAAAGCTTTAGGCAATTCTATAGGGTGCTCTGGAGCTGGGCTGGAGATCATTCTTTTGTGACCCTGGTATTGGCCATGGGTCACCTACTGGGAGGGGAATACCCTTGGGCAAGGCAGTTCTCTGTGGTTGAGGGCCTTCCCAGTAAGTGACGCAGCTGTGAACCTTCCCTGCCAGGAGCCAGGGGCTGGGTGCACTGGCCCCGAGAGGGGATCCTGGCAAAGGCACACTATCCACCATGCCTTCTGCCTCCAGCTGCCCTCTCTCTCTTTTCTATTTCATTAGTTCTTCTCTATTGGCCCATTCTCATCAGTACATGATGTTGCTGGTAATGCCGCCCATAGAAAAACAAACAACCAAACAAGACACCCTCTGTTGGGGGCTCAGTGCGGCTCTCCAGAGCTCTCCAAGTAGTGTTAGAGTCGTGATTAAAACAACAAGCCAAAATGAAAGCACCAGTCAAGCTTTCAATGTTTTTTTTTTTTTTTTTTTTTTTGAGACAGGGTCTCACTCTATCACCCAGGCTGGAGTGCAGTGGCACAATTTTGGCTCATTGCAACCTCCGTCTCCCCAGTTCAAGTGATTCTTCTGCCTCAGCCTCCTGAGTAGCTGGAATCACAGGCATGCACCACCACGCCCAGCTAGTTTTTGTTTTTAGTAGAGATGGGGTTTCACCATGTTGGCCAGTCTGGTCTTGAACTCCTGGCCTCAAGCAATCCACCTGCCTCAGCCTCCCAAAGTGCTGGGATTACAGGCATAAGCCACTGCTCCTGGTCATGCCTTCAATCATCTAACGCCATACCTTAAGCAAAGGGCTCGCTTGGAGGGAATGTCCACTCCCATCTGCTCTGTTTTCCCTCATGGAACAGTGTGCAGAGGGTCAGATATCAGGGGAAGGGTTAAGGGTGGAAAATAACCAAGTCCAAGTAGAGAAAAGCAAGATTCCTTCTTCTCTTCATGATAAGAAGAGGCATCTGAGGAAGGCCTCATTCAGAGACCCCAAAGAGATTTCAAATGGAGGCACCTGGACTAGGAATGCAGATATGTGAGAGCAAGGCCTGCCCATGGGACCTGAGTCCTTGACCACAGCACCCTTCAGGACTGTCATGCACTGACTGTGCATCAAGTCTGGCATGGAAAGGGCAGCCTTCCCTGTGAGGCCTGCCAGGAAAAGCCTGTGTAATTGCCTATGATCAAGTTTGAAAGATCACATAGAGGTCTTTAGCTAAGAGCTGAACTCCTAACCCCCTGTTATGGCTCCATCCCCCAGCTGCTTTTGCTAGCAAACTCCTCAATAAACTTGTTTCTACTCACTATTTCCAATTCCACAATCCCATTCTGCCATGAATCCATTTCCATTAAATTTTTGTCTCCATCATTTCATAAAAACTGCTATTGTTCAGATCACCAAAGATCTCCACGTTTCATCTTTGTATCTATGTCCAGTTGATTTTGACAAGGGTACCAAGACCATTTGGTAAAGAAAGAATACCAGCTTGGGCTACATGATGAAACCTTGTCTCTACAAAAAATACAAAAATTAGCCAAGCATGGTGGTGCATGCCTTTAGTCCCAGCTACTCAGGAGGCTGAGGCAGGAGAATCGCTTGAACCTGGGAGTTGGAGGTTGCAGTGAGCTGAGATTGCACCACTGCATTCCAGCCTGGGTGAAAGAGTGAGGAAAGAAGGAAAGAAAGAAAGGAAGAAAGGAAGAAGGAAAGAAAGAAAGGAAGAAAGGAAGAAGGGAAGAAAGGAAGAAGGAAAGGAAGGAAGGAAGAAAGGAAGGAGGAAAGGGGAGGAAGGAAAGAAGGAAGGAAGGAAAGAAGGGAGGAAGGAAGGAAAGAAGGAAGGAAGGAAGGAAGGAAGGAAGGAAGAGTCTTTTCAACAAATGATACTGGGACAACTGAATAGCCACATGCAAAAGAATGAAGTTGGACCCTTACCTCACACCATACACAAAAATTAACTCAAAACAGATTGAAATATTAAATGTAGGAGCCCAAAATACAAACCTCTTAAAAGTAAACATAGAAATAATGACTCTGGATTTAGTGACAGCTTCTGAGATATGACACTGAAAGCAAGAGAAGTCAAAGAAAAAATAGAGAAATTGGACATCAGCAAAATAGAAAACATTTACACTTCAAAATACACTATTGAGAAAGTGAAAGACAACCCATGGAATGCAATAAAATTTTCACAAATCACATATCTAATAAGCAACTTGTATATAGACTACATAAAGAGCTCTTACAACTCAATACTAAAAAGACATACAATCTAAATAAAAAATGGGCAAAGGATCTGGAGGTATTTCTCCGAAGAATACATACATGTGGCCAAAAAGCACACGAAAAGTTGCTCTACCTCATTAGTCATCAGGGAAATGCAAATCAAAGCCACAATCAAACGCCACTTCACACCCACTGGCATGGCTATAATGAAGACATCAGGTAAAAAGAGGGAGAATGTGGAGAAATTGGAACCACTCACATACACTGGTGGGAATGGAAAATGCCATTGTGGAAAACAGGCACTCCTTTAAAAGTTTCCATAGTTACCATTTGACCCACCAATTTCACTCCTAGGTATGCACCCAAAAGAAATGGAATGTCTACATAAAAGCTTGTACAGGAATTTTTATTATTTATTTATTATTTATTTATTTATTTATTTTGTTGAGACAGAGTCTGACTCTGTCGCCCAGGGTGGAGTGCAGTGGTGCGATCTCAGCTCACTGCAACCTCCTTCCCCCTGGGTTCAAGTGATTCTCTTGCCTCAGCCTCCCAAGTACCTGAGATTACAGGCACCTGCCACCGTGCCCAGCTAATTTTTTTTTGTATTTTTAGTAGAGACGGAGTTTCAGCATCTTGGCCAGGCTGGTCTTGAACTCCTGACCTCATGATCCACCTGCCTCGGTCTTCCAAAGTGCTTGGGATTACAGGCGTGAGCCACTGCGTCTGGCCTTGTACAGGAATTTTCATAGTAGCATATTATTATTCATAATAGCTAAATAATGAGAACAATCCAAATGTCCATTAACTGCTGAATGGATAAATGAATGAAATGTGATATATCCAATGTGATAAAACCATACCGTGGAATAGTATTCAGCCATAAAAGGGAGGAACTACTGATACATGCTACGGCATGGATGAGATTATTAAAATGTTCTAAAATGGATGGTGTTGATTGTGGTAATACTCTTTAAATATACTGAAAACACTCAATTCTACTCTGTAAATGAGATATGTTTTATCTCTGTACAGCTGGTAGAATAAACAAGATCTGCATATTTCTTAATCTCATGGTTAATTTTTAGTTCTCATCTTCCTAGAACTCTTGGCAGCAGCTCACAAAGTTGTTCATTTTCTCCTTCATAAATTTCTATCTTTTCTTGGCTTCAAGGACATCACTATTCTCTTACTTCATTACCTACTCCTCATTCTGTTTTGTTGAATCTTCCTCATCTACACCCTTTTTTTTTTTTTTTTTTTTTTGAGACAGCGTTGCTCACTCTGTCACCCAGGCTGGGAATGCAGTGGTGCAATCATAACTCACTGCAGCCTCAAACTGCTGGCCTCAAGTGATCCTCCCAACTCAGCCTCCCAACTAGCCAGGACAACAGGCATGCACCACCATGCCAGACTATTTTTAAAAAATTGTTTTTTATAGTGATGGGGTCTTACTATGTTGCCCAGGTTGGTCTTGAACTCCTCGGCTCATGAGATCCTCTCACTTTAGCCTCCCAAAGTGCTGGGATTACAGGTGTGGGCCACCAAGCCCAGCCTATTTTAAAAATCTGAACAGGCCAGGCACGGTGGCTCATGCCTATAATCCCAGCACTTTGGGAGGCTGAGTCAGGCAAATCACGAGGTCAGGAATTCGAGACCAGCCTGGCCAACATGGTGAAACCCTGTCTCTACTAAAAATACAAAAAATTAACTGGGCGTGGTGGCAGGTGCCTCCCAAGCTACTTGGGAGGCTGAGGCAGGAAAATCACTTGAACCTGGGAGGCAGAGGTTGCAGTGAGCCAAGATCGCGCCACTGCACTCCAGCCCGGGCAACAGTGTGAGACTGTCTCAAAAAAAAAAAAAAAAAGAAAAGAAAAGAAAAAAATAAAAGAAAATGGGGCTGTGGTGGAGTTGGTCAGTGCATGTTGTTCTGTACTCGCAATGAAGAAGAGCCTATTGCCAGGCTGTTAGGACATATAAATTGTATATCCCTGCTTAACAACAAATGACAGCAAAGAGATACATCTTACGGTGCCCAAGCTTAGTGCGCCCGAGAGAGTTCCAGCTTGTAATTACATGCTATAATGTGTTCCACGTCTGTATTCCTTTGATTACTGAGATGTGCTGCACATTGAGCGAACTTCACCTGGGTGTCACCACCCCACTGGGATCATTGAGGGTACAGTTCTTGAGTCTGTAGCATTAATGAAGGCAGTGGATTCTCCTTGAGGCCCAAACTAGCTTTTGATTCATGTATTTTTAGGAACTCTGCTGGTGAACATATTTCTGAATAATTTAGTGTACTATCATTGATGACACTAGATGATAAAAACTATCCTCTACTTAAGTGAATCGAGCAGCAGAAGACACTAAAATCTTCTGGTTTTATAATTCAGTGTATAGAAGATGAGATATGTGGATAAAAATATCAATATTTCATTGCACACAGTAGAAATGTTAGGGACACACTGTGACTTGAGGAAAGACAATAGCGGAAAAATAATAAAAGCTTATTGTACAAGTGTAAGGACAGTTTTTTTTTTTTTTAGAGACTGAGTCTCGCTCTGTCGCCCAGGCTGGAGTGCAGTGGTGTGACCTTGGCTCACTGCAACCACCTCTGCCTCCTGGGTTCAAGTGATTCTCCTGCCTCAGCCTCCCAAGTAGGTGGGACCACAGGCACGTGCCACCACGCTTGGCTAATTTTTTGTATTTTTAGTAGAGATGGGGTTTCACTGTGTTAGCCAGGATGGTCTCCATCTGCTGACCTTGTGATCCACCAGCCTTGGCCTCCCTAAGTGCTGGGATTACAGGCGTGAGCCACTGCGCCCAGCCGGTAAGAACAGTTTTGATGGTAGGTAATGGACGCCGTAACCACCTACAAGGAATAGTGTACTGCTTCATAACGGTTTTTCTAAAAAAATAGCTTAATTGGGCCGGGCGAGGTGTCTCAGGCCTGTATTTCCAACACATTGGGAGGCCGAGGAGGGCGGATCACTTGAGGTCAGGAGTTCGAGACCAGCCTAGCCAACAGGGTGAAATCCCGTCTCTACTAAAACTACAAAAATTAGCCGGGCTTGGTGGCACATACCTGTAGTCCCAGCTACTTGGGAGGCTGAGGCAGGAGAATCACTTGAACCCGGGAGATGGGGGCTGCAGTGAACTGAGATCGGGTCAATGCACTCCAGCCTGGAAGACAGAATGAGACTGTCTCAAATAAAATAAAATAAAAACAAAAATAAAAAATAGCTTAATTGAGGTATGCTTTACAGATCATAAACTGTACATATTTCAAGTGTGTAGTCTGACAAATGGATCTTCCTTGTCTTCCTGCGCCTTACATGAAGGAGTACCCAGGATTCAGGCTTTGAACTTTTTTCCAGGTATTCTCATTGCCTGGGTTATGCTGCCCAGGTTTGCAGATGTGAATATACATCTGTAAAACCATCACCATAATCATGAAAATGAGCATATCCCTCATTCCCAAAGTGTCCTCATGCCCCTTTGTGTAATCGCTTCCTCCTGCCGTGCCTGAAGTTATGTGGATATAGTTGTTCATAGTATTTCCTTATAGTGCCTTTTAATGTCTGTGGGATATGGAGGGATATCCTTCCCTTATTCCTAATATGGGTAATTTGTGTTTTATCTTTTTTGTCAGTCTTTCCAGAAGTTCATTAATTTTATTGCTGTTTCAAAGGACCAGTGTTCATTTTCGCTCTTCTTTTTTCGTTTATTTTCAATTTTGTTGATTTCTTCTCTGATCCTTGTTTCCTTCCTTCCGCTTGGTTAGGTTTCTTTTGCTAGTTTCTTTTTCTAGTTTCTTGGGGTAGAAGCTCAGGCTATTGATTTAAGACCTTTTTCTTTTTCTAATATAAGCATCTGATGGCATAAATTGCCCTCCAATCACTATTTCAAGGGCATCCCACAAATTTTGATATGTTCTATTTTCATTTTCACTCAATTCAAAATAATTTGTAATTTCCCTTGGAACTTCCTCTTTGATCCATGAACAATTTAGAAGTGTGTTGTTTAATTTCTAAGCATTTGGGGGATTTTTCTTTCTCTTATTCAGTTCCAGGTTACTTTCATTATGTTAGAGCCCATACTTTGTATGATTTCAACTCTTCTAAGTTTGTTACAGTTTGTTTTATTTATTTATTTTTTTCCAGACAGAGTCTTGCTCTGTTGCCCAGGCTGGAGTGCAGCAGCATGATCTTAGCTCACAGCAATCTCCGCCTCCCAGGTTCAGGCAATACTCCTGCCTCAGCCTTCCGAGTAGCTGGGGACTACAGGTGCACACCACCTGTAATTACCCAGCACCATACCTGGGTAATTTTTTGTATTTTTTGTAGAGAGAGGGTTTTGCCATGTTGGCCAGGCTGGTCTTGAAACTCCTGACCTCAAGTGATCCGCCCACCTCGGCCTCCCAAAGTGCTGAGATTACAGGCAGGAGCCACACATCTTTTTACTTTAAAGCTGCCTATATCATTGTGTTTGAACTGAGTTTCTCGTAGACAGCATGTATTTGGTTCATTTAACATCCATTTTGATAATCTCTATTTATTTGTATATGTTGAGACAGGGTCTTGCTCTGTCACCCAGACTGGAGTGTGGTGGTGCGATCACAGCTCACTGCAGCCTTGACTTCCTGTACTCAAGTGATCTTCCCACCTCAGACTCCTGAGTAGCTGGGACTACTCAGATGTGAGCCACCACAGCTGGCTAATTTTATTTCTTTATCATAATTATTATTATTTTATTATTTGTAGAGACAGGGTCTCATTATGTTACTTACTCAGGCTGGTGTTGAACTCCTGGGCTCCTAAAGTGGCGGGATTAGGGGCGTGAGCCACCACGCCTGGCCAGTAATCTCTGACTTCAAATTGCTGTGTTTAAACCATTTGCATTTTTAAAAATTATGGATGTGGTTGGATTTAGGTGTTTTTGTTTTTGTTTTTGTTTGAGATGGAGTTTCACTCTTGTTGCCCAGGCTGGAGTGCAATGGCACGATCTGGGCTCACTGCAACCTCTGCCTCCCGGTTTCAAGCAATTCTCCTGCCTCAGCCTCCCAAGTAACTGAGATTACAGGCACGTGGCACCATGCATGGCTAATTTTGTATTTTTAGTGGAGATAGGGTTTCTCCATGTTGGTCAGGCTGGTCTTGCACTCCCAATCTCAGGTGATCCGTCCACCTCAGTCTCTCAAAGTGCTGGGATTACAGGCGTGAACCACCACGCCTGGCCTGGATTTAGGTTTAACATTTTATTACTTGTTTTCTGTTTGTTCCCTCTGGTTTATGCTTGTTTCCTCTTTTCTGACTTCTTTGGGATTATGTGACTATTTTCTACTATTCCAATTTAATTTATGATTTCTTTTTGATGATATCTCTCCATACAGCTTTTTTCCTTCTTTTTATTTATTTAGTGGTAACTCTAGATACTATGATATACATACTTAACTTTTCAGTTTACTAAGAATTAGTATTTTACCATACTTTTTTTTTTTTTTGAGATGGAGTCTCACTCTGTCGCCCAGGCTGGAGTCCAGTGTCATGATTGTGGCTCACTGCAACCTCCAGCTCCCAGGTTCAAGTGATTCTCCTGCCTCAGCCGCCCAAGTACCTCGGATTACAGGCACCCTCCACCGTGCCCAGCTAATCTTTGTATTTTTAGTAGAGACAGGGTTTCGCCATGTTGGCCATGGTTTCGAACTCCTGACCTCAGGTGATCTGCCTGCCTCGGCGTCCCAAAGTGCTGGGATTACAGGCGTGAGCCACCGTGCCCAGCCTTTTTTTTTTTTTTTTTTTTGAGATGGAGTGTCTCGCTCTGTTGCCCATGCTGGAGGGCAGTGGCACAATCTCTGCTCACTGCAACCTCTGCCTTGTGGGTTCAAGAGATCTTCTCATCTCAGTCTCCTAAGTCGCTGGAATTACAGGTGAGCACCATCAAGCCTGGCTAATTTTTGTATTTTCAGTAGAGACAGGGTTTTGTCATGTCGGCCAGGCTGGTCTCGAACTCCTGGCCTCAAGTGATCCACCTGCCTCGGCCTCTCAAAGTGCTGGGATTACAGGCGCAAGCCATAGAAAGTAGAGAAATTTTTGAAGGTGTCCTTTCTCTATCAAAAAGAGCAACCTCTTAGCTGCAATCTTTTTGGCAGTGAAAAATTCTGAAAGTGAGCAGTGTTTTCTTTTTACATAATTCAAGAGAGTGTTTTTTATGTAGAACTTAAAAGGATTTATTCCTAACTGAGACTCAAACTCAAAGGTTAGAATCTCTTTAAAGGATTGGAGCACTCATTATTATAAAAATGTGTTCTACTATAGTTTGTCCAAATAGAGGCGTTGTATGTTTCTTCAAAAGGGGAGAAAGCCTAAAATTATTTTGAGGATATTGTGTTCCCAATTTAAATAATTAAAATTATTTTAGGGTTCTTTAAATGTTATACACACACATTTACTTTTTAGAATAAACAGTTCATTAATTTACATATAATATAAAGCCCCATTTTAAGCATACAGTAAAATAAATTTTGACAAATAAACACATCTGCATAATAACCACCAAAATCAAGACACAGAATATTTCTATCACCCCTAAAAGTTCATGTACTGTTTCAATCAATCCTTCCACCATTCCTGAATCCAAGCAAATACTGATCTGTTTTCTTTCCGTATTAATTTTGCCTGTTCTAGAATTTCATGCAATTGGAATCATATAGTGTACTTTTTTGTGTCTAGCTTCTTTCACTCAGCATAATATTTTTGAGATTTATCCACATTGTTGGGTCTATCAGTAGTTCATTTCTTTTTTTACTGACTCCTATTTCATTGTATTTAATATGAATATACCATAATTTGATTGTCTTTTCACTTGTTGATGAACTTTTGGTTTGTCTTCAGGTTTTGAATATTGTGAATAAAACTGATATAGACATTCATGTAAAAGATACAGCTAATTTTTGTTTTTTAAGTAGAGATGGGGTTTCAGCATGTTGGCCACGCTGCTCTCGAACTCCTGACCTCAAGTGATCCAGCCACCTCGGCCTCCCAAAGTGGAAAAAAAAAGTCTTTATATGGATGTGTATTTTCACTTTTCTTGGGTAAATACCTAGGAGAGGGATTCCTAGGCCATATGATAAATATATGTTTTACTTTATAAGAGAATGCAAAACTGTTTTCCAAAATGGATGTATCATTTACATCCCACCAGTAATGTATAAAGGTTCCACTTGCTCCACCTTGTAACTTATTACTGGTATAGGCAGGCTTAAAATTTTAGCTATTTTATTGAGTGAGTAGTTAATCCTATTATGATTTTAATTTCCATTTCCCTGATGACTAAATACATTGAACATCCTTTCATGTGCTTATTAACACATATATGTTCTCTAAATTTTATCTGAAGATAGTTGAAGAAATGCTTCTTCAAATCTTTTCTGTAATGGCCAATGTGTCTTACTGGGTTGTGTTTATTTGTATTATTGGGTAATTGTGTTATTTGTCTTATTATTGTTATCAAAATTTTTCTATATATTCTAGAAATGAATAATTTGTCATATATATGTATATATGTATTTTTTTCTACAGTCTGTGGCTTGCTATCTTTAGATGGGGAGAAGTTTTAAGTTCCAATGAAGTCAATTTAGTATCATTTTTAATGGTTTGTGCTTTTGTGCCCTAAGAAATGTTTGCCTATCCCAAGGTTGTAAAGATTTTCTCCTAGTATTTTTCTACTTTTAGCACTTACATTTAAGGTATACAATCCATTTTGAATTCAGTTTTGTGTGTTTAGTGACGTTAAGCGTCAAGGTTCATCTTTTTTCCCCATAAGGATGCCCAGTTGTGCCACAACCATTTGTTAGAAGGAATATCTTCTCTCCATTCAGTTTTACCTTTAATCTCTGTTGGAAATCAATTGGCCAAATCAATATTCACCAATGTATGAATACATTTTTGAGTTTTTCCTCACTGCCTTGACTATTGTAGCTTTATAGTAAGTCTTAAAATCAGGCAGTGTAAAACCTCCAAGTTCATTCTTCTTCAGAATTATTTTGGTCATTTTAGATCCTTTGGTATTCAATGTACATTTTAGAATCAGAAATTCCATTTCAAAAATCCTTCTGAGACTGCAATAGTGATTGTACTGAATCTTTACATTGATATTATGTCTTCTAGTTCATGAACATAGATATCTCTCCATTTACTGAGGTTTTTAAAAATTTCAGTATTTTAGAGTTTTAGTGTAAAGATCTTGCACATACATTTGAATTGGTTAAAAATTTTATTTTGTATATTATTATAAATGATATTAATATTTACTTTCTAATTATTTGCTGGTAGTATAAAAAATACAGTTGGTTTTTGTATATTGACTATCAAATGATCCTGTTAATATCACTCATTGATTAACAATGTACATTTTTTAGGATTTTCCACACATGTAGTCATGACCTATAAATAAAGACTGTTTTACTTATTTCTTTCCAACCAGTAAGCCTTTCTTTTTCTTCTTCTTACTTTATTGCATCATCTAGGCCCTCCAGAAAAAGGAAGAAAAGTGGGAAGGTAAACATTCTTGCTTTGTTCCCAATCTTAGAGTAAAAACATTTGGTGCTTTACCATTAAGTATGTTTTATTTAAATTTGTTTTTGGTAGATAACTTTTATCAGGTCTCAAAAGTTCCCTTCAATTATTTGTTGACTATGAATGTTGCTTTTAAAAAACTGGCCGAGAGCAGTGGCTCAGACCTGTAATTCCTGCACTTTGGGAGGTCAAGGCAGGCGGATCACCTGAGGTCATGAGTTTGAGACCAGCCTGGCCAACATGGTGAGACCCAGACTCTACTAAAAATACAAACATTAGCTGGGCATGGTGGCAGGTGCCTGTAGTTCCAGCTACTTGGGGATCTGAGGCAGGAGAATCACTTGAACCCAGGAGGTGGAGGTTGTTTTGCAGTGAGCTGAAATCACCCCACTGCATTCCAGTCTGGGTGACAGAGTGAGACTCTGTCTCAAAAAAAAAAAAAAAAAAAGTTCCTTCAATTATTTGTTGACTATGAACATTGCTTTTAAAAAATCAGCTGGGCGTGGTGGCTTATGCCTGTAATCTCAGCACTTTGGGAGGCCAAGGCAGGCGGATCACGAGGTCAGGAAATCAAGACCATCTTAGCTAACATGGTGGAACCCTGCTGTCTACTAAAAATACAAAAAATTAGCCTGGCGTGGTGGCATGCGTTTGTAATCCCAGCTACTCGGCGGGCTGAGGCAGGAGAATCTCTTGAACCCAGGAGGCAAAGGTTGCAGTGAGCAGAGATCGCACCACTGCACTCCAGCCTGGGCAACACAGCAAGACTCCATCACACACACACACACACACACACACACACACACACACACACAAAATTAGCTGGGCATCGCGGTATGCGCCTGTAATCCCAGCTACTTGGGAGGTTGAGGCATGGACTCACTTGAGCCCAGGAGGCAGAGGTTGCAGTGAGCTGAGATTGTGCCACTGCACTCTAGCCTGGGCAACAGAGTGAGACTCTGTCTTAAAAAAAAAAAAATCATAAAAGGGTGTTAAATTTTGTTTTTGTGCATCTATTGAGAGAATTATGTTTTTCTATTTTACCTGTTAATGTGCTAAATTTCGTTGATTTATTTTTTATTGTTTTTTATAATTTTTTGAAAAAGACAATTGAGATAAAATTCACATACTATACAATTCACTCATTTGAAGTATACAATTCAATGGTTTTTAGTATGTTTTCAGAGTTGTCCCACCATCATCACATACAATTTTACATTACCACACTTTTGCCAGGTGCAGTGGCTCACATCTGTAATCCCAGTACTTTCCAAGGCCAAGGTGGGAGGATTGCTTGAGGTCAGGAGTTCGAAACCAGCATGGGCAACATAGTGAGACCCTGTCTATACGAAAAAATAACAACAACGAAAAAAACAAAACATAAAACAAAAACACAAGCAAAAAATAAATCCAACACTTGAAAAGAAAACTCCCTACTCATTAACAGTCACTCCCATTTACCCCTAACCTTTCCAGCCCTGGGCACACAATAATCTACTTTCTATCTCTAGAGATTTGATAATTCCACACATTTCCTTTAAATGGAATCATGAAATATGACTTTTTTTTTTTTTAGATGGAATTTTGCTTATATCGCCCAGGCTGGAGTGCAATGGTGCAATCTCGGCTCACTGCAACCTCTGTCTCCTGGGTTCAAGCGATTCTCCCACCTCAGCCTCCTGAGTAGCTGGGATGACAAGCACCCGCCACCACGCCCAGCTAATTTTTTGTATTTTTAGTAGAGATGGGGTTTCACCATGTTGGCCAGGTTGGTCTCAAACTCCTGACCTTAGGTGATCTACCTGCCTTGGCCCCTCATAGTGCTGGGATTACAGGTGTGAGTCATTCCCGGCCTAATATGAGGTCTTTTAAAGCTAGCTTCTTTCACTTAGCATGATGTTTTCAAGGTACATCCATGTTATAGCATTATTAGTACATTATTTCTTTTTATTGCCAAACAATATTCCATTGTATCAACAGAACACATTTTATTCACTTAATCCTCTGTCAGTTGTTTGTGCTGTGTCCACATTTTTGCTTTTATGAGTAATGCTGCTACAGCATTTGTGTACGACTTCCTTTTTTTTTTTTTTTTTTTTTGAGACAGAGTCTCACTCTGTAACTCAGGCTGGAGTGCAGTGGCACGATCTCGCTCACTGCTACCTCTACCTCCCGGGTCCTGGTTCAAGCTGTTCTCCTGCCTCAGCCTCCCGAGTAGCTGGCATTACAGGCACGCACCACCATGCCCAGCTAATTTTTGTATTTTTAGTAGACATGGGGTTTCATCATGTTGGCCAGGCTGGTCTTGAACTCCTGACCTCATGATCCACTGGCCTCGGCCTCCCAAAGTGCTGGGATTACAGGCATGAGCCACCGTGCCCAGCTTGTGTATGACTTTTTGTGTGGACTAAGATTTTATTTCTCTTGGGCATATATCTAGGAATAGAATTGCTGGGCCATACATATGATAACCCTATGTTTAACCTTTTGAGAAATTACCAAACTGCTTTCCAAAGAGATTGCAACATGTTACATTCCCACCAGTAGCGTAGTGGGGTTCCAGTTTCTTCATATATTTGCCACCTTATCTTTTGGATTGCAGCAATCCTAGTGGGCGTGAAGTGCCACCTCATTGTGGATTTGGTTTGCATCTCCTTGACAGCTAACGGTGTTGCATCTTTTCATGGTTTATTGGCCATTTATACATCTTTTTTGGAGAAATTCAAAATTTTTGCCCATTTTTACTTGGATGGTTTGTCTTTTCATTATTGAGTTATAAGAGTTCTTTATATATTCTATATACAAGCCCCTTACCCAAGAAATGATTTGGGATTTTTCTCCCTATTTTGTGGGTTGTTTTTTAATTTTCTTGATGGTATCTTTTGAAGAACAATAGTTTTTAATTTTTAATTTTTTTATTTTTATGTTTTGAAGACAGAGTTTCACTCTTGTCGCCCAGGCTGGAGTGCAGTGGCACGATCTCGGCTCACTGCAACCTGCACCTCCTGGGTTCAAGCAATTCTGCCTCAGCCTCCCGAGTAGCTGGGATTACAGGCGTGCACTACCGTGCCTGGCTAACTTTTGTATTATTAGTAGAGACAGGGTTTCGCCATGTTGGTCAGGCTGGTCTCAAACTCCTGACCTCAGGTGATCCACCCTCCTCAGCCTCCCAAAGTGTTGGGATTACAAAGCCTGAGCCACCGTGCCCTGCCAATAGTTTTGAATTTTTATGGCGTCCAGTTTATCTTTTTTTTCTTTCATTGCCTCTGCTTTCAGCATCGTATCTAAGAAACCAGTGCCTAATGTTATCCTGTAAGAGTGCTTTGTTTTTGTTTTTTTTTTTTTTTTTTTTGGAGACGAAGTCTTGTTCTTGTCTGCCAGGCTGGAGTGCGATGGAGCGATCTTGGCTAACTGCAGTCTCCTGGGTTCAAGCAATTCTCCTGCCTCAGCCTCCTGAGTAGCTGGGATTACAGACACCTGTTACCACGCCTAGCTAATTTTTGTATTTTTATTAAAGACAGGGTTTCACCATGTTGGCCAGGCTGGTCTCAAACTCCTGACCTCAGGTGATCCACCCGCCTTGGCCTCCCAAAGTGCTGAGATTACAGGTGTGAGCCACCGTGCCCGGCCTGTTATCCTCTAAGAGTTTTATAGTTTTAGCTCTTACCCGTAAGTCCTTAATCTATTTGGGTTTAATTTTTGTATATGGAGTGAAGTAGAAAATCCAACTTCATTTTTGTGCATATGAATATCAGTTGTCCCAGCACCATTTGTTGAGAAAACTATTCTTTCCCCCATTGAGTTGTCTTGACACCCTTGTCAAAAATCAAGTCATCATAAATGTGAAAGTTTATTTCTGAACTCTCAGGACAGTAAGGTTCATTATGCCAAAACCATACTGTCTTGATTACTTAGCTTTCTAGATAGTTTTGAAATTGGGAGGAGTGAGTCTGTCAATTTTGTTCTTGTTTTTCCAGATCATTTTAGCTAATTCTAGATCCCTTGAATTTCTAGATGAATTTTAGGATCAGGTTGCCAGTTTCTGCAAAGAAGTTAGCTGGAATTTTGGTAATGAATGCACTGAATCTGTAGGTCAACTTGGGGGTACTGCCATCTAAACAATATTAAACCTTCCAGTCTGTGGACATGGGATGTTATCCCATTTACTTAGATCATCTTTAATTTTTTTCAAAAATGTTTTATAGTTTTCAAAATACAAGTTTTGCACTTTGTTAAATTTATTCCTTAGTATCACTTTTTCTTGAGCTATTATAAATGGAATTGTCTTCTAAGTTTCATTTTCAGATTGATCACTAAAAATGTACAGACATACAATTGATTTTTTTTTTTTTTTTTTGAGACACAGAGTCTCACTCTGTCACCCAGGCTGGAGTGCAGTGGCATGATCTCAGCTCACTGCAACCTCTGCCTCCTGGGTTCAAGTGATTCTTCTGCCTCAGCCTCCCGAGTAGCTGAGATTACAGTCACCTGCCACCACACTCGGCTACTTTTTGTATTTTAGTAGAGACAGGCTTTCACCATGTTGGTCAGGCTGGTCTCGAACTCCTGACCTCAAATGATCTGCCCATCCCAGCCTGCCAAAGTGTTTGGATTACAGGCGTGAGCCACTGCGTCTGGCACAATTGATATTTGTATGTTGATCTTTTATCCTGAAACTTTACAGAACTCATAGCTTAGTTTTAAGGCTTTTTAAATTAAGCTCCTTAGGATATTCTAGATACAAGATCATTGCATTTGCTAATAGAAATAATTTTATTTCTTCCTTTCCAATCTGGATGTTTTTATTTCTTATAATTATCCTGGTTAGAACCTCTAGTATAATATTGAATAGAAGTGATGAGAGCAGATATCTTTGTCTTATTCCTGATCTGAGAGTGAAAATATTCAGTCTTTTACCATTAAGTGTAATGTTAACTGTAGGTTTTTCATAAATGTCATTTATCAGGTTGAGAAAGTTCCTTTCTGTTCCTAGTTTGTTGAATGTTTTTATTATGAAAGATTGTTACATTTCATCAAATGCTTTTTTTCTACAGCTATTGAGATAATCTTGTGTTTTTTTGTCCTTTATTCTATTGGTATCATGTATTACATTAATTGATCTTCAGATGTTAAACCACCTTTGCATTTCTGGGATAAATCCCACTTGGCCATGAGGCATAAATCTTTTTATATGTGGCTGGTTTCACTTTTCTAGTATTTTGTTCAGGATGTTTACATCTATACTCCACAGATGTTTTCTAGTGCTATTCTTGTTGGGGTTTAGTATGAGGGAAATACTGGCATAATAGAATGATTTGGGAAGCATTTTATACCCTTTTATTTTTGGAAGAGTTGGTGAAGAATTGGTATTAATTACTATTTAAGTGTTTGGTAGAATTCACAAGTGAAGTTACCTGGGCCTAGAATTTTCATCGTGGTAGTTTTCTGATGATTAATTTAATCTCTTTGTTATAGATTTATTTAAATTGTCCCTTTCTTCTTGAGCCAGTTGCAGTAGTTGTGGCTTTTTAGCCATCTGTCTATCTCATCTAAGCTATTTAACTTTTAGCCAGCTGGGACCTGTAGTCCCAGCTACTTGGGAGGCTGAGGCAGATGGATTGCTTGAGCCTTGAAGGCAGAGGCTGCAGTGAGCTGAGATTGCACCACTGCACTCCAGCCTGGGCAACAGTGAGACCCTGTCTCCAAAAATAAATAAATAAATAAAAGTTATCTAATTTGTTGGCATACAGATATTGATAAATAAGTTATCCCCTATAATACTTTTTTTTTTTTCTTTTTGAGATGGAGTTTTGCTCTTGTTGCCCAGGCTGGAGTGCAATGGTGTGATCTTGGCTCACCACAACCTCTGCCTCCCGGGTTCAAGCGATTCTCCTGCCTCAGCCTCCCGAGTAGCTGGGATTACAGGCATGTGCCACCACGCCTGGCTAATTTTGTATTTTTTAGCAGAGACAGGGTTTCTCCATGTTGGTCAGGCTGGTCTTGAACTCCGAACCTCAGGTGATCCGCCCGTTTCTGCCTCCCAAAGTGCTGGGATTACAGGCTTGAGCCACCGCCCCCAGCCTCATCATTACAAACAGAAACTCTATACCCATTAATCAACAAATCACCATTTTACCCTACCCCAGCCCCTGATAACCTCTATTCTACTTTATGTCTTTATGAATATTCATAAAATACTTGTCATTTTGTGTCTGGCTTATTTCTCTTAGCTTAATCTTTTCAAAGTTCTCTTAATCTTTTCAAAGTACAAATATTGTACTCATACAATATTTGTCCTTTTGTGTCTGGCTTATTTCACTTAGCTTAATCTTTTCAAAGTTCATCCATATCATATCACGTGTCAAAACTTCATTTCTTTTTAAGGCTGAATAATATTCCACTGTATATACAAACTACATTTTGTTTATCCATTCCTCTGTTGATAGATATTTGGGTTGTTCTGCTCCTGAATGACTTTTGGGTAAATAATGAAATTGAGGCAGAAATCAAGAAATATTTGAAACTAATGAGAACAAAGATACAGCATATCAGACTCTCCAGGGACATAGCTAAGGCAGTGTTGAGGGAAGTTTATATTAATAGCACTAAACGTCCACATCAAAAAGTTAGATCTCAAATTAAGAACCTAATATCACAACTAGAGGAACTAGACAAGCAACAGCAAACCAAACCCAAATCTAGCAGAAGACCAGAAATAACCCAAATCAGAGCTGAATTGAAGGAAATTGAGAAGCAAAAAACTATACAAAAGGTCAATGAACCCAGGAATTGTTTCTTTGGAAAAGTTAGTAAGATAGACCACTAGCTAGACTAATAAAGAAAAAAGAGTTTGGGAGGGGTGGCTCACGCCTGTAATTTCAGGACTTTGGGAGGCCGAGGCAGGTGGATCACTTGCAGCCAGGAGTTTGAGACCAGCCAGGCCAAAATGGAGAAACCCCATGTCGACTAAAAAATACAAAAATTAGTTGTGTGTGGTGGCGCATACCTGTAATCCCAGTTACTTGGGAGGTTGAGACAGGAGAATTGCTTGAATCCGGGAGGCAGAGGTTGCAGTGAGCCAAGATCACGTCACAGCACTCCGGCCTGGGCCTCAGGGTGAGACTCTGTCAGAAAAAAAAGAAAAAAGAAAAAAGAGAGAAGAACCAAATATACACAATTAGAAATGAGAAAGATGAAATTACCACCATCTGCACAGAAATACAAAAACCCTATGCACACAAACTAGAAAATCTAGAAGAAATGGATAAATTCCTGGACACATACCACCTCCCAAGATTGAACTAGGAAGAAATTGCATCCCTGAACAGACTAATAATGAGTTCTGAAATTGAAGCAGTAATAAAAAGCCTACCAACCAAGAAAAGCCCAGGACCAGATGGATTCACAGCTGAATTCTACCAGATGTATAAAGAAGAGCTGGTAGCATTCCTACTGAAACTATTCCAAAAATTGAGGGGAGGGTCTCCTCTCCAACTCATTTTATGAGGCCAGTGTCATCCTGATACCAAAACCTGGCAAAACACAACAACAAAAAAATCTTCAGGTCAATATCCTTGATGAACATGGATGCAAAAATCCTTAACAAAACACTGGCAAACTGAATCCAGTAGCACATCAAAAAGCGAATCCACCGTGATTGAGTAGACTTTACCCCTGGGATGCAAGGCTAGTTCAATACACAAATAAAAAAAGAAAAAATATATACAAATTAAAAAAAAAAGATTGGTTCAACACACGGAAATCAATAAATGTGATTCGTCACATAAACAGAACTAAAAACAAAAAGCATAATGATCTCAATAGATGCAGAAAGGCTTTTGATAAAATTCAACATCGCTTCATGTTAAAAACTCTCAATAAACAAGGCATTGAAGGAATATACGTCAAAATAATAAGAGCTATCTATGACAAACCCACAGCCAACATCATACTGACTGGGTAAAAGCTGGAAGCATTCCCCTTGAAAACTGCCACAAGACAAGGAACCACTCCTATTCAATATAGTACTGGAAGTCCTGGCCAGAGCAATGAGGCAGGAGGAAGAAATAAAAGGCATCCAAATAGGAAGAGAGGAAGTCAAACTATCCCTGTTTACAGATGATATGATTCTATATCTAGAAAACCCCATAGTCTCTGCCCTAAAACTCCTTGATCTGGTAACTTCAGCAAAGTTTCAGGATACAAAATTAACGTACAAAAATCAATAGCATTCCTAAACACCAACAACATCCAAGCTGAGAGCCAAATCAGGAATGCAATCCCATTCACAATTGCCACAAAAAGAAAAAAATACCTAAGAATACAGCTAACCAGCGAGGTGAAAGATCTCTACAAGAAGAATTACAAAACACTGCTCAAGGAAATCAGAGATGACTCAAACAAATGGAAAAAACATTCCATGTTTGTGGATAGGAAGAATCAATATCATTATAACGGCCATACTGCCCAAAGCAACTTACATATTTAACATCACTCCTATCAAACTACCAATGACATTCTTCATGGAGCTAGAAAAAACTATTTAGAAGTTCTTATGAAAAAAAAAAAAAGAGCCTGAATAGCCAAGGGAATTCTAAGCAAAAAGAACAAAGCTGGAGGCATCATATTACTCAACTTCAAACTATACTACAGGGCTACAGTAACCAAAACAGCATGGTACTGGTACAAAAGCAGACACATAGACCAATGGAACAGAAATTTGTTGAAGTGTAATTAACGTAAAATAAGCACACCCATTTTAGGTGCACCTTTCAATGAGTTTTCACAAATATAATCTCACCATATTCAAGATATAGAACATTTCCATCATCCCCCAAAGTTCCTTCATATCTCCTTGCAACAATCCCAACCCAACTCTTGGCACCAGGGAATGACTGATTTGCTTTGTGTCACTATTGATTAGTTTTACATTTTCTAGAATTTTCTATAAATGTAATCATAACAATATACTCTTTATGTCTGGCCTTTCAGCATGTTTCAGGGATTTATCAATGTTGTATGTGTTAGTACTTTGCTCATTTGTATTGTTGAGTATTATTCCATTCTTTTCTTTTTTAAAAAACAGAGACAGGGTCTTGCTCTGTTTCTCAGGCTGGAGTACAGTGGCACAATCATGGCTCACTGCAGCTTCAAACTCCTGGGCTCAGGCACTCTTCCTTGCCTCAGCCGCCTGAGTAGCTAGGACTACAAGTGAGGGCCACCACGTCTGGCTAATTTTTTTTATTTAATTTTTTGCGGAGACAGGGTTTCACTATGTTGCTCAGGTTGGTCTCAAACTCCTGGCTTCATGTGGTGCTGCACTTCAGTCTCTCAAAGTGCTGAGATTACAGGCATGAGCCATTGCACCTGGCCTTGTTGTTGTTGTTTTTTTGTAACTGTAGTTAGTTTATCAAGTTATCTATTGATGAATATTTGGTTGGTTGTTTCCAGTTTTTGAAAATTATAAAGATGATTAAAATCATTTATGTGTATGTTTTGTATGAGCATATGTTTTCATTCTTCTTAGGTAAATACCAAGAAGTGCAATTGTTTATATGTTTGACTTCATTATTTAAAAAAACTGACAACTGTTTTCAAAGTGATTGTAACATTTCACATTCTTACCAGCAGTGTAGAAGAGTTCCAGTTTCAGTTACTGATTTCTAATTAAATTGCATTTTGTTGGAGAAGCCCGGTATGTGATTTCAATCCTGCTGGATTTATTGAGACTAGTTTCATGGCCCAGCATATGATGAACGTTCCATCTGCACTGAAAACACTGTTTAGTCTGCCATTGCAGGGTGGAGCGTTCTGTAAAAGTTAATTGGATCCAGTTAGTTGATAGTGCTGTTCAAGTCTTCTGTATTCATACCAGTTTTCTGTCTGCTATTTCTATCAATACAAGAGAAGGTGGTGAAATATGCAACTTAAATTATGGATTTGTCTTTTTCCCCTTTCAAATTCTGTCAGTTTTCGCTTCAAGTCTTTTGAAGTTCTACAACTGGGTGCATTCACATTTAGGAATGTTATTTTTTCTTAGTGACTTGATAGTTTATCATTGTGAAATGTCCCTCCTTATGTCTGGTAATATTTCTTGTCCTAAAGTGTGTTTTGCCAGAAATGGATACAGTCAATCCACCTTTCTTATGTCTCATGTTTACCTTTTTTCATCCTTTTACTTTTAACATTCTTGTGTCTGTATAAAGTGGATTTCTTGTAGACACCAGAGAGTCAGACCTTACTTTATTACCCAATTGGATAATCTTTGATTTATAATTGGAATGCTTAATTCATATACATTTAGTATAATTACTGATACGGTTAGGTTTAAATCTACTGTCTTGCTGTTTGTTTTCTATTTATACCATATGTTTTTATTTTTTTCTTCTTTTCCTGCCTTTTTGGATTAGTTGAGTATTTTTCAGTATTTCATTTTATATTCTCCATTGGTGAATAACACTCCTTTTTTAAAAACAATTGTTGCTGTAGGTTTACAGAATACATCTTCAGTTTATCAGTGTACCTTCAAATAATATGATGCCACTCCTACAATCACGTAAGTTTTCAGAACAGTATCCTTTCGAGGTCTTTAGGCTTTGTCTTTTCAGAACCTGAACATCTCTCAGATCTCTGGGGACTGCTCCTCTTACAGTTTCCTAGTAGATGCTCTTTGCTTGGCCTCGCAGAGTTTTACGTTGTGCGTGAGCCAAAGATGTAAGAGGGCTCCCATGTGGATTTCGAGCTCTTGCTCTGTCTAGCTTACTCATCTGTGGTACCCCGCCCTGGAAATTCCAGCTGCCCTCCCTCATCCCTACTTCTGCTCTGTCTCATCAAAGCAGCAAGGCTGCCACGCCCTGCCTGAGATGCCACGCCCTGCCTGAGTTCCCCTCCTGTATCACAATCTGCAAAGCAGCTTCAGAAAGAAAGCTGGGGTGATCGTGGGTCTTGCCTTGTTTCACTTCTCTCGGGGGTTACAGTTCTGCTTTGTCTGTTGTTCAGAGTCTGAAACAATTGTTTCATATATCTTCTCTAGCGTCCTGCTGTTTATTGCAGTAGGGCAAGTCCAGTACCAGTTACTGCTTCATGGCCAGAAGCAGTAGTCTTGTCTCATATTTGTTTTTCTTAGATCTTTATTTTTGCATTCGCTTATACAATTTATTTTTTATGTATCATTGCCACATGGTTCATTAAAAATCTATGTTTATTTTCTGCTTAACAACTGCTTTACTCAGTGGGTTACATGTGCTTGCAGACATACTGCTTAGAGCATTTTCAAAGTAAATATGCTGTTTGTTAAGACTTCTAATGTAAGCTCTATTATTTATTCAAGCTAGTATTCTAATATTCATTCCATTATTATTATTATTATTTTTGAGATGGAGTTTTGCTCTTGTCACCCAGGCTGGAGTGCAGTGGTGCAATCTCAACTCACTGCAACCTCTGCCTCCCAGGTTCAAGTGATTCTCCTGCCTCAGCCTCCCAAGTAGCTGGGATTACAGGCGGCCACCACCATGCCTGGCTAATTTGTTTTATATTTTTAGTAGAGACGAGGTTTCACCATGTTGGCCAGGTTGGTCTCAAACTCCTGACCTCAAGTGATCCGCCCGCTTCGGCCTCCTAAAGTGCTGGGATTATAGGGGTGAGCCACTGTGCCCGACTATTATACCCATTTAAATAGGAGAAAAGATGCTTTAGAGAGATCACACAAGGATTCAAACTCAGATAATCTGGCACCAGGGCTGAGATCTTAACTACAACATATATTAGCTTTCGGAGCTATTTTTGCCTAAATACAAGCATAATATTCCTTGTTTAACAAATATATGGCCAATGTGTGTAGACATGATGGAAGGTCCAGTTTTGAATATGGGTTGAAATGTGTTATCTATTTCCATTAACACTAGAAAGAGTTGTCTGAGAGACAGTGTGAAGACTTTCCTGGAAATGTTTCATAATAGAATTGTTTATATCCTACCTAGGAGAGTGAAGGTAAAATGAAGTCACTTCACTTCCATGTAGTCCATGGCAAACTGTGATAATCAATTTGCAGATGTTCTTGGCTGTATAGAGCTTTTATGCACGGTATTTCTCTTACTCCCTGAACACATGGGATATTTGAGCCTGACAAATTAGCAGTCTTTTCTTATTTTTTTTATTGGAAGCCTGTTTTCATCGCTGTCTTTTGTTTTGCTTTGTTTTGAGACAGGGTCTCACTGTCACCCAGGCCTGGAGAGCAGTGGCATGATCACGGCTCACAGAAGACTTGATCTCCCTGGGCGCAAGTGATCCTCCTGCCTCAGCCTCCTGAGTAGCTGGGACAGGTCTACAGGTGCATGCCACCATGCCTAGCTAATTTTTGTATTTTTTGTAGACATAGTCTCAATATGTTGCCCAGGCTGGTTTCAAACTCCTGGGCTCAAGCGATCTGCCCGCCTCGGCCTCCCAAAATGCTAGGATTACAGGTGTGAGTCACCCCGCCCAGCCTTCATTGTTATTTTTTATTTTATTTATTTATTTATTTATTTATTTTTTGAGGCGGAGTTTTGCTCTTATCGTCCAGGCTGGAGTGCAATGGCGTGATCTCGGCTCACTGCAACCTCCGCCTCCCAGGTTCAAGCGATTCTCTGCCTCAGCCTCTTGAGTAGCTGGGACTACAGGCACACGCCACCACGCCTGGCTAATTTTTGTGTTTTTAGTAGAGATGGGGTTTTGCCATGTTGGCCAGGATGGTCTCGATCTCCTGACCTCATGACCCACCTGCCTCGGCCTCCCAGAGTGCTGGGATTACAGGTGTAAGCCACCACGCCCATCCTCATTGCTATTTTTCTATCAAAACAGCAGGTTAATACTTTGACATCTTAATTTTTTTTTTTTTTTTTTGAGACAGAGTCTTGCTCTGTCACCCAGGCTGGAGTGCAGTGGCGCGATCTCGGCTCACTGCAACCTCCGTCTCCTGGGTTCAAGTGATTCTCCTGTCTCAGCCTCCTGAGGAGCTGGCACTGCAGGCATGCACCACCATGCCTGGCTAATTTTTGTATTTTTGGTAGAGACGGGGTTTCTCCATGTTGGCCAGGCTGGTCTCGAACTCCTGACCTCAGGCGATCCACTTGCCTCAGCCTCCCAAAGTGCTGGGATTATAGGCATGAGCCACTGCGCCCGCCCCGACATGTTAATATTTTAAGATGAAGAACAAAACAGCCAACCTAAGAAAAACAACTAGCAGGCACCCAAGGGCATCTCAGGATGAAAAATCTGTGGCTGAACAATTCAATCTACATCATAGCCACTGAGAACAATATTAATTTCTCAATTAGTAGCAAGAGCAGAGAGATCATGAACACATAAGGCTGAGTAGAAAATTGCTAAAACATTTTGAGACATGCTAGCCTAAAAGCTTCTTGTTAGTATGGCATGCTTATTCAGTATAACCAAAACAATATTTATTAGAAATTATAAAGGTAAGGAGGCTGGGCACGGTGGCTCATGCCTGTAATCCCAGCACTTTGAGAAGCCGAGGCAGGAAGATTGCTTGAGGTCAGGAATTCCAGACCAGCTTGGGAAACATAGTGAGACCCTGTCTCTACAAAAATAAAAATAAAAATAATTACCTGGGATGTGTAGTCTCAGCTATTTGGGAGGCTGAGGCAGGAAGATCACTTGAGCCCAGGGATTCCAGGCTGCAGTGAGCCATGACTGCACCACTGCACTCCAGCATGGGTGACAGAGTAAGATCCTGTTTCTTTTTTTTTGAGACTGAGTTTCACTCTTGTTGCCCAGGCTGGAGTGCAATGGCATGACCTCGGCTCACCGCAACCTCCACCTCCTGGGTTCAAGCAATTCTCCTGCCTCAGCCTCCCGAGTAGCTGGGATTACAGGCATGCACCATGACGCCTGGCTAATTTTGTATTTTCAGTAGAGACGGGGTTTCTCCATGTTGATCAGGTTGGTCTTGAACTCTCGACCTCAGGTGATCCTCCCGCCTCAGCCTCCCAGAGTGCTAGGATTACAGGCGAAAGACCATGTTTCTTAAAAAGAAAGAGGAAAGAAGCCCAGGCATGGTGGCTCGTGCCTGTAATCCCAGCACTTTGGGAGGCCGAGGTGGGCAGATCACCTGAGGTCGGGAGTTCGAGACCAGCCTGACCAACATGGAGAAACCCCATCTCTACTAAAAATACAAAATTAGCTGGATGTAGTGGTGCATGCCTGTAATCCCAGCTACTCAGGAGGCTGAGGCAGGAGAATCCCTTGGACCTGGGAGGCGGAGGTTGCGGTGAGCCGAGATCGTACCATTGCACTCCAGCCTGGGCGACAACAGCGAAACTCCGTCTCAAAAAAAAAAAAAAAAAAAAAAAGAGGGAAGGAAGGAAGGAAGGAAAGAAGGAAGGAAGGAAAGAAAGAAAGGTAGATCTATGTCAAATAGAAAAAAACCTAGTCTTTCAAATTTTCCTAATAGATTAAAAGACAAACAAGAGCACAGATTACGATGTGGGGAAAACACTAAGATCCACCACTCTTTATCCACCCATCACAGTCAGCCTGGAATTAGAGCTAATTAGGAAGAAAGGAAAGACCATTCCTGATACCTGCTGGGTGCTAGCCACATGCTCCAGTTTCTCCGTCTCCTGCACCCGTGAATGGGCTTCTGGAAAGCACCAACCCCTCTTCGTCTTTCAGTAGCTTTGCACCTCCTGCACATGGGGGAGCTCAGCATAGGTTTGCTCAGTTCAGGTGACAGGTAGGTTAGAAATGGATTGGGAAAGGTGTTGAAAGTAAGGCTGAGGAGGTTACAATTTATAATCTAATAAGAGCCGTTGTAAGATCTTGAAAAGGCTTTTTTCTCCTTTTATTTTTTTTTTTTTTTTATTTTTTATTTTTTTTTGAGACGGAGTCTCGCTCTGTCGCCCAGGCTGGAGTGCAGTGGCGGGATCTCGGCTCACTGCAAGCTCCGCCTCCCGGGTTCACGCCATTCTCCTGCCTCAGCCTCCCAAGTAGCTGGGACTACAGGCGCCCGCCACTACGCCCGGCTAATTTTTTTGTATTTTTAGTAGAGACGGGGTTTCACCGTTTTAGCCGGGATGGTCTCGATCTCTTGACCTCGTGATCCGCCCGCCTCGGCCTCCCAAAGTGCTGGGATTACAGGCGTGAGCCACCGCTCCCGGCCTTTTTTCTCCTTTTAATTAAAAGTGGTTTGGTTAGCATATTGCAGGTTTTCTCAGCCACAGTACTATTGGCATGTGGAGCTAGATCATTTTTGTTTTGGGGGGCTGTCCTGTGCCTTGTAGGATGTTTAGCAGAATCCCTAGCCTCTACCCACTACATGCCAGTGGCATCCCCTAGTTGCAACAACCAAAAATGTCTCCTGGGGGCATAATTGCCCAGGTTGAGAACCACTAGGGTGTTAGGGGGAGTGCTGAGCCTCAAGGCAGGGGAGATCAGAGGAAGAAGAGCCAAAAAACGTGGGTGGATGGAAGAGACACTAATTCAAGTGTGGTCTAAGAGTAGTGATTCTCATCACTGTTGCCGTGTTGCACAGTATTTAGGAGCCTAATATACAAGTGTCATGTAGTATTGAACTAAAAATCCACAGGAACAATTCATGAGGCATTCCCGTTTGTTTCTTTTGGAAAAATATAAAATCTGACATTGCTTGGAGAAAACCGGAGACAGACTTGTCAGGAAAAGGTTATGGCCACGTGTCCTTTTGCCCGAAGACATTTATCCTTTACGTAACTGGCAATACCAAAAGTAAGCGTGCTTTTTAATGAAAATTGTCATTTTATGGTTACAAAGCTTTCGGTTTATTGTACAAGAGAAAAATTTCCTACAGTTAATGCTCTAATTCCCCCCTGCTAAGGAGTAAATTGTAAAAATACATGCTGTTACTCTTTGAAATGTGGAGTGATGTTCCTTCAAGTCTAGAGGATGCTGCATGAAATCAGCTTCAAGACAGGCTTGAGGTGACAAGAACATGAAATATATATTACATGCAAACACTTTGGTTTTGGAAATCTGCATGTTTATTCCAATGGCATCAGCTGATACTGTGTTCACTGTAACCTAGTAATGTCACAGCAGCATCTGGGGGCATATAATTGTGTCAGAGCTGCTGTTTACCCAGTTAAATGAGACAGAGATTAGGTAAGGTTTGTGCTACTTATCGTTCATTGCCATGGCTTCATCTTCCTAATCCTCCTTATTTTTACCCCTGCAAGAAAGAACAGTTCTAATATCTTCTTGTTTCTGAGTATTGATGATTGGGTTATGTGGATACTTCTGGGTAGATGTCCATTTGGAAAAGATGCTTGCTGAGTGCCCTTTGTACTGACAATGGTGGAAGAAATTTCCTGATTGGGATCTGGCTCTTGATATATGATCCTTAGAGGTAATGTCCCTGTGGATGGTGCTGCCAGTCTGACCCCTTGTAAGACTTCACAGATATGCTTGGGATCATTAGAGTGGGTTTCATTTCTATCACAGAAGGAGTTGATATAAGGTGCAGGAAATCTACTCCTATTTTCCAAAGTTAGTTTCCAGTACAGTAACACATCCTGTGTAATTTTTTACTTAAAATTCATGTTTCATATGCCATTTTTTTTCTTTATGAGAGACAGAGTCTCACTCTGTTGCCCAGCCTGGAGTGCAGTGGTGCAATCTCGGCTCACTGCAGCCTCTGCCTCTCAGGTTTAAGTGATTCTCCTGCCTCAGCCTCCTGAGTAGCTGGGATTACAGGCACACGCCACTACACCTGGTTAATTTTTGGATTTTTAGTAGAGACAGGGTTTCACCATGTTGGCCAGGTTGGTCTTGAACTCCTGACCTCAAGTGATCCACCTGCCTCAGCCTCCCAAAGTGCTGGGATTACAGGCGTGAGCCACCATACCTGGCCAACCATCTTGGATTTGTCATTCAGCACAGCATGGAAGTTGGCGCCAGGCATCTTGCTTCTTTGTACAATATTTCCATTTCCTGAGATCATGCCACTTGAGGGAGGCCTGCCTGGGTTTCCACCAGCTCCTTCCCTGGCTTTCGGTCCATTCCAGCTTCTCCGAACAGAACTCTGTCCCTGCTTGGGGGACCAAGAAGGCACAAGGGCAAACCCACACATGAATGAAGTTTGTGGGTCATTTAGCATGAAGCAAGCATCATGGCAGAAGCTGTTTGGGAAGAGCTGGTCTTTCTGGTACTCCCCGGTCTGTTCACTGTCCTCACCCCTTCTCCCACATGCCCTCTCCCCTTCTCCCACATGCCCTCTCCCCTCCTTCTCCTTTTCTTTCTTTCCTCCTTCATTTTCTACATGACATAACAACCTTCAGGTAGCAAAACATCTGCTAGGAGTCATCCTGGCTTTTGTGTGTAAATCTGGTTTTTAGGACGCTCTTTAAAGAAAGTTTTATCTTAGGGGGCCAGGAGGATGGCAGGAGTGCTGTCAAATAGCCTCAGAGCAATATGTCCAGGAGCCCAGGCATCTGCTAGAAAAGCACGTGTAGCTGCAAAGATAAGGGTTTCTATCAGTCAGGGAATCAGTAAGTTCTCTCCTACTCACCTGAGGGCGTGCAGTCCCGCACCCTAGGAAGCAGTACACGGCAACATACCTTGCTGCTGGGCTGGGCTGCAGTGCTTCAGTGCTGCTGCTCACTAACCTTGTGCCCTCGGGTAACACGCTGGCAACCTGGGCCTCTGCTTCCTGATTCATAACTCAGGGATGACGACAGCAAGCTCCCTCATCAGGCTGTGGTGCGGGTTAAGCGAGTTTATAAATTGAAAATGCTAGCTCATAGTCCACATTCAAGAAATGTCAGCTGTAATAATATCATTATCCTTGTCCTCAAGGAACTTGAAAACTAGTTAGACAGATGGAACATCTGTGAAAGAATTACAAAAAAGAGTCAGCCCAGGTGTGGCGGCTCACGCGCATAAACGCCATGGAGTTTAAAGAAGAATGAAATGTTTCAGCATCTGAGCTATCAGATAATGTTAGCAGAGGACGGAGATTATGTTAGAGCTTGCAAGTTGTTAAGCCAACAAACATTAAGCACCTATTCCTGTGACTCACTCACCCAACTGGGTGTTTGCCATATGACTCTGATTTTGCCAATCACGTTTTGCTAATCCTAAAACGAGGCACAATTCAGATCTTTATGCTAGGTACTGGGCTAAATAACCTTCCATGCATGATGCCATTTTCATCCTTTCAACAACCCCGAAATAAGGTTATATGTATATATATATATACGTGTATATCTACACGTGTATATATGTATATATATACACACACACATATATGTATATATATACATATTGATGTGTATATATGTGTGTGTGTGTGTGTGTGTGTGTGTGTGTGTGTGTGTGTATATATATATATATATATTTTTTTTTTTTTTTCTGAGATGGAGTCTTGCTCTGCTGCCCAGGCTGGAATGCAATGGCGCAATCTTGGCTCACTGCAACCTCCGCCTCCCGGGTTCAAGTGATTCTCCTGCCTCAGCCTCCTGACTAGCTGGGATTACAGGCGACCACCATCACGTCCAGCTAATTTTTGTATTTTAGTAGACACGGGGTTTCACGATGTTGGGCAGGCTGGTCTGGTACTCCTGACCTCAAGTGATCCACCCGCCTCGGCCTCCCAAAGTGCTGGGATTACAGGCATAAGCCACCGTGCCCGGCCGAGGTAGTAATAATTTTATGGATAAAGAAATTGAGGTTTTGGAGCTGTTAGTTTGTCTAAGATCAAAGCACTAACACATGGCAGAGCTTAGAATGGAGCAGGATCACAGATTGCCTGATGGCAGAGCACGCAAAAGAGGAGGAGGTGGGAGGCTGGGCACAGTGGCTCATGCATGCCTGTGATCCCAGCACTTTGGGAGGCCAAAGTGGGAGGATCGCCTGAGCCCAGGAGTTCAAGACCAGCTTGAGCAACACAGTGAGACTCCATCTCAACTAAAAAGTAAAAAACAGCTGGGCATGGTAATGTGCACCTGTAGTCCTGGCTACTTGGGAGGCTGAGGTGGGAGGATCACTTGAGCCTGAGAGTTTGAGGCTGCAGTGAGTTATGATCCTGTCACTGCACTCCAGCCTGCGTGACAGAGTGAGCCCATGGGGAGGAGGGAAGAGGATGTGTGAGGTGTGACAGTCTGGACAGAGAGGGAGCCTGGAAGAGGTGTGGAGGGCAGGGACCCAATGAAGCCAATATTCTAGTGGGAACAGGGCATCTGTGGGGGAGCCTGAGTGACATATATAATGTGAGACTAATGGGCTACCGGCAGATAAGAGCTCATTTCAGCTTGAGAGAAGGCAGCCAGACAAAAGGAAGTAGCAGCCATGCGGATGTGACCTGGTGAGGGCTCAGAGTCGGGGCAAAAAGAACAAAAAGGAAACAGTGAAGTCTAGGGGACCCCTGGAAGGCAATATTGACAGGTGTCTGTGACAGCTTGGATGACGATGGTCAATTAGAGAGGGAGGGTGAGAGTGATCTCAGAGTCCTTGCCTCAGCAGTCCTGAAAATAGTGATCTTCAACCAGGCCAGGAAAACAGGGAAGGTGGGTGGGAAAGGAGGTGTTGTTTTACACACATTAAGCTTAGGGGAATGTGTGGGAATCTTGTAAACATTTGGACAGACAGAGACTGGGGTATATGGGGGAGTCCAAGCCTGGAGACAAAGATTTGAGAATCAGCCATGCAGAGGGAAAGGCTACATCTGCAAGGCAGTGGCTCACGGCTAAAGTAAGGAAAAGTGGCCACAAAGGGAAAAAGAGTGGTTTGGATGGTTACAGGAAAATCAGGAAAACAGAAACAGTGTCTCAAGGAAGAATGGCCCTCCACATGAGATAGGTCAGCAATCACTCAGGTCCTGTGAGGAAGCACACTCGGACTCAGTGGACTGTGAGGGTGGAGGAATTCCCCACCTGCCTCTGGGTGATGGAGAATCTACCTGGGAGGCTTGTGGATGACAGGTGGAGAGGAAGAGCAGTGGGTTTTTTGTTTTTCTTTTTCAGAGACAGAATCTGGGTGTCACCCGGGCTGAAGTGCAGTGGCACCATCAAAGCTCTCTGCAGCCTCGAACTCCTGGGCTCAAGATACTTCTGCCTCACTCTCCCAAGTAGCTGGGACTGCAGGCACACACCACCATACCCAGCTAATTTTTGAATTTTCTGTAGAGATGAGGTCTCACTATGTTGCTTAGGCTGGTCTCGAACTCCTCGGCTCAAGTGATTCTCCTGTCTCAGCCTCCCAAAGTGATGAGATTGCAGGCATGAGCCACTGTGCCCAACCTCCAAGTCTTTGTTAAAAACTAATTTTTTATTGATACATGATAGTTATACATATTTCTGGAGTACATGTGTTATTTACTTATTTATTTATTTATTTAGAGACAGAGTCTCGCTCTGTCGCCCAGGCTGGAGTGCAGTGGTGCAATCTCCACTCACTTGCAAGCTCCACCTCCCAGGTTCACGCCATTCTCCTGCCTCAGCCTTCCGAGTAGCTGGGACTGCAGACGCCCGCCACCATGCCCAGCTAATTTTTTGTATTTTCAGTAGAGGCAGGGTTTCACCATGTTAGCCAGGATGGTCTCGATCTCCTGACCTTCTGATCCGCCCGCCTCAGCCTCCCAAAGTGCTGGGATTACAGGCACGAGCCACTGCACCCAGCTGGGAACCACCATTCTTTTCTCTAACTCCATGAGATCAACTGTTTCAAGTTTCCTACATATTAGAGAGATCATGTGGTATTTGTCTTTCTGTGCCTGGCTTATTTCATTTCACATAATGTCCTCCAGGTCAACTCATGTTGCTGCAAATGACAGGATTTCATCTTTTATGGCTGAATAATAGTCCATCATGTATATGTACCATATTTTCTTTATCCATTCATTTGCTGATAGGCACTGGGGTTGATATTTTGGCTGTTGTGAATTGTGCTCCAATAAACATACAAGTACAGTACCTCTTTGATATGCGTCTTTCTTTTGGATATATACTAGCAGTGGGCTTGCTAGATCAAAGGTAGTTTTGATTTGTAGTTTTTTGAGGAACTTTCATATGGTTTCCATGGCTGTATTAACTCACATTCTCACCAACAGTGTATATCCCCTTTCCCTGTATCCTCACCAAGATTTGTTATTTTTTGTCTTTTTGACAATAGCCATTGTAACTGGGGTGCAATATCTCACTGTAGTTTTGCTTTGCATTTTGCTGATGATGAGTGATGCTGAGCATTTTTCATACAACTGTTGGTCATTTGTGTGTCTTCTCCAAGCTTTTTTGATTGCTTAGCCTTTGTAGTGTGATTACTTTTTGAGCAGTCTTAATATATGTATAGTTTTAAATTATACATACACACTACTATGATTAGCTAACATCTTAAGTTATATTATTCACCAGGGCGAGTTCACTATTAAAAACAGAGGATTGGCCGGGAATCGTGGCTCACGCCTGTAATCCTAGTACTTTGGGAGGCCAAGGTGGGAGGATTGCGTGAGTCCAGGAGTTCAAGACCAGCCTGGGCAACATGGTGAAACCCTGTCTCAACAAAACAAAACAAAACAAAACAAAACAAAACAAAACAAAACAAAACAAGAGGATTGGAAGGCACAGTGACTCATGCCTATCATCCCAACACTTTGGGAGGCTGAGGCAGGAGGATTGCTTGAGGCCAGGAGTTGGAAACCAGGCTGGTCAACATAGCCAGATCCTGTCTCTACAAAAGCAAAATAATTAAAGTTAGCTAGACACGGTGGTGCATTCCTGTAGTCCCAGCTACTTGAGAGGCTGAGGCAGGAGGATCCTTGGAGCCCAGGAGTTCGAGGCTGCAGTGAGCTATGATTGTACCACTGCACTCCAGCCTGGGCCACAGAGCAAGACCCTGTCTCAATTAACAACAACAACAAAAAAATACAGGATATAATTTTATATTTCAAATGTTCTTGATAATTAAAAAATTATTTTTGGTTGAGCACAGTGGCCCATGCCTGTAATCCTAGCACTTTGGGAGGCTGAGGCGGGTGGATCACCTGAGCCCAGGAGTTCAATACCAGTGTGGGCAAAATGGCCAGACCCTGTCTCTCCAAAAAATACAAAAATTAGCCAGGCATAGTGGCATGTGCCTTTAGTCCCAGCTACTTGGGAGGCTGAGGTGGGAGGATCACTTGAGCTCAGGGAGTTTGAGGCTGCAGTGATCCAAGATTGTGCCACTGCACTCCAGTCTGGGCAACAGAGGGAGACCCCGTCCCCCCCACCCCCCCAAAAAAAAGTTTTTGGCTGAGTGTGGTGGCTCACGCCTGTAATCCCAACAATTTGGCAGGTTAAGGTGGGAGGATTGCTTAAGCACAGGAGTTCAAAACCAGCCTGGGCAAGGTAGGGACACCCCCTCTCTACAAAAAATTTAAAAATTAGCCAAGCATAGTAGTGTGTGCCTGTGGTCCCAGCTACTTGAGAGGTTGAGGTGGGACGATGGCTTGAACTCAGGAGTTTGTGGCCACAGTGAGCTGTGATTATGCCACTGCACTCCAGCCTGGGCAACAGAGCAAGACTCTGTCTAAAAAAAATTTTTTTGTTTGGTTCCTTCTTGTTAGAATCAATTATATTGCCATTATGTTTACCTTGCACTTGACTAAGGGTTTAGTAAAGCTATGTAAGATAATTCATATTGGCTGGTCGCGGTGGCTCACACCTGTAATCCCAGCCCTTTGGGACGCTGAGGCAGGCGGATCACGAGGTCAGGAGATCAAGACCGTCCTAGCTAACACGGTGAAACCCTGTCTTTACTAAAAACACAAAAACAAAATTAGCCGGGTGTGGTGGTGGGCACCTGTAGTCCCAGCTACTTGGGATGCTGAGGCAGGAGAATCGCTTGAGCCCAGGAGGCGGAGCTTGCAGTGAGCCGAGATTGCGCCACTGCACTCCAGCCTGGGCAACAGAGTGAGACTCTGTGTCACAAAAAAAAAAAAAAAAAAAAAAAAAATGTTAATTAGGTACTTGTAAACCCCTGTCTGTGCAAACTAATGCATGTGGGCCCTACATCCTTCTCACTATGGTGCCCTCACACCCAATTCAGGGCACCACATGGATCATTCCTGATCCATGGGCTGTCTAATGTAGTACGATGTGAGGGTACCAAGTCATTCTCCGTTTTGCGACAAAATGAACCATAGAAGGTTTTATTTTACCTCCTAGTAAACCATCTCATCCTGGGGTATGTGCCTCTGCCCCCCATCTTGTAGAACACATCTTCAGAGGGCACTATGCTGAGGAAATGGGAAAATTACCCTTATCATTATCCCAATAGAGTATTCCTTTTTACTTTTTTTTTTTTTTTTTTTTTAGAGTTGGGGTCTTGTTCTGTTGCCCATGCTGGAGTTCAGTGGTGTGATCATGGCTCTCTGTAGCCTCAAACTCCTAGGCTCAAGCCGTCCTCCTGCCTTGCCTCCTAAAATGCCAGGATTACAGGCATGAGTCAGTGCTCCCAGCCTCTTTCCTTTAGCTTAGCTCTTAGGCTTTTTCCTATCATTTCTTACCACCTTTCCTTCCAGGCATTGTAGGTCATTAAAAGTGCCTTGGACTGGGAATCAGGAGATGTGGTCTTAGCTGTCTCTTTGCTTCCAACTTGCATACAACACCCTAGGGCCAGTTCCTTCACCTTTCCCACACCTCAATTTCCTAGAGTCCAGGGATGATGATCCCTTTCACATGATCCTGAAATGGCTGCGGCTGGCTCACGTGGACTCGTGTTTGAAAGTGTGGAAAAACTGGAAACCGCCAAAGGCCAAAGACTGGTTTCATGATAACTGTCTTTCCAGTCTCATCTCTGGGGACATATAGATTCCACATAGTATATACCATTTTCACAAATTTCTTTACATTGCAGCAAATTATTTGATTGTGAAGTATTTGTTTTCTTTATATTAAGGCACTGAAGTAGGATGTACAGGTAGAGCTGTGTCGCTTGTTAGCTGGTGATACTTACAGATTCCTTCAGGTCTCTTTGCGCATGTAACTGTCACTTCCCCGAGTTTGCGTCTGTTTCAGGCTCTCTGCAACAAGCACTTTTTCACTGTCAACAAAGTCCCGTGCCTGTGCCTGCTGCAGGATTGAGGCACGGGAGCCTCCAGGTGGTTCACCTTGCTCTGGGCTCCACCCAGTGTGCCCAAGCCCAATCTACACAACCATCCAGTCAACTCAGAGTAGGGAGAGACCACAACACCAGACAACTGGTTCTGTATAAATTACTAAGATTAAAAGTAAATGGCTGGGCACGGTGGCTCATGCCTGTAATCCCAACACTTTGGGAGGCTGAGGCAGGTGAACTGCTTGAGTCCAGGAGTTTGAGACCAGCCTGGGCAACATGTTGAAACACCGTCTCTACCAAAAAAGATAAAAAAACTAGCCTGGCGTGGTGGTGCATTCCTGCAGTCTCAGCTACTCAGGAGGCTGAGGTGGGAGGATCACTTCAGCCTGGGAGGCGGAGGTTGCAGTGAGTCGTGATTGCACCACTGCACTCTAGCCTGGGAGATAAAGTGAGAGTTCATCTCGGAAAAAAAAAAAAAAAAAAAAAAAGTAAAATACTGGTTATTTTTTGTGGGGCTGGAAACATTTAATTTTGTTTTCTGATTATGAAACATTCATCTTAGAAAACTGGAAAGATAAACAGAAAAAGAAAATAAAAACGAGCTGTAATCCCAATCTCATATTTTGGTGTCAATAGTCCTCATTCTCCCTTTATGTTAATTAGATCACACTCATATTAGTCTGTTCTCTCACTGCTGATAAAGACATACTCGAGACTGGGTAATTTGTAAAGAAAAAGGTTTAATGGACTCACAGTTCCATGTGGCTGGGAGGCTTCACAATCATGGTGGAAGGCAAAAGGCACATCTTACATGGTGGCAGTCAAGAGAGAATGAGAGCCAAGCAAAAGGGGAAACCCCTTATCAAACCATCAACTCTCATGAGACTTATTCACCACCAAGAGAACAGTATGGGGTAAACTGCCCCCATGATTCAATTATCTCCCACAGGGTCCCAGCCACAACACGTGGGAATTGTGGGAGCTCTAATTCAAGATGAGATTTGGGTGGAACACAGGCAAAACATATCACACCATTTATAATTTATTAAAATTTTTTTATTGTGGTAAAATAATATGAAATTTATCATAACCTTTTCTTGTATTTTATTTCCATTTTTCTCATTTTTATTTTCCATAGTACATTTATGACACAGAAATGTCCTGCGTCCTCTCCTTGAATGTCTATAAGATTGCATTTTCAATATCTCCTGCCTGTCATTTACTTATGCTAGCAATTGAAGTCTGATTCTTGCAATGAGTATTGTCCCATTAATATTAAATAACTTTTTGCCGGGCGCAGTGGCTCATGCCTGTAATCCTAGCACTTTGGGAGGCCGAGGGGGGTGGATCACCTGAGGTCGGGAGTTCGAGACCAGCCTGACCAACATGGAGAAACCCCGTCTCTACAAAAAATACAAAATTAGCCGGCGTGGTGGCACAAGCCTGTAATCCCAGCTACTAGGGAGGCTGAGGCAGGGGAATAGCTTGAACCTGGGAGGCGGAGGTTGTGGTGAGCCGAAATTGCGCCACCGCACTCCAGCCTGGGCAACAAGAGCAAAACTCCGTCTCAAAAAAATATATATATATTAAATAACTTTTTAAAAAACTTTTAGTTTCAGGGATACATGTGCAGGTTTGTTACACAGGTAAACTTCTGTCATGAGGGTTGGGTGTACAGATTATTTCATCACCCAGGTACTAAGCTACCATAGTACCTGGTAGTTATCTTTTCTGATCTTCTCCTTCCTCTTACCCTCCTCCCTCAAGGAGGCTTCAGTGTCTGTTGTTCCCCTCTTTGTGTCCATGTGTTCTCATCATTTAGCTCCCACTTACACATGAGAACATGTGGTATTTGGTTTTCTGCTCCTGTGTTAGTTCACTAAGGATGATGGCCTCCAGCTCCATTCATGTTCCTGCAAAGGAAATAATCTCATTCTTTTTTATGGCTGCATAGTATTCCATGGTGTATATGAACCACATTTTCTTTATCCAGTCTACTGTTGATGAGCATTTAGGTTGATTCCATGTCTTTGTTATTATAAAGAGTGCTGCAATGAACAATCACATGCATGTGTCTTTAAGGCAGAACAATTTATATTCCTTTGGGTATATACCCAGTAATGGGATTGCTGGGTCAAATGATAGTTCTAAGTTCTTTGAGGAATTGCCACAGTGGCTGGACTAACTTACACTGCCACTAGCAGTGTATAAGCATTCCCTTTTCTCTACAAGCTCCCCAGCATCTGTTATTTTTTTGACTTTTTAGTAATAGCCATTTTGACTGGTGTGAGATGGTATCTCACTGTGCCATCTTACCCATTTTTAATTATGTACATTCATAATGTCATGCAACCACCACTGCCATCTGTCTCCGTTACTCTTTTCATCTTGTAAAACTGGAATGCTAAGAACATCTCATTCTAATTTCCACCCAGACCCATTTCTACCTTCTGTCTCTATAATATTGACTACTCTATCCCATATAAGTGTAATTGTCTTTTATTGTGACTGGCATAAGTAACATTTTAAAAATGTATCATATACAGTGCATTTTTTTCTGTTATAAAATCTTCTTTTACAATGTGATTTTTAATGATGCATTAGGATATTCCATTGTGTGGATCCCAGTTGATTTAGTGATGCACTGTTGTGAATACTTTGGCCATACTCTGCCTGCCTAGCAGTGTACTAGAGTAACAGAGCTGGCCAGGGGTAGGAGTCAGAAGCTAGAGATACAGAGCAGGTGTTTAACCTGAGCATATGCCCCAGAAAAGAAACTTCGATAAAATCTTCCCCCATGTTCTCACCTTCTCCTTGATGGCAGAGCTGGGCCATGTGTTCACCACTGCAGTGTGCATTCCATATGGCTCTGTCTCTACCCATATCCATGGTTATTTCTTTTGGATGAATTCACAGAAATGGAAATACAGGATTAACATGTTTATAATATTCTAAAGTTTTTCACAACAAGTGTTGCACAACTGCCATTCAGAAAGTTTGAACCAAATGTAAAAGAATGCTTATTTCCTGGGTGTTGTTGCCAAAATTGGGTGTAATCTCTTTTTTAAAACATGGTTGTGTACTGGAATAATTTTAACTGTTTATGTTTACTGAATTAAATTGTGCTATGGATATCCAGCCAAAAAAAAGTTTCCAAGCCTCTTTTGGATGGTTGTAAAATTGTTTTAGTTTTTTGTTTCTGTTTAAGGCAATAGCCACAGCAATGAAAACTGAAAGCAGAAAGTACCAAAATAGCATATTAAAATCACAACTGAATACTAGAATGTATCAATAAAGCAAGAATTCACTGATTGAGGTATTGGTAGAGAATGTTTTAGATTACAAAGCGTGTAGACCAAGTCTCGCTCTGTTGCCCAGGCTGGAGTGCAGTGGTGCAATCTCGCCTCACTGCAACCTCCACCTCTTGGGTTCAAGTGATTCTCCTGCCTCAGCCTCCCGAGTAGCTGGGATTACAGGTGCCCGCCACCACGCCCGGCTAATTTTTCTATTTTTAGTAGAGATGGGGGTTTCACCATGTTGGCCAGGCTGGTCTCGAATTCCTGACCTCAGATGATCCATCCGCTTCAGTTTCCCAAAGAGCTGGGATTACAGGCGTGAACCATTGTGCAGGGCCCAATTTTTTTTTAAGTTTATTTTTTATAGAGATAGGGTCTCCCTGTGTCACCCAGGCTGGTCTCAAACTCCTGGGCTCAAGTGATCCTCCCACCTTGGTCTTCCAATGTGTTAGGATTACAGGCATGAGCCACTGTACCTGAAACTCAATAAATACTTTCTGATCACACTCTGCACCAGGTCCTATTCCAGGAGTTGAGGGCACAGCAGTGAACAGATCTAAGTGCCTGTCCTCTTGCTGGTGATGTTGTGGCTTTCATGACCAAGACGGCAATACCTACTTTTCTACTCCAGGGTCCTTGCATGACCAAGCAGCACATGTGTTTAATCTGATTTCCTTTGGAACCTGTTGGATTTAAACTTTGACTTATGCCAGGTTTGAGTTAGGACCAGGAAAATTCCAAGCTGGTTTCTGACCTTTGAATCTGGAAGTCTAAGCTACAACTGCATGAAGACTGCACTGTGACCACGTGGCATCTCTGAGCATGGAAGAGAGCACATTTCCTTGAGAGACATTTCATAAATCCTGGCCAGCTGTCACTGCTGTGGAGGAAGCAGCACTGCCCTCCTAAGTGTGTGCGCTCCCAGGGAAAGGGGACGTGGGGAATGGTGATGGTGAGTGAAGACTCACTTTGTCTTCAAATATCGCAGTCAATGGATAGGTGAGCACCGTTTGGAGGAAGCTATTGCTTAATTGGGGCAAAAACCCATCTAGAGAGACTTTCCCTTTGGAGGAGTGATCTACACAACCATTGTTAGTAACACATACATGCAGGGCTAAGTGCTATCTTACATAGTTCCAGCCTGGCGCTGTGGCTCTTGCCTGTAATCCTAGCACTTGGGAGGCTGAGGTGGGAGGACTGCTTGAGGCCAGGAGTTCAAGACCAGCCTGGGCAACATAGGGAGACCTCATTTCTACAAAAAATTTCAAAATTGGCAGAGCGTGGTTGTGTGTGTCTATAGTCCCAGCTACTCAGGAGGCTAAGGTGGGAACATCACTTGAGCCCAGGAGTTCTAGGCTGCAGTGAGCCATGATTGTGCCACTGCACTCCAGCCAAGGTGACAGAGCAGACCCTATTTCTAAATAAATAAATAAATAAATAAATAAATAAGATTAAATAGCTCCATGTTAAGCAGAAGGGCAAGAAAGCAGAGTTGTGACCACCAACTCTGTGCATGTGCAACTACCCACCTACCCATGTGCAACTGTGGGCCTTACAACTGAGAACTGAGTAGCGAATTTTAATTTAGTCCCCTATCTAGTCATGAAGTAGAAATATCAATATATACTCCTATATCTACTGAGGAGAGATGAAAATCAGTTTTGCTGGATCTGACATGGTTTTAATTAGGTTATATACAGAAAGGTAAATGATTCTCTTATTTTCGAGGTAGTTGAGTAGCTACTTTATGCTCCTGTATTGTAAACTAAAATGTGACAGAAGCCGGATCACAAGGCAGTTTTCTTGCAGTTCTGACTATATGTTTCCCTTTGGTAATATTGAAAAGCAAGGGCTTTTTTTTGTTTCTATGGAAGGATCTGTTGGTCTATTGGTCATTTAGCAACAGCAATGCGGTGATTCGAGTGGTAGAACAATAATGATGATTCAGTAAAAAAAAAATAGTAAAAGAAGAACAAATTAAACCAATGTAAACCAAATTAAACCAAAGTAAAACCAAGTAAAAGGAAGGAAATAATAAATACAAGACCCTCCCCTCCCCTCCCCTTCCCTTGAGACGTGGTCTCACTCTGTTACCCAGGTGACAGTTTAACTGATAATTAAATTTCCTTACTACATATAGGGCTACTCAGATTTTCTATAGTTTATTTTTTTGAGACAGAGTCTCATAGTGTCACCTGGGCCGGAGTGCAGTGGCGGGATCACGGCTCACCGAAGCCTTGACTGCCTGGGCTCAAGTGATCCACCTGTCTCAGCCTCTCAAGTAGCTGAGACCAGAGGTGTGCGCCACCATGCCCCAGCTAATTTTTAAAATTATTTGTAGAGATGAGGTCTTGCTGTGTTGCCCAGAACTCTTGGGTTCAAGCAAGCCACCTCAACTGGCTAATACATATAGGAATTAAAAGAGGCTGAACACAGTGGCTCATGCCTGTAATCCCAACAATTTGAAACGCTGAGGCAGGAGGACTGCCTGAGACCAGGAGTTTGGGGCTGAGTGAGTTATGATCGCTACTGTATTCCAGCCTGGTCTGGGTGACAGAATGAGAACCTATCTCAAAACAAACAAACAAACAAACAAACAATAAGAGCAAGCAGGAAAAGAAAAAATTACCAACATTAGGAATGAAATAGATATCACCACAGATCTTGCAGACATTAAAACAAAAAAAGATTATAATTATGTAAATAAATTCAATGGCATAGATAAAATGGACAAATTGGTTGAATGCCACAGATTAACCATAGTGATTCAAGAAACTAGAAAGAAGGCCAGGCACGGTGGCTCACACTTGTAATCCCAGCACTTTGGGAGGCCGAGGTGGGTGAATTACGAGGTCAGGAGTTTGAGACCAGCCAGGCCAACATAGTGAAACCCCGTCTCTACTAAAAATACAAAAAATTATCCTCATCTCAGGAGTTTGGGACCAGCCTGGCCAACATAGTGAAACCCTGTCTCTACTGAAAATACAAAAAATTAGCTGGGCATGGTGGTAGGCGCCTGTGATCCCAGCTACTTGGGAGGTTGAGGCAGGAGAATTGCTTGAACCCGGGAGGCAAAGGCTGCAGTAAGCTGAGATCGCGCCATTGCACTCCAGCCCGGGAGACACTGTGACACTCTGTCTCAAAAAAAGAAAAAAGAAAAAAGCCCTATATATGCTAAGGAAATTTAATTATGAATTAAAACTTCCTGCAAAGAAACTTCAGACTGAGGTGGCTTCAGCAGTAAATTCTATCAAATATTTAAGGAAAAATAATAACAAACACACACAAACTCATTCTAAAAACAAAGAAAGATGACTTCTCTAGTCATTGTCTGAGCCCAGACAATGACATTGAAAGGAATACCTCACTGAATACAGTATACCTCACTGAATACAGATGCAAACATCCTTAGTTAAATTTTTGGCAAACTGAATTCAGCAATATATAACAAGGATAATGCATCATGACTAAGTGGGGTTTATCCCAAGAATGCAAGCTTGTTTTAACACTAAAAAAATCAACATACCTACCATATTAACAGAACAAAGGAGAAAAACCATATATGATTCTCTTATTAGATGCAGAAAAATAACAAAATTCGCCATCCATTCACAATTTTAAAACTCTTAGCAAACTGGAAATAGAAGGGACCTTCTTCATCCTGGTAGAGTACACAAGCTCTGAAAAACCTTCAGCTAACATTGTCTGTTAATGATGAACAACTGAATGCTTTCTCCTCAGATTGAAAATAAGGCAAGGATGTCCAGTCTCAGGATTTCTATTAAACATTACACTGGAAGTCCTAGCCAGTACAATAGGCAAGAAAAAGGCAAAGAAAACCATACAGATTGAAAAGAAGAAATAAAACTGTCTATCTGCAGATGACATGATTGTGTATGTAGAAACATTTAAGGAATCTTTATGAAAGGCAAATCAAAATAGTAAGTGACTTTAGCATAGGTTAATGCAAAAAAATATTTTCTGCATACTAGCAATAACCACCTGGAAATTTAAATAAAATATTTACTATAGTATCAAAAACAATACCTCTGGCTGGGCACGGTGGCTCATGCCTGTAATTCCAGCACTTTGAGAGGCTGAGAAGGGAAGATCACTTGAGTCCAGCCCGGGCAACACAGCAAGACCAAAAAAAAAAAAATTAGCTGGGTGTGGTGGTGCACACTGTCATCCCAGCTACTTGGGAGGCTGAGACAGGAGGACTGCTTGAGCTCAGGAGGTCAAGGCTGTAGTGAGCTATGATTATACCACTGCACTCCAGTCTGGGTGACAGAGTGAGGCTTTGTCTAAAAAAAAAAAAAAAAAATACACACACACACACACAAACACCATTTACTATAGTATCAAAAACATGGACTAGTTAGGGATAAATTTAACATAATACATGCAAGGCACCTATACAATTAAAACTATAAAAACATTGCTGAATGTTATGCTGAAAATTAAAGACGCAAATAAATGGAGATATACTATGTCTATGAACTACAAGACTAAATATGATGATGACCATTTTTCCCAAATTGTTCCACAGATACAATGTAATCTTAACTGAAATCCCAGCAGGGGTGGGGCACGATGGCTCACACCTATAATCCCAGCACTTTTGGAGGCTGAGGTGGGAAGACTGCTTGAGCCCAGGAATTCAAGATCAGCCTGGGCAATGTGGTGAAACCCCATCTCTACAAAAACAAACAGCAGCAAAATAGCCAGGTGTGGTGGTACGCACCTGTGGTCTCAGTTACTTGGAAGGCTGAGACAGGAGGATTGCTTGAGTCTGGGTGGTTGAGGATGCAATGACCTGTGATCATGCCACTGCACTTCAGTCTGGGTGACATAGTAAGACCCTGTCTCAAAAAAAAGAAAATCCCAGCAGGCACTTACATAACTTATTCTAAAATTTATATAAAAACACAAAGGACTTAGAATGCAAAAAATTTTTGAAAAAGAACAACAAAGTTGGAATATTCAAACTATCAAATTTCAAGACTGACTATAAAGCTACATTATTATTAAAGGATCAACATTTGGATCAATGGAACAAAATAAATGAACCCGCATGTCTATGGGCAAGTAATTTTTGACAAAGTGGCCACAGTAAGTCAATAGGGGAAAGACAGTCTTTTCAACAAATGGTACCGGAAAAACTGGATATCCATATGGGAAAAAATGAACATTGATTATTAACTTACTCATACACAAAATTCACCTCAAATTGGATCATGTACCTAAGCTTAAAAGGTAAAACTTGGATGGGTGCGGTGGCTCACGCCTGTAATCCCAGCACTATGGGAGAACGAAGCGGGTGGATCACCAGGTCAGGAGATCAAGACCATACTGGCCAACATGGTGAAACCCTGTCTCTACTAAAAATACAAAAATTAGCTGGGCATCGCAGTGCTTGCCTCCTGTAGTCCCAGCTACTTGGGAAGCTGAGGCAGAATTGCTGGAACCTGGGAGGCAGAGGCTGCGGTGAGCTGAGATCACGTCACTACACTCCAGCCTGGGTGACAGAGCAAGACTCTGTCTCAAAAAAAAAAAAAAAGGTAAAATTAAAATTTCTAAAATAAAACAGGAGAACATTTACATGATCTGAAGGGAGTCAAAGAGTTCTTAGATAATTGAATACACACACACAAAAAAACAAAAAAAGACAAGAGCTATAAAAGAAGATAGCAAAAAATTAGACTTTTACAAAGTTAAAGACTTCTGCTCTTCAAAAGACAATGCTAACAAAATGAAGACAAGTCACAGACTGGGAGAAAATAGTCACACAACACATATCTACATACCTGCCAAAGGTATTGTATCTGGAATATATGAAGACTTTTTAGCAACCCAACTAAATTGGAAAAGACACTGAATAGGCACTTTACAAAGATATATTAGTATCCAACATGCACACAAAAATATGTCAACATCATTAGCCATCAGGGAAATGCAAAGTAAAACCACAGTGAGATACCACTACGTATCCATTAGGATGGTGAAAATTAAAAAGACTGATAATAGCAAGTATTGGTGAGAATGTAGGGCAACTACAACTCTCATAACTTTACCGGTAGGATGTAAGATGGTACCAGGACTTTGGAAAACAGTTTGGCCATTTTTTATTTTTTTTGAGATGGAGTCTCGCTCTGTCGCTCAGGCTGGAGTACAGTGGTGTGAGCTTGGCTCAGTCTCACCTCCACCTCCCAGGTTCAAGCGATTCTCCTGCCTTAGCCTCCCAAGTAGCGGGATTACAGGTGTGTGCCACCATGCGTGGCAAATTTTTTTTGTATTTTTAGTAGACACAGGGTTTCGTCATGTTGGCCAGGCTGGTCTCGAACTCCTGACCTCAGGTGATCTGCCCGCCTCGGCCTCCCAAATTGCTAAGATTACAGGCATGAGCCACCGCACTCGGCTGCCATTTCTTTTAAAATTAAACATACACTTAGCATACAACCCAGTAGTCTTACTCCTAGATATTTACCCAAGAGAAAACATGTCCACACAAAAACTTGTACATAGATGTTCATAATGGCTTTATTCATAATAGACAAAACTGGACAAAGCCTAAATGTCCATCAACATTTGTGGTATATAAACAAATTGTGGTATATACATACACTGGAAAAATACTCAGTGATAAACAGAAATGAACCACTCATTCATGCAACATAGACAAGTCTAAAAACATTATGCTGAGGAAAAGAAACCTTACACACAAGAGTCTATACATTTTATAAGATCACATTTTTATGAGACTCTAGAAAAGACAAATCTGATCCACAGTGACAGAAAACAGATCAGGGCTTGCCTGGGACCAGGGACGAGTACCAGGGAATTTTGGGGTGATGGAAATGTTCTAGATCTTGATTGTGGTGATGGTGGTTACATGCGTATATTACTTTCTCAAAACTCATCAAACTGTGGCCTGGCGTGGTGGCTCCCACCTGTAATCCCAGCATGTCCGGAGGCCAGGGAAGGCAGATCACCTGAGGTCAGGAGTTTGAGACCAGCCTGGCCAACATGGTGAAACCCTGTCTCTACTAAAAATACAAAAATTAGCAGGGCATGGTGGGCACGTGCCTGTAGTCCTCGCTACTCAGGAGGCTGATATAGGAGAATCGCTTGAACCTAGGAGGCAGAGGTTGCAATGAGCTGAGATCACACCACTGCACTCCAGCCTGGGCTACAGTGAGACTTTGCCTCAAAAAAAAAAAAAAATTCCAAAGGTCTAAACTTCAAAGATAATAAATACTAAATATATTTGGTGTACAAAGGGAATGTGAAAAAGAATACACCTCAAACCCAGGAAACGAGGCTCAATTCCTTTAAGAAGCCTCCACTTAGACAGACGACCCTGGCACTCATAGCTCAAAGCCTTGTCCTCAGAAAGGCAATGAGAGCTTTACAGTACCTGCTTTGTAAAACCAGATTTAGCCCTATTACTGCCCACTCTGAAGCCAAGTCTCTTACTCCTCTGCCAATGCCTTCCTTACATCATCCACTGGAGAAAATTACTGCAGCTGAGCTCTGTAAATTAAATGGCATGAATGAGCAATGCTAATCTGAATACCTATAACATTTTTGGAATTACTAAGCATATGAGCTTATTTGGATTTGTAATGAAACCCTGTAAACAAAGTATTTGTACAAACCCTTTGAATTCAGTAAATCAACACAACAAAATTACACCGACAAATACGTAGGTATCTACTGTGGTCTCAAGGAGCTGAAGATCTCATTGAAAAGAGTTTGTAAGCACGGAATTGCCAAATAAACAAGACACCCAGTAATTCCTCTAAGAGCTGAGATGGGGGAAGCATCACTTTAGGCTTTAGTAGTCTAGAGAGGCCTGATGAGAAACTCATACTTATGCAGAACCAAAATCCAAAAGACCAATAAGGAATTTTTTTTAATTATAGAGTGCTGCTTTTGTGCATACTTTTTTTTCTATAAAGTTGAAATGGGTCTGAAGAATAAAAGAAACATTAGCCTATATTTAACAGTCATAAAGGATAAATTAGCCTATATTTATCCTTCATAAAGGATATTTTGTGATGATTCTAATTCTCTGAATAATAGTTATTTGTGCACACTTATATATAGGCAGCCTTCTGAAGGCTATAATGAGAACACCCATCATCCCCTCAGTCCCACTCATGGAACCACTAGAAGAGATTGAAATTTTAAGTGTCAACATACTATAAAAATATAGAGAATTAGCTAGCTGTATAAACAACATAAATTAACTGCAGACATTTTATTTGGAGATATGAAGTTAAGGACATTTTTGGCAATCCCAGTTAAAATTTGATTTTAACTAAAAATTTAAACCTAATTATATTGGTAATGACTCTTATTTCCCTTTCATTTTTGTTGTTTTTTGAGATGGAGTCTCACTCTGTCACCCAGGCTGGAATGCAGTGGCATGATCTCGGCTCACTGCAACCTCTGCCTCCTAGGTTCAAGCAATTCTTGTGCCTCAGCCTCCTGAGTAGCTGGGACTACAGGCGTGCGCCATCACACCTGGCTAATTTTTTTATTTTTAGTAGAGAGGGGTTTCACCACGTTGGCCAGGCTGGTCTCGAACTCCTGACCTCAGGTGATTCACCCACCTTGGCCTCCCAAAGTGCTGGGATTGCAGGTGTGAGCCACCAAGCACAGACCCTTTTTTTTTTTTTTTTTGAGACAGAGTTTCGCTCTTGTTGCTCAGGCTGGAGTGCAATGGCGTGATCTCAGCTCACTGCAGCCTCTGCCTACAGGGTTCAAGCTGAGGCCTCCCGAGTAGCTGGGATTACAGGCATGCGCCACCACTCCCAGCTAATTTTGTATTTTTTAGTAGAGACAGAGTTTCTCCATGTTGATCAGGCTGGTCTTGAACTCCCTATCTCAGGTGATCCACCCGCCTCGGCCTCCCAAAGTGCTGGGATTATAAGGGTTGAGTCACTGCGCTTGGCCCCCCTTTCATTTTTTAAAATCAACTTTGGTCAGGCCTGGTGGTTCATGCCTGTAATCCCAAAACTTTGGGAAGCCAAGACAGGAGGATCTCTTGTGGTCAGAAGTTCGAGACCAGCCTGGGCAACATAGCAAGACGCCATCTCTTAAAAAAAAATTAGCTGGGCATGGTGGCACATGCCCGTGGTCCCAAATACTTGGGAGGAGGCTGAGGTAGGAGGATCGCTTGAGCCCAGGAGTTCAAGGCTGCAGGGAGCCATGATTATGCCACTGCACTTTAACCTAGGCAACAGGGCAAGACTTTGTCTCAAAAATAAATAAATAAACTTTACTGAGATACAGTTTACATAAAATAAAATGCGCCCATTTTACAGTTTAATGAGTTTTTTGTTTTTTTTTTGAGACAGAGTCTCACTCTGTCATCCAGGTGGAGTGCAGTGGCACAGTGGAGTGCCTGGCCTGGAAAATATTTTTCAATGGAGAAGACTATGGTTTGCATTTTGGAGACATTACCTTTTACAGTGTTTTAATAATGAAAAGGCACAGGAAAATGCACATACAGTTACTCAAAGTACAGCCTTGGGGAGAGGAATGAGAAAGGAGAGGCAATGAAACGGCAGGGCGCTCAAAAGGATGGAACCGAAGTGACTAGACAGAAAGCATCTTGGCTTAAGTGGCAGCATAGCTAATATAATTTTACAGTAAGTTAAATAAAATAGAAGCTAACACGTTCAGTGCCCAAAGGCAAGAAATTGTACCAGTTGATGCCTTTTAGTCTAAGAGCTAGGATTCTGTACAGATTGCTGAGTTTCCAGGCTGCACTTTTCCTGGATCAGAACCATTGCTTCTAGGCCGGGTGTGGTGGCTCACACGTGTAATCCCAGTGCTTTGGGAGGTTTGCTTGAGCCTAGGAGTTTGAGACCAGCCTGGGCAACATAGCAAGACCCTGTCTCAAAAAAAGAAAAATTAAAAATTGGCTGGATGTGGTGGTGCATACCGGTAGTCCCAGATACTAGAGAGGCTTAGGTGGGAGGATCGCTGGAACCCAGGGGTTGGAGGCTGCACTGAGCTATGATGGTGCCACTGTACTCCAACCTGGGTGACAGAGTGACACTGTCTCTTAAAACAAACAAACAAACAAACAAACACCATTGCTTCCCTTTGTCTCCTCGTCCTCCTGGTCTTATAACCACGTATGAAGTGTCTTCCTGCCTGGATTTTGTTCTAACGTGGGCATGGATTCTACTCTACAACCTTCCTTGTTTTAGCAAACCACAATGGTTTATACAAAGATTAATAAGGGGAAAAGCATTTGAAGTAAAAATATTTCGCTAGGCTATTCTTTTTTGGAGGGAGGAAATGTATTATTTCTTTTAAAAAAGATAAATATTTAAAGTAAAAAAGAAAAAAGAAGGAACAGAGGAAAAAAAAGTCAACTAAGTTAATCACTGTTTAACAGTGAATATCCCTAAAAACATCTCTTTGCATATATATTCAGTTTTGCAATCTGCTTTCTCTCTCAACAATATTTCGTGGCTTTCTTTCTATAACAATAAATACAGATGTACATCCTTATTTTTATGACTTCATAGAATTCCATTGTAGTCCACTGTATGTAATTAGTTATCATTCATGGGCATTTAGGTTGCATTGTTTTTCACTATTATAAATTAAATGGCAATTTTTAGCATATTTTGCCCAACTAATCTAACATCTATGAATATTAATATTCTTTCCAAATTTTAAAAAAATCAGTAATATTTTGTGAATGGAGAAAACTGTTAGCAGGAGTAGATGTATTTTTACTTCCTGAGAAGTGCTTTCCTTCTGCTACTGTATTTGCAATATTACAATGTTCACTTTTAGGGTATGGAAGATAGTAACCTAAATCCTGTTCCTCTCTTCTGTTGAGCACTGTATACACAGAAGCTTCCCAAGGAAAAGCTATGAACTCTACACTTTGGAGGAGGTTGAGGCAGTGGGGGTGAGAGGTACGAGTCTTTCCTAAGCTGACTTTACTGTTTTTTGCCTGATCTCCTGCATACCTGATGTCCCCATGTTTTCCTCTAAGTGCTCCAGGCCCTCCATGGTGGCTCCTGGCTGGACCCCCAGCAAGAGCTGATCCTGTTCTCTCACTGGTCCTTTCTCTCTAGCTTTTCAGAGGTTACCAAGTGAAGGAACGAGGCTTACAGAGATTGCCCTGTGTTTTTCCGTTCCTTTAGTGCCTTGAGAGGTAAGCCAGCTGGCTAAGATAAACTAGCTGGTACTGTGCTAGCAGAGAACGATAACACTTTGATGTGTGAATATTCCAAATACCACTTCTCAAAGACAAAATGAGATTTTAAGGCATCAGTCCCAAAGGGATAATAAACTGGCAATTTTGGGCCCCCTAACGGGCATTGAAGGTGTTATCACCAGGCAAAGAGGGCCTCTGCATCCTCAGGGCACACCAGTGAGGGGGGCACTCGCTTTGACCTGCCTCTTTCCAGCCCAGTACCATAGCAAGCAAAGCTATACAGATGTTACGGAACTGATCTCATTTTCAAACAGAAGACCCCAAATCCTGGGGCTGATACCAAAAGACGTGAAAATGGAGCTGGGATATAGGCAGAAGAGTGGGATTTACACTTCTTTTTATCATTCATTGTTTTTCCTGGCATTTATCATACAGTGACCAATCAACATTCATTAAAACGTAGCATCATATACTTTGCCAAGGTAAAGTCTCCAGGAAATGCAGGATAGTAACTAAGCAACAAGAAGACTCTGTGGTTTGTGATACTCATTTCTCAGGCTCCTGAGTGTATATAATGAGGTTATATTACATCATGGAGAAACACTGCAGGCAGAACCAACTACAACTTCGTGTGATGGATAAAATAAAAAACAGGAGTGTTAAAAGGACACAGTGAGCAATGTGGAACTTGGAAAAGAAAAACATGTTGAAGAGCTGTCAGGCCAGGTTTAGTTGAATCCAGCTCTCCAACTGTATGCAGCTTCCCTAGGTTAGGTATGCAAAGCTTTATTTTGGTCTACCACAGGGAAACTGAGATTGAGACAATTACTGTTTCTGCAGATTTACCTAGAAAGGGCCTGTTAGGTGTTACTGTTCTCAGTACTGTGCTACAAAGAGTAAAACAAGTTCTGTTTTCCACTTCAGAGCTTACTTGGAGAAATGCAAGTAAAACATAATACATCTTGATAAATGTGTATAAATCATAATACATCTTGATAAGTATGTATAAAATGCTGCTAGAGCAATGGAAATTTCTCCAATTACAGATCACAGAATGACCAAAAGTTCTCTAGGTTTGGAACATCGATAAGGAAACAATTATTTGTGTAAAATGATGTAAACTTTCTAAGATGTCATATGGCAATATTAAGAGATTTAAAAATGTTCCTTTTTGGTCAAAATGACCTAGGAATTCCAATTCTAATGATTCCTTTTATAGAAATGAGCAGATGCTGACAAAGATTAGCATATAAAAATGTTCATCCCCGGCCGGGTGCAGTGGCTCATGCCTGTAATCCCAGCACTTTGGGAGGCCCAGATGGGTGGATCACAAGGTCAGGAGATCGAGATCATCCTGGCTAACATGGTGAAACCCCATCTCTACTAAAAATAAAAAATAAAAAAAAATTTTTTCATCCCGTAACTGTTTTTTATCATCCTGAAAAAGAAACAAATGAAATGTCCATTCTTTGGGGAGAGGTTAAATAAGTTAGAGTACACCTAATACAATATATTTTGCAGTCATTATAGTTTTAAAAAAATGCTAACTGGCATGGAAAATATTTATTTATTCAGAGAGAATCTATGCGAGTTTATGATCTCCAGTATGAAGGACAAAGGAAAAGCATTGTTTGTGCCAGGCCTTGAAGCTTAAGTCAGATTAAAGACATGCAGAGGTGGGGAGGAATGGTGCTCAGAGGGACGAGGTCACAGGAGTAAAGTGAGAGGCCAGAGTGGCAGACACAGAGGGAGTTGTGAGCAGGTTTGAGCAGCTGGGGAGAAAGCCTGGCGAGCAGGCCAACCTGACTGTCAGGTGGGCTGGGTTTTTAGTTAAAAACAATGAGAAGCTACTGACAGATTTTAAGCAGGGGAGGGACAGGACCGCCTGCTTCAGTAGGGTCTATTGAGCTGCTCCTGGGGGGCCCAGGGCTATTTTAATGTCGAATTATAGCTGCAGTGCGTTTTGAGTTCCTTGGAGGTTACTAACGTGAGACAGAGACAAGTACGTTAATACAACTCATCAACTATCCCTGTTTTGCTTTCAAAATGCTGTTGGGTTTTGTCCTGTTAGGGACAGGGTCTGAAGTGAAGCCAGTTAACTAAGATTAAGGTATGTGAAAGTGCCTGGCTCGAGGGAGACACTCAATAAATCCCCTCCCAATGCCAGTCACCTTGGATAGAAAGATTTCTTGCCAGGGTATATTCAAGGAGCTTCCTATTCAGAGGAACCATTAGCTACAGTTCTGGGAATACTGAAGAAGTGCTGTATTAAAGTAATGCATCTGACAATCCTAATTTTCATGGGCCTAATCTGCCTCTTGGGTGAATCATTTCTTTTTCCTACCTATACCGTATCTTGGCTCCAGAGGCTGCCTACTGTATCATTCCATTCCATCCTGGATTCTCCTATAGGGAGCCAAGTACACATGATAGCCCCACAGGTCTTGGTCACAATACCTATCATCTGGGGGCCAATCAAGGAAAACTGTCAACATGAATATATGAAGCTCTTATCAATGAATAATACCAATTCCTGGCTAGATCGGGATTACATTTGCCTGCATACAACTTGGGAATTCAAAATAACAATGATTTATACACACAGTTTATTTCTCTCATGTAAAAGAAGCTTACACAGGGACATTATCTTAGTTCATGGCTTCTATCTTCAAGGTCACTTGGCATTCAAAACTGGATGCTAGAATTCCAGCTATCCTGACCATACTCCAAGAAGCAGAGAAGAGGCAGCTTTTATTTTTTTTTTTTTTTTGAGATGGAGGCTCGCTCCTGTCGTGCAGGCTGGAGTGCAGTGGCAACATCTCAGCTCACTGCAAACCTCCACCTCCTGGGTTCAAGCAGTTCTCCCTCCTCAGCCTCCTGAGTAGCTGGGATTACAGGCATGCGGCACGGCCATGCCCGGCTAATTTTTGTATGTTTAGTAGAGACGGGGTTTTGCCATGTTGGCCAGGCTGGTCTTGAACTCTCGACCTCAGGTGATCCACTGCCTTGGCCTCCCAAAGTGCTAGGATTACAGGCGTGAGCCACTGCGCCTGGCTAGAGGTAGCCTCTTTAGAGAGCTTTTCTGGAAGCGTCCACTCACATCTTATTGGCCAGACTTAGTCCTGTGGCCAGCTGTCATCTTTGAGCTGGGCATACTGCTGTTCCTCACAAAACAGGCCTTGAAACTATGGGAGATGGGAGAACAGCCATTGGGGAGCACAGTAGCCACCTCTCTCACTTCCAACTTATGCCTGACCCTGCTAGATGCTACACTTTGCCTGCTCACAGGTACATCCTAGTTCTCAAGGATCCCACATATATATACCATTTCTCTTCTTGAAAAGTATGGAAGGATAAAGAAGGTAGAGTTCGACAAGACAGAGCCTGGGCTTCCTAAGGCCATTTAGTCTGGGGACAAATGGTGAACTTGCAGTGGTGAGGTAGATAAATCAGTTTCCAAGTGGGCTTTCTCCCAGATGCCAGAGACCCTGGCTGTCCCTGTTTCATCATGCATTCCATCAACAAATGATTTACTTAGGAAAAAATATGGGGCACAAGTGCTACCCTCCCTCACTCGTTCCCTCATGGTGGCTCCCTTCTCGGCTAAGCTGGAACATGACCTCAGAATCCTCAACACAACGTCCCTGGCAGTTACTCTGGTCCAAAAGACTTGACACTACTACTTAAAACTATTAGCCATCCTTATTTCTTGTGGGAATTTTTATTTGGACGCACAATTTCTGGGTAGTTTCTAATTTCATATAAATATATTTCTCATGGTGGAATTTTAGGTATATGCCCAGGCGATAAATGTAGGTATTTATAGGCGGCAGGCTTTGCATTTCTCAGATTTCACCACTCAGTGGCTGTAATCACTCTCATTGCTGGAAACTTGTTCTTGTGATTGTTTAACTTACTGGACTGTGAGTTTCTCCAGAATGGAAACTATAATCCACTTTCGTATCCTCAAGGTGCCTGGCTCAGTATACTCTCAAAAATGTTATCCAGAAATGAGTCACCTGACTTGATCAAGGTCAAGTGGCTATCAAAGTAAATACTTCCCCTGTAGCTGGTTACACTGTGGACTGCCTACTACCAAGGACAAAAGGCAGGCCTCATTTGGAGAGGAGGTCGGTGACAGGAGGAGCATCAGTAGCACAACACACAGAATGTCTTGGTTATTTCACAACTGCCTTATAAATGCTCGAGTAACCGTCATGAGAAACTGACTACCAGGTGAAAGGGCAGCCATACTCTGAGGAGACACTACAGATTTTCCTTTCCACAAAAGGTTCAGGTCCTGGGCTAACTTGGCTCAGTGTTTTCTGTGTTCCAGAAGGTGACTCAGGGAGTTGTGCAAATGACTGACTCATATTTCATGGATACGAGTATGGCTGATGTAAGACTGCAGTTATCTCCTCCTGATTCAATTAAGGTAGACTATTCTTGATTGTTTTTATCAGTAGATCTATAAATTATACAAGTTGATACTAATATTGCTTATGTTTTAAATAGTGTGGTTCCACAGAAAATTTTGTTTTTTCTGTGAGAAACAAAGCTACTATTGCTAAAAAAGTGTCAAGAGCACTGACTTAGCTATAGTTCATCTGAGTTTTTTTTGAGACGGAGTCTTGCTCTGTCACCCAGGCTGGAGTGCAGTGGCACGATCTCGGCTCACTGCAACCTCCACCTCCCGGGTTCACACCATTCTCCTGCCTCAGCCTCCCGAGCAGCTGGAGCTATAGGCGCCCACCACCACGCCTGGCTAATTTTTTGTATTTTTAATAGAGACAGGGTTTCACTGTGTTAGCCAGGATGGTCTTGATCTCCTGACCTCGTGATCCACTCACCTCAGCCTCCCAAACTGCTGGGATTACAGGTGTGAACCACCGCGCCCGGCCCACCTGAGTTTTATATTTACCTGGTTACAGTGACCAAATTCTTCAACAGTGATCATGGAGAAAGATGAGACAAAATAATTCCCAAATGATTCTTTCTGCTCAAAGACCAGGGTGGGTATGAGTAGATCCAGGTCAATTTTTTTTTTCTTTTAAGAGACAGGGTCTCACTCTGTCACCTAGGCTGGGGTACAGTGGTACAATCATAGCTCACTGCAGCCTCCTACTCCCAGACTCAAGCCATCTTCCTAATCCTCCTCAAGCTTGAGGACAGGCCTTGTTACAATGCTCAGTGTGTACCTCTCCCCTTCTCCACTCCCCTTGTCCACATTCTGGGCTAGATCCACACTCTATTGAGGAACTGTCTCTGTATTTTGATTCCCGAGTGACACAGTGTTGGAGATCCTGTGGCTAGATACACAGGTTATTTCTGCATATGGCTACTCCTCAACCTTGTTGCCTGTCTTACTCTGGTCTGAGAGCTGAACCCCACAGAAATAACAAGGCTCCCCTCATCCCTTTCTCTGAAAGATTAGTACTAGTCCTAAGTGGTTAGCTCCCAGCTTCCTTTAGGACAGAAAAAAGAGAAGGAGAGAAGTGACACTTGTTTTTTTACTCACAAAGTCTTGGAGATAGGAGGTAGGAGGTTGGGGTGGATGTAGCTTGGACTTTGGAATTAGAACCAGGTTCAAATCCCCAATTAGGACATTTCTCAGTATTTTGATCTTAGATAGGTTTACTTATCAAAGTGTCTATTTATAAAATGGGGTATAACTTAATCAGATTTAGATGTAAGAAATAGTATAGTGCATGGCAGCTAGCAGGCTTTCAACGAACGACATCTCTCATTACTATCATTTTGACATCACATTTATCTGCTCAGAGTTGGTTACTGTTCTGCAATTTTTCCCAAAGTGTCACTGTGTGTCAGGCAGGGAGTATCTGCCTGGAGGAGTTTGAAGTATGCATGTAGGGTGGATGAGTTGTGGGGGTCGGCACCCAGGTAAATCACTAGCGAGGCTTTAGTACCCGTCTTTTCTCTCCAGGATTCTTGACCAAAAGTTACACTCTAAATTAAAGTCCAAACAGGTACATACCTAAGGGGAATATGGTGGAAATGTCAAAGAGGAGATAGGGAAAGAGGGGGAGGGGGGCGGGGCACAAAAATCCTGGCAGACCAGAGGCTGTACCACCCTTTGTTAAGGGTATGTGGCTACACTGATCTCTCATCCTCCAGATGCTCTTCCCAGTTAACACTGCCCAGTGACCTTCTTGGACAGGAAGCATGCAGCCAGCCATGCTGTCACCTTAGTGCCACTGTCTCTTTCTCCTCTTAAGCCCTTCAAACCATAATTTGAATGTAAATGTTATACATTTTATAATGAAATAAAAATAGCTTAATGCATCTGAGTAGATATGCCACACACCTATGGTCCAATGACTGGATGCTGACTTTCATATGTGGCCCAAATTACAAAGCAGCAATCAGAACAGACAACAACAGACAACAAGGGAACTTCTCTCCCACGGGTTCAGCAATCTGACCCAAACTCCATAGCCCCAGACAATCTGAATACACACATGCAAGTGTAAATATGCCCCAGTTTTCCCAGGAAGCAGGAAAATCTACACAGCCTCAATGAAGAGCACTATTTTGGACTGTTGTTGTCTACCCACCCTCTCCAGGGCTTTAATTCTTTAGAACTTCCCTTTTACACTTCTTTTCTCATCTGGTCAGCATTACCACTTTGCAGCCACTTATTTTCCATGGACATCTGCCACTTATCCTAACAAATAGCATTAATACAGTTGAGAGCATGGAGCGTTTAAAATATGGACTAATAAATGTATAAACAGTACTTTGAGAGGGAGGGAAAGCACAGGTTAAAAAATGGCTAGATGTAGAGAATTAAATGAAATGTTTATAAAGCCGTTCACACGATGTCCACACATTGCTGATGCTAGATAAATATCAAGTCCCTTATTCCTTCTCTTACCTTTTAGTAACTGGATTTGTCACGAACAGGTACTGAGGTCTGCATAAATCAAGGCATGATTTCATCTCTGGGCCTCAGTTTCCTCATATATAAAATTAAGACAGTTGTACTATTGTACTAGTTTTTTTTTCAAGAACTAGTTCAAAAACATTCCCAGCTCCCACCCCCACCCCCCCACCCCACAAGACTCTCCTCAAGACTCCTTCAGTAAATATTTGGAAAAAGGGTGGGAAGTTTGTTTCTGCCACCTTATATTCTTCCCAATAAAGGCAAGAAAAGTCAGGGATGGCTGGCATTGTGGGCGTCGGGAGGGAATGCGAACCAACATTTACTCTACTTCTCTCCCAGCCAGGCATGTTCACATACCTTGATCTTAGTCAACTGGCCTAAGTTAACTTGTTCCCAACATGACAAAACCCGATGGCATTCTAAAAGCAAAGCAAAGCAAAGCAAGGGCAGTCGATGAGTTGTGTTAACTTAGTTTTCTATCTCATGTTAACCTCCAAGGAACTCAAAACAACTCCACAGCGAATTCAATATTAAAATAGCTCTGGGACCCCAAGATTTATTTCACAGCTTAAAGCAAGGTCACTATCAAGTCCTCGGCAAAGCTCAAAATACAATAGAAAACTCCCAAATCAAGCCCCAGCTTATTTAAATGCTTAGAAAAAAAAAATAGCCAGGTGCCGTGGCTCATGCCCGTAATCCCATGGGAGGAGTCCAGACGGGAGGATTCCTTGAAGACAGGAGTTCGATACCAGCCCGGGTTACGAAGCGAGATCCCATCTCTACAAAAAGTTAACACACACACACACACACATTCACCACCTTAGCCTGGCTTAGTGGCGGGCGCCCGTGTTACAAAGGGAGATCCCATCTCTACAAAAAGTTAACACACATACACACCCTACCTTAGCCTGGCGTAGTGGCGGGAGCCTGTAGTCCTCGCTACTTTGGAGACACACACACACACACACACCCGTAGTCCTCGCTACTTTGGAGACACACACACACACACACACACACACACCTTAGCCAGGCGTGGTGGCGCGCGCCTGTAGTACCGGCTACTTTGGAGGCTGAGGCGGGAGAATCGCTTCAGCCTAGGAGTTCGAGGCTGCAGTGAGCCGAGATTGCGCCACTGCCCTCCAGCCTGGGCGACAGAGCGAAATCATACCTCTAAAAAAATAAATTAGAAAAATAAAAAGACAAAAAGAGCCAGCCCGGTTTCGGAGAGGCAGGTGCAGCCTCAGCGCCCTGGGCCTGCGTCCCCGACCGGGCCCTGGCTGCGCTCCCGCCCGCTGCGGGCCCCGGGGACGCACCTCGCATCCCGCGCTGGGCCCCGTTCCGTCCAGCCCGGGGGAGTGGAGGAGGCAGAGGCCGGGTGGGGAAGGGCCTCCAGAAACCGAGCTCCCGACGACGTCTCCCGCGACCCCAGTGCCCGAGAGAGGAGCGGCCCCCGGGAGCGATCCCACAACCGCGCGGGGCTGCGCCGCCCCGAACCTCCCCGCGGCCGCCGATCTGCTTCCAGGGCAGAGGGAAGGGGCGGTGACGGGGCGGGGCGGGGGCTGCGGCGAGGGCGGGCGCCGCTGGCGAGGGAGGGCCGCCAGCATCCTCCCTGGCCGCGCCGCACCGCGCCGCGAGGAGTCCGGGGGCTGCGCCCACGCCCGCTGCCCGCCCGCTCGTCGGCTAGTCCCGCCGTCCGGCGCGGACACGCGTGCCCCCGGCTTGAACCGGAACCTCTTGCCGAGGCGGCCGCCGTCGCCGCAGCCGCCGGGGAAGCGGACACCAACTGGGGAAGCGCGGGGGGGAGGCGGCCTGCGCGGCGCCGCCCGCCATGGCCGCGGCGGGGTGAGGTAGGCGCGGCGGCCGCAGTCGCGCGGACCCGAGCGCTCCTCCGCCGCGGATAGGCCGGCCGAGGGGGAGCCGGGGCCGTCGCCCGCTCGTCGCCGCCGCCGCCGCCGCCGCCCATGGCGAGGCCCCGCCGCCGCCGCCGCTGCTGACCCGGCGGCCGGCCGCCGTTCCGCCCCCTCCCGTGGCGGCGAGCGGGCGGGCCTCCCCACACGCCCCCGCCGCCCGCGCCCCGCGTCCACCCGCGCCCCGCTCCCGGGGACTGGGAGAACAGGATAGCAGCAGGAGTCGGGGGGCCGCCGAAGATGGGGAACACTACCTCGTGCTGCGTGTCGTCCAGTCCCAAGCTCCGGAGGAATGCCCACTCCCGGCTGGAGTCCTACCGGCCAGACACGGACCTGAGCCGCGAGGACACGGGCTGCAACCTGCAGCACATCAGCGACCGGGAGAACATAGACGGTGAGTGCGGCCCGCCGAGCCCCCTACCCGCCCCCGCGGCAACAGTCGCACAGCCAACGTCGGGGCGGCCCGGCTGCTCTTGCTTGCCCAGCCGGTCTCGGCGACCCGTGCATAACCGGGGCTTCGCCCGCGCAGCCTAGGCGCCCGGGGCCCCGCAGCCTCTGGGCGTACCCCTCGCTGGTTACCCCCAAGTGAGCGGCCGCGGAAACTTTGCAGGCCCGCGGCATCGAGCACGGCGGGCCTAGGGCGGGTGTGTGCGCGTGGGTCGCGAGGTGACAGGAGCCGGCCCTCGTCCTTAATGGAGCGGCCAGAGCTGGGTGGGGGCGGCCCGGGAGCTCGGGGTTCCCGGCACTACCTGAATGCAGCCCGAAGCCAAGTTGTGCACGCGTTTGTCCTATAAAAGCGAAGTGAGTGGATTCCCATTTTGGAATCCCGGTGTCTCCAACCTCGAGTTGGAGAACCATGTTGAGTCAGTTCCCCGGAACCTTACAAATGGACTCCACTTCCCCCGTTCCCATTCTACCGTTTTTTTTAAAAAATGATTTTTTTGAGTGGCGGTTCCAGGATTAGTCAAATAGCTTCTCCCGAGAATGCTCTTTAAAAGATTGTCAGACACCTTTGGGTTAAGTCTCAGTTTTTGCATGGGCCCGAATTGCAGTCCTATGAATTTCTGATTTATTCAGGTGACTTTTGGTTGGTCTGGAGTTTGCAAAAAGAAAAAAAGCTAAGACTAATTACTGCACGCAGTAATGTTTTATTTATTTTATTGGTTTGGCAACATATTTATTAGCACTGTTGCTCAGTGATAACGACAGAGGGATATTTATGCATCATGCTTAAAATATAGTTTATAGAATTTTCAACTGAAAAGATTTGAAATTGGAAGTATCTTTTTATGACAAGGTGATTTTTTTAACCCAAACATCTTCTCATAGTTAATCTGGTTGAACTAATATGAAGAAATTTTTGTGTGAATGAATGAACACAACTTCATAATTCGTTCCTGTCCACTTTAGGATGGAAGATTCTCTCCACTGTGGAAAGGCCACATTTAAACTTTGCTAAAGGAAAGATTTTTCTCGTTTGTCTTCGTGTAATTTCTTCTAAATGGTAGTTTAATCTTTTTAGGAGAGCATCTTTATTAAATGAGTGCCATGTATAAAGGGAGTAACACAACGTCTGGTTTCTAGTACGCGCTTAGTAAATTATGGTTCCATATGACGTGTCTAGTGTTGTTATTTTAGATTTCCATTATTTTAAACATACGCTTAGATGTCTTTGAACTACAGCCATACTTTCTTCTTAAATTTATGCATTTAAAGGCATCTAGAAGGATGAAGGCCAGATCGGTCTTGATCACTTTCACAGCCTCTAGCACCTGAAAGAAAAGTCTAGCATATAATAAACAGTAAGTATTGTACTTTAAAGGGAGGAATAAATGAATGAGTTTATTACAGAAAGCCATTACCCAGTCCTATACTATGTTGACAGGCGAAAACATTTGGAAATAATGTCTTCTTTATGATGTGCAGTAAATTTCCTTTTTATGTTGTGCAGTATCTAGCGGAGGCTTTGTTTTGAATGATGGATCAAAAAAGAAAAAAAAGAAGATTTACATTTCTTAGAGCCAGGCTGCATACAGTTATTATAGACTATTGTAAGGAAATAAGGTGGAAAAAATAAGTGTAACCAGGTATTTGGCACTAAGGCTCAGTACAATTTTGCCAGAGTACAGTGAAATGATATTGTGTGTTCTTTCATTTCAAAGAAATCTTAAGTTTCAGTCATCAGGAATTTTTGAGAGAATGTTTGGAAGACTCTTTTGCAGATTCAGGATAGTTTGAGAGAGTATAGGGCAGGTTTCCAATCTAGGCTGTGGAGTGCCCTCTCATCCCAGATCCCAGTTCATATGATTATGCTAGTTTAAACCCCGAAATATTAATTCACCTTCTGTCTCTCAAATTCAATAAATAATACTTCTAGCATTGACCCAGCCAGCAGTTCTCAACATTGGTTTCAGTTAAACCAGAAATCTAGTACTGGACATTGCCATTAATATGTTTAAATCTCTCCAAGGTGATTCTGAGATGCAGGTAGGCCTGAGAATTGCTGGCTGGGCAAATCTTGGAAGTGTTACCTGCCGTTCAGGGACATTTTTGGTAGAAATTCATTATTAGAGGCTGAGAGAAGAGAACAGGTTTTAATTAAATAGAGTGTATATATATACACACTATATACATCTATATGTCTGTATTTGCTCATCTATATCTGTATGTATTTGAACTGAGTTATATTGATTGTTAGGTTATTAGTAAACATTTTAAAACTACATTTTAAGAATCATTGACTCTAGTATATATCAAAAGCTGAAGTACTCAAATACCATATTTTTTATGTCCTGAAAAACATCCCACCCAGCTGGTTTAGAAAGGTTTGAAGTTCATGGGTCTTCTATGATAGGTTAGTGTCTTTAAATCACAGAGATATGACATATGTATCCATGCTTTCTTCCCTTTGTCACCAGGCACATGAAGGGGTAATACTTGTCCTGTAGAATTTCAGTAATTTTAGTGTCTGGGAACTTAGGTGTCTATGGTGCTTAATGGCAACTTAATGTGTCTTTTTGCTCAGTTTATCTTAGTGTTAGGTTATTCATGTTTTTGAAATTGATATTGGACTCATGCTTTCCAGGTATTATTTCTTATAAAATCATTCAGAGATTGAGAAAAAACAGCAACACATAACAACAATAGTAATCTTCAGAACAATTCTTTAGGAAAATAAAAAAATGATAGTAATAATTGCAGCCTATGTATTACTTACTCTGTAGCAGCTGTCACCAGCTGCCGCTCTAAGTACTTGGATTCCATTCATTTACTTAGAACTCACAGTAACCCTATGGGTAATATTACCCTTACTTTAAGACAAAGAAATGAGTCACTGAGAGGAGAAATGACTTGTCCAAAGTCACACAGCCAATACATGGCAAATGGAAACTTTCCATTGTTGCTTGACTTAGCCATCAAACGTTAGCTAGTCTGGGGTTGCCTTCTGGGATAGGGTGTCTTGTCATTGCAGTCATATCCATACTTTCTCAAGGATAAACTTCTTCTGTCTGCAGCAGTTATTCAGTCCAGACTTCCAGGATTAGATTATTTCTGTGGGAGGAGAAAGGGAGGGAGGGACTAAAGAGAATTTAAAATGTGAGGAGACCAAATAAATCAGGATACTTGTAACAGCTGTACCATAGTGTCCTTGTAGGGTTTTACCTTAAAATGGTTGATGGCAACTTCATTCTTTTTTTTTTTTTTTTTTGAGATGGAGTTTTGCTCTGTCACCCAGGCTGGAGTGCAGTGGCATAATCTTGGTTCACTGCAACCTCCACCTCCCGGGTTCAAGCAGTTCTCCTGCCTCAGCGTCCCAAGTAGCTGGGATTACAGGCATGCGCCACCACGCCTGGCTAATTTTGTATTTTTAGTAGAGATGGGGTTTCTCCATATTTGTTATACTGGTCTCGAACTCCTGACCTCAAGTGATCTGCCCGCCTCAGTCTCCCAAAGTGCTGGGATTACAGGGGTGAGCCACTGCTCCTGGCCCACTCTTTTCATTTTTATAGTTTACCTGTCATCCTTGACAACTCACTTTCTCCCTCGTCCTGTATCATATCTGGTAGGAAAATGTGGCTCTCTGCCCTCAGAATATATCAGACTTTGACCACTCTCAAGACCTCTGCTGCTGCTCTTCTGGAGATTTAAGCAGCTGCCATCTCCCCCAGCCCACCTGGTCTCCCTGCTTCCACCCTTGCCTGCTCCAGTCTGTTCTCGACACAACAGCCATGGCTAAGATCCTTTAAAAAACTTGAACTTATTCCTTCACTCAAAAACGGCAGTGACTCGTTATTGCACAAGTAAAAGCCTTACAGTGGTCGCTGGGGCCCCTTGGGATCTGCCTGCCATCAGCTCACTCAGTCGCTTGCTCATTCCAGCCACATTGGCCTCCTTCCTTGCCCTTCCTGGAACATACCAGACACAAACTTCCACCCCGTTCTCTCCCTCTGCCTGAAGTGTCCTCCATGTGCTCTCTTGGCTGAGTCCCTTTATCACCTGCAGCCTTGGTTCAAGCCTGACCTTTTCAGGGAGGCCTTCCCAATCACCTTTAAACATCCTTTCTGCCGCCCACTGGCAATCCCAATGCATATTCCCTGCACTCCTGTTTCTTTATTCCTTAACACTTTATGATATACTATATAAGTATAAACATAAATACTAGCTACTAGCTACTAGCATGTAAGTTCCAATAGAACATTTATTGTTTGGTTCACTGATGTAACCAAGTGCCTAGAGTAGCACCTGATTCCTTGAAGATACTATAAATATTTGTTGAATGAATTTGTTGAGTGAAACCAACCATTGAAGGATGTGAATGAAAACATCATCGCGTATGTTTATTGGGTGAGGGGAAACAGGAGGCAAGGAGAATGAAGAGGACTTGTAATAATGAAAGTAGCGTGGATGTGAAACTTTTTGGCTTTGTAGTTTAACCTGAGAGGTAGCAGATAGGGTGAAGTACTGAAAATGAAACTTAAAGGTTTTAAAGCTTAAAAAGAAAAAAAGCATACCCAGGCTGAAAGGAAACCTGGCTAATGGGAATCTGTTTAATAATGTGGTATGTTTAGTCTTTTTTCCTTGTTTCTTTCAACGAATGACTTTAGCTGTGGCCTTACATCCTTAAGGATCAAATTGAGACTCAAATGCTCAATTAACCAAAAAATACTAGATGAACATCTGCAATTATGAACATAGTCACTTATGTTGATTTTCTTGTCTGAAACATGAAGTGTCTAATGGGATATAGGTACATGGTGTTTTGGCTGTCTACAGCCAGAGAAGCTAGAAGCCTCAGGGACTCATCCCAAGCAGCGGAGGGATAACTGGCAAAACTGCTTGCCGTTAGAAGAGTGGGGACACAGGGCAATTTGAAATCTAAGTGCCTGTAGGATGAGCTTGCATATTGCTCTTGGCTTCCTTGAGTCTCTACAATCTATTTAACATCACCTCTGCAGCACTCTTTCTTGAATCTTGGTCCCACATTAACATTACCAGCCCTGGTGGGCAGAACATACCGTGGACTTTCTTTCCAGGCTAAGACTTATCAGCCCTGCTGTCTGCAAGGTATGTGGAGACACCCCGACCAAGCATGTGACTTCATATTAGTTAGCAGTGTGGAGAAGTGCAGTTTAAAGATTTGTCAAGAGAGCCATTCTCCATAGCACTGACCATGGGTCCATGACCTGTCTCTGCTTACTTTTCATGTTTCTCTTTCACTTAGAATCAGGGAGTCGTTTGCTTCCACACACCCATTTTACAGGTGGGAAGACTGAATCTCAGAGAGGTGTAGTTTCTTGCCCAGGTCATGCAGATCATGGATGATGGTAGTAGAATTTACTTTGTTAATTTTCGGCCAACAACCGTGCTAATTACTTGACCTGTATTGTTTTTCTTAGTCTTCTTATCATTCTCCCCATTTTCTAGGTGAAGAAATTGAGCCTTAAAGGTTAAGGCATTTGCGGAAGGTTCCTCAGTTTGTTAGTGGCAGCTGGGGTTCGGTCTGCTGTCAGCTTGCCTCCATGCCTCAACTGCCCTGTGACAGCTAATTAGAGAATGATCCGTGTCTAGAATCTGAACCTCCTGATGGCCTGGCCCAGCCCACTTTGTTTCAAGAGATTCATAGTTATTGCCTATATGCTTTTGTCTAGCAATATTTTGTGTAAGGACTTTTACTTTCCTGCCTGCCTTTTTTTTTTTTTTTTTTTTAAGACAGGGTTTTACTCTCTCGCCCTGGCTGGAGTGCAGTGGCGCGATCTTGGCTCACTGCAACCTCTGCCTCCCAGGCTCAAGTAATTCTCCTGCCTCAGCCTCCCGAGTAGCTGAGATTACAGGTGCACGCCACTACTGCCCAGCTAATTTTTGTATTTTTAGTAGAGATGGGGTTTCACCATGTTGGCCAGGCTGGTCCATATGATCCACCCACCTTGGCCTCCCAAAATGCTGGGATTACAGGCATGAGCCACTGCGCCCAGTCTCCTGCCTGCTTTTTGAGAGTAATGAAAATTAAATAATTCCATGGAGTGGTAGATTTTCTCACCTTCTCACCCTCCTCTACAAAGCTGATGGTCTTTTTTTTTTTTTTTTTTTTTTTTGAAACGGAGTTTCGCTCTTATTGCCCAGGCTGGAGTGCAGTGATGCCATCTCGGCTCACTGCAACCTCCGCCTCCTGGGTTGAAGCAATTCCCCTGCCTCAGCCTCCTAAGTAACTGGGACTACAGGCACGTGCCACCACGTCCGGCTAATTTTTGTACTTTTAGTAGAGACGGGGTTTTGCCATGTTGGCCAGGCCGATCTCAAACTCCTGACCTCAGGTGATCTGCCTGCCTCTGCCTCCCAAAATGCTGGGATTATAGGTGTGAGCCACAGTCTCCGGCCTGATGGTCTTGCTTTTACATTTCTGGCTAGATGAAACTAATGCAAGGATTAAATTTATTTCTATCCAGCAAGGGGCAGAACCAAAAAATACCAAGAAGCAGGATATGTGTGTGGCTTTGAAATTCTGTTTTAATCACATAGGGTCAGAGATTTAGCTCCAAGTGTGTCACATTGGATTGACTTTGAGGAAACAGTGCTATTTTTCACAAGAGGGCTATTGACAGTATCATACTTGTCACACTTCAAAGTGTGAATCCTTTCATGATTCAACATTGGGCTGTGAGGGTAGGTCCCCAGCAATGACAGTTGATGTAAGTCCCTCATCCTTTCAGTATTATTTCCAGTTTATAGCTGGAAGAAGGGTGAGAGTTCACTTTCCCTGCAGCATTTCTCATCCTCTTCAGATGTTGAGTAGTTTGTTGCTTGGAGCCTTGGTCAGGAGACCATTTCTTCTCTGATTCTCAGCATTATTCTAGCCTGTCTTTCCTGAAGAAAGGAGAGGCTCAAGGAAGGTAAAGTCAGAGAAGGCTCTTCTCAGGGGATTTATAGGGTGTGCTCCCAGCTCTGTGAAGTATGGTGGAGGGCAAAGAGAGGAAGCCTTGTAATGGGAAGACCCGCATTCCAGATGAGGTTCTACTTTTACTGAGGGGCCTCCGTCCTGCTGAGCCTCACCTTCCTCTTCTGCTTAAAAAAAGTGCTTAAAAATACTGCCTTGCCTTGGGCTGGGCGCCGTGGCTCATGCCTGTAATCCCAGCACTTTGGGAGGCTGAGGCAGGCGGATCATGAGGTCAGGAGATCAAGACCATCCTGGCTAACATGGTGAAAACTGGTCTTTACTAGAAATACAAAAAAAATTTTTTTTTCAGTTGGTATACTTTATTTCTTTTTTACTTTTTAAATTATACTTTAAGTTTTAGGGTACATGTGCACAATGTGCAGGTTTATTACATATGTATACATGTGCCATGTTGGTGTGCTGCACCCATTAACTCGTCATTTAACATTAGGTATATCTCCTAATGCTATCCCTCCCCACTCCCCCCACCCGACAACAGGCCCCGGTGTGTGATGTTCCCCTTCCTGTGTCCATGTGTTCTCATTGTTCAATTCCCACCTATGAGTGAGAACATGCCGTGTTTGGTTTTTTGTCCGTGCGATAGTTTGCTGAGAATGATGGTTTCCAGCTTCATCCATGTCCCTACAAAGGACATGAACTCATCATTTTTTATGGCTGCATAGTATTCCCTGGTGTATACGTGCCACATCTTCTTAATGCAGTCTATCATTGTTGGACATTTGGGTTGGTTCCAAGTCTTTGCTATTGTGAATAGTGCCGCAATAAACATGCATGTGCATGTGTCTTTATAGCAGCATGATTTATAATCCTTTGGGTATATACCCAGTAATGGGATGGCTGGGCGAAATGGTATTTCTAGTTCTAGATCCCTGAGGAATCACCACACTGACTTCCACAATGGTTGAACTAGTTTACGTCCTACCAACAGTGTAAAAATGTTCCTATTTCTCCACATCCTCTCCAGCACCTGTTGTTTCCTGACTTTTTAATGATTGCCATTCTAACTGGTGTGAGATGGTATCTCATTATGGTTTTGATTTGCATTTTAAAAAATTAGCTGGGTGTGGTGGCGGGTGCCTGTGGTCCCAGCTACTCAGGAGGCTGAGGCAGGAGAATGGCGTGAACCCAGGAGGCGGAGCTTGCAGTGAACCGAGGTAGCGCCACTGCACTCTAGCCTGGGTGACAGTGAGACTCCATCTCAAAAAAAAAAAAAAAAACTGACTCGCCTTACACATTGAGGTAGTACTATGAGGATCCAAATGAGGCTAAAATGCTTAAAAAGCCACAAAGTACTAGATGAACTTATGTCATTATGAATGTGGTACTCATATTGATTTTCTTGTATTATATGTGAAGTGTGCTCCAGTATCTCCACCTAATTATGTTTGGACTGTCCATAGTTGGAGAAGCTGGAAGCCTAAAGAGCTTATCCTAACAAAGACATCAAAGCAGGCTTCAAGGCAGTCCCAGAGCATAACTGTAATTTTAGAGCTGGGTAGGGTAAGGTTATATAGAGCTGTCTGACCTTTGAGTGGGATGCTTGCTGGCTGTAGAATTTGGAATAGAAATACTATTTCTCAGATTCATTACTCTTCTGAGTTGCATCTTTCTGAAGTCAGTGTGATGCCACACAGGAGCAGTGGGATGAATATTTGAAGAAGCTTTCCCTGACTCCTGGGGTAATGGAACCCACCCAGGCTGTCTGCTAACTGTGTCCCCGGAACCACATTCCTAGGAATGTCAGCATGCACCCTTAGGTGTAAGCTGGAGCCAGGGCTTGCTTGCTTGCTTATTTATTTATTCAAAGAATAGGATTTTGAGGCATGCATAAATATGCTTTATTATATTAAAATACTGCTTTTTAATAAAGGGTAGTTGGTTACCTAAAATAATAAGATCAAGCGTTCCTCAGCAGGTTATTAGGGGCTGTTGTTCTCATTTCTTTTAGGAAAGGAATCTAACTGGCTAGACCCACAATTGCAGGGAGCTCAGGAGATACCCCACCCACCTTTTCTTTCTTGCTGTTGGCTCTGTGTGTTGCTGGTAGCTGTTGCTAGGCTCTCTGTCTCCCTTTACTTTTTCTAGGGGCTTCCTTTGCTATTTGCCAGCTTGGAAAGAAGGGTGTGCTAAAGCTAAAATTGAGCATGTCAGCCTGGCAAGTCACATTGGTGGATCCCACACATCAGCAAGATTTTGCCTGTAAAGTCTCTTGATGACTCTGGCAGAAGAGGTCATTTCAGGGGTTGGCCAACTCCAGACTGCCACTTTGTTGCCTTGCCAGGAAGGTTGCTTTTCAAATAGATAAGTGGAAAACCTGTAAATCTGTTTTTTTCACCTTTGTCAGAAGATGGACATTCTATACATTAGGTTTTACTGTTTTTTTGAGATGGGTTTTGTTCTGTTGCCCAGGCTGGAGTGCAGTGGCGTTAGCTCACTGCAAACCTCCGCCTCCTGGGCTTAAGTGATCCTCCCACCTCAGCCTCCTGAGTAGCTGGGACTATAGTCGTGTGCCACCATGCCCAGCTAATTTTTGTATTTTTTGTAGAGACAGGGTTACGCCTTGTTGCCCGGGCTGGTCTCGAACTCCTGGGCTCAAGCCATCTGCCCGCCTCGGCCTTCCAAAGTGCTGGGATTATAGGTGTGAGCCACCATGGGTTGCCCCATTAGTTTGTAAAGAAACTTTTTTGTTATTGTTTTGTTTTGTTTTGTTTTTTAGTATGGTTTAAAAACTGATCTGAGAGGCAGTTTCATAAAAGAAATTGTAAAATGTTTTGGGCCATGGTAACAACTCTGGGCTGAGTCTAGTCTCCCATGGTTATACTACTTGCATTAAAAAGTACTTCACTGCAGACACATTATCCCTTATTGGGGATGTGTAGTGGGGCTTCAGACACATTGTCCCGTACTGGGGATGTATAGTGGGGCTTCACTGGGTATGGTGTATTTGAGTGGCTTGCTCAGCAGAGATGTGTGAGCAGCTTAGACATGTCAGCTGGCTCCTGGTACTGAGAGAAATACAGCTGGGCACAGTAAGGAGAATTGTTAGCAACTACAATCACATCCGTGCCAGTTTGCTTTGTGAGCTTTGCAGAAATCCCAGTTGGGTGGTGAAATGCAAGTCACTTCTATTTTGGATGCCTCTGATTATAGACCTTCTGACTGTTGAAGGCTGACTAGGAAATACTCTGCATGGGAGTTCTATGTAATATAGCTATATGTTTCAAAACTGTGAGTGCAGTGCTTACAACATTTTATAAGCAAGTTCTTTATTTTGGGTGGATGCTTCTGTTCTTGGTGGTCAATAAGGAAAAAGAGCAGTTATTAAGGATATTTTGTTTATATTTGGTAAGCTCCTTGTCTCACACTGCAGATTTAACATGAATCAGAGGAATTAGTGTATGGGTGGGTAGGATGAGTTCTGTTTTTTGCTTCTCAAGAAAAGATTTCACTCCAAATTTAGAATTCTGTCTATTAATGATTATATGATCTTAGGATTTTAATTGACTTTCAGGATTTTATTGGATACATTTATTCCAGTTAGTGCAATGATAATAATCCTTTAAATTATTTCTGGTTCTTACAGTAGGTTTGTAAAATTTGTGTAGTTGTTTAAAAGTCCAGGTTTTACAGCTCCTCGTCTGTGTATCCTGTCAAAGTCCCGGAGGAGAAAGAAGTCATGGTGCTGTGTTTAATCCAGTTTCAAAAATTTCAGACGCACATATTTATCAAGGATTCCTTTCATTTACAGTGAGTGTTAACTTTTGTCAGTTTAGGGATAATCTTATTTTTCCACAGCCTTTTTTCCCTCAAGCTGTGAACCGTTATTGCACCATGTAGTGCTTGTTGCTCTTTTGCTTGCAAAGTGATGATAAGCAGTTTATATAGCATTAGAGATTGTGTTCTATATTCTGAAAGCCAAAGCTGATGTTATTGAAGAGTTACAAGTTGTTTATTCACTCTAATGTTAGCAAATATTCGACTCCCACTTTTCTGTAAGATAAGTCTGATGTCTGATTTGTCATTTCTCCTATTTGGTGGTAGGGAGTCTGGAGGAAGCCTAGCAACCTTGCTGTTCAGAAAGGATGATGCCAGGCATAACCACGGAGGGGTCCATCTGAGGGCTGCTTTGCGAACCACTGGCTTCTGAGGAAGATTGTTGGTTCCGTTAGGGCACATATCTTAAGCACCGTGTGTGCTCTGCAGGCACACTTGGCTGTTGGTTGAGTTCTCTTCTGAAGCAGGAGGATACGACTTCGTCACTCACAGTACGAAGCTGCCTGCAGTCTCTGGATGTTGGAAGTGTAAGATGTGAGCAGAGAATATGAGCAGGAGCCCCCGTCCAGGGTGGGATGAGTCAGGGAGGACCCCATTGCAAGATAGCAGGGCTCTGAAAGCCCGGCAGGGCCCTGAGAGGTCAGCAGCAGGCAGCCAGAAGTAGGTTGGGTGCTTTTATTCTTAGCGATGTTTGGGTGCCTGTGTGCTGTGCCCTGGAGAATGGTTCGGGCTGGACAGCTAGCATGGCAGTGATTCTCAGTCAGGGATGGTCTGAATCTGGACACAATTTCCTTCTTTCATGGAACTAATATTCTGAGAGAAACAGTTGTTGAAATCTAAGTTGGGTTTTTTTTTTTTGAAAATGAACCTTACTCTTGTATCCAGGATATTTTGTAAGGGAGCATTGTAACAGGAATCCAGTGACCCTTGAACAACACTAACTTGAACTGTGCGGGTACACTTCCATGTGAATTTTTTCCAACCAAACCAGGTTGAAAATGCAGTGTTCTCGGGATGTAAAATAGAGGGCCGCCTTTTTGTGTATCAGCGGGTTCCACAGGGTGGACGGTGGGACTTGAGCGTGCTTGGGTTTTGGTATCTGCAGGGGTCCTGGAACCAATCCCCCTCGGACACTGAGGGATGGCTGTAGAGGTAAGAGTGAAGGGTACCTCTGGAAGGAGAGCTCAGCAGGTGAGTTAGAGAAGGGATGGTGTAGATGTGTGAGCAGTCTGCTAGGAGACAGCCAGCTGCCTCATGGACACAGCAGAGCCTCTCCTTGCTACCCACTCTCCCACAACCTCAGACTACATCTGTGTCTTCACTTTGGAAGTGGCATGTTGACAGTCAAGGCCTCAAATGAGTGCATTTCCCTGCCCTCTTTGTCTGGCTTTAACATGGTTTGAAACATGATGTTAAACTACAATATTGATGCCAACCAGAGAAGGACAGTGTGCAAGTTGGCGATACACTTCTTAGTGTTCTGTTCCCTAAGCTCATTTTCATAAATGGGTTTCTTTCTTGATTAGTCATATTCACATATGAATGTGTATTTGCTAAATCTCAATTCTTGGTGTGAAATTCAAGGACACTTTAAAGCAGGAATTGATAAGGAAGCTATAGCAGGGTTTCTCCCTCCCAGCACTGTTGACATTAGGGGGGGCTGCCCTATCCATTGCAGGATGTTTAGCGGCCTCCCACCTCTGTCCACCAGATGCCATGCCAGCTGCAGCAACAGCACCCTCCATAACAACAACAAAAAAATGTTTCCAGATGTGGCCAAATGAAATCTCCCCTGAGAGGGCAACTCCTCTACTCTGCCTGAAAATCAGTGCCTTACAGGCTCTAGGATTCCAGGTGAAAGAGAAATTTAGTAGAGCAATTTGCAGTGGTTCTGCTTTCTTCGTATCTGTCACTTGCACACATCACGGCCTCAGGGGTTGCAGGGGTTGCACAGCTCCAGGGCTGCCATTAGCATCAGATTTTGATGGGAATGAGCCCTATGTCTCCTCCTCCAGCTTTGCAAAGGGCTGCGTTGTTCCTTTTGACTCCTTAGAACTAACATTAGGTTCTAAGATGGTGTTCCTAATGGTACTGTTGACAGGAAAGACATTGGCCACCGTTCTGACAATGGGTGGTGGGGTAGCTTTCTGTGTGCACTTGGAAGTTGTGTAATTTCTTTAACTCAGATTCATAATTCACTTAATTTTTTGCCCTTATTCCTTTTGCTTTTTTCTTCCTTTTTTATTGAAAGAGTAGTAAATTTTTCTTCTTTTATCCAGCAGTTTTGTTTCTTATTCATTTTTCACATTAGCTACTTCTGTATGTGTGTGTTTCATATTTTATGAGTACTCACAGTGGACTTTTTTTTTGAGAGTCTATTCTGATGAGGAATATGTAAATGGAATGACAGTTAAGAGTCTGTAAAGTTCTAATCCGACTACATTTTCTGACAGTGTGTAGCTTTGGCTTGGTTCAGGTGCTGAATTGGTTTTGTATCTTTGTGGACTGTTTGAAATCTCAGCTGCAGCATGATGACCTGGCCCCCCGAGGCAGGTGGTGAACTGAACAGGCATTTGATTCAGGGGTCTGGCATTCAAGGGCATCCTTAGTGGAAAACTTTGAAGGGGAGAAAAACCCTTGGTTTGTTGCATCTCTGTTGCACTGTTGAGGAAAAATAGTGATGAGATCATTTAAATTATTTGATCTCAAGAGTCACTTCCATTAGTCAGGTGCACTGCTGCTGGATTGAGGAAATGGCAGCGTGGGTTTCTTGAAATAGAGGTTTAGAAATTCGAGTCTTGATTTTCAGCTTGCCTAGGTGAAGGAAGCTCCAAAGAATGTCGTGACACAGTATTCCTGACAAACATTGTCTCTAAGTATATTTGAACCAAAAATGTCAGTTCCTTAGAAAGTATGTTTATAAATATACAAATGGAAGTGATTCTTGAAATTGAAGGTGCCTTCCAAAAGTCTGAGGTTTGAAAACATTTAGTCAACTCTTGCCCTGTCCATATAGCACACAACTTTTATTAGGAAAGTTATCATTATAAGAGAGTAGCTATTCATTAAAGAGGTGGTTTTCAACACTGCTATTACAGAGCTCAAAGGGGACTGCCCAGGCCATTACCACAGGATTAAAAAGGCCCCTGCATGTGATTGTCAGGACTTATGTCAGTGTGTGCACAACCAATCAGGAAGATTATTTGGAGTTGTGAAAATGAACCTCTTCTGTTTATACGACACATCTGGAAGTGACGTGGAAGATGAACTCTTCAGGTCAATTTAGGCAAAGCTGCCAAACCTTGATTACTTTCTCTGTATTCTTTTGGTATTCTGTGGTCCTTCAAAGTGACTTTAAGTACTGTTTTTAGAGTGATTCTGAAGTTTAAACAAGCTCAGTATATGCCTAATTTCCTGAAATAGGAGGTCTCTCAGGGAAGGTCCAGCCTAACCCAAGTTAAATACGTTCTTTAGTTCTATCAGCTGTTTTTCAGATGCAACTAATCTAGAAAGTTTGTTTGCACAAAATAAAAATATGGCAAAATGTGTTTTATACTACTTACATAGTGGGTGCTTAGTTTGTGGGAAACAGGGATATATTTCTGAAACAAGGACAATTATGCTTACAGAATATTTTAAGAATTTTTATTTTAAGTATATAATACCATTGGAACAAGATGAACAGCACTGCTTCTTATGAGATACCCTTACAGGACCTTTTTTGGTAAAAGGGTAACTAGCTAATTATTAGGGTAGTGTATATGTAGGGAGAGTATTTATAATAAGCCTGAAATCACATTCTCTTTGCAAAGACCAGTGCTCCTCCTGAATGTCTTCAGCCTAATAATCTAAAGAGCCATTTATTATACACTTTGGTGGTTGGATTTAGCCATCTTGTGGTGGGAGCAGTCACTGAGCTCCAAGTTAAGTTAGCCACATTGTTTTGTTTGCTTCTGAGTGTGTAAGTGATCTACCTAGTTTTCAAGTATTTTAAGACGTTTGGCATATGATATTTTCGCCTTCAGTTCACTTATTTTATTCCATTGAAGTGTTAACGCTGACGGTGGGTCACTGTGTGGGGTGACAGTGGCTGAAAAACTGATTGCAAAGCTGTATTTAAAATTTTTTTCAGAGTTCAAGAGTGGTGTCAGTTCTTCAGTTTGACATTCTTGCTATAGATAGAGGTTATGTAAACACAATGCTAGTACTCCAAGGAACTAAACAAGCTGAGAAGTTAGTGGAGTTCCTTTCCTTTCTCGTTAAGCTAACATTTGTAGCAAGTGGCTGCATCCCCTTGAAGTGTTTGTGGAATGTGTTCTCTTCATCCACAGAGAAGATGTTGGAGAGAAAACAGAATTAACTAGGCAAGTAGTTGGCTGAGAGAATTACCAGTGCCTGGGGTGACTAGGCTTAGAGCCACAGCCATTGTAGGTGGTCCACAAATATGGTAGCCTGAGCAGAGGGCCATTTTCTAGAAATGTGAGAATTTGATGTCCCCTGTGGGAATTCGAGCTTCAGTTCTTCAGTAGGTCAACAACCATTGGTCAGTCCAAGTTCTGCCGTCCAGCCTCCCTGCTGGATGCTGGGAATACAAAGGTCAACGTTATTTGGACCTTGCGCTTAAGGACATAATGATCTATTAGGTGAGACAGATGCAAATAAGGGATTACAATACGGTGTGTAGGGGAAGAAGGGACACCAGAGTCCCCTGGATGGCAGAGGATGTGGTCAGGGTAAGTTAGCAAATGAGCGCTGCCTGATTAGTGAGGGGAAAGAGTGGTGAAGGGGGTGGGGCAGTGAGGCAGAGGCCGGTAAGGCCAAGGCAGGCACAGGGTAATTTGCTTCTGAAAGATCCAGGCTGGACTGGGCATATGTTCCTTTTTTCTTTCTTTCTTTCTTTTTTGAGATAGGGTCTCACTCTGTAACCTGGACTGGAGTGCAGTGGTGAGATCATAGCTCACTGCAGCCTTGACCTCCCAGTCTCAAGCAGTCCTTCTGCTTTAGCCTCCCGAGTAGCTGGGACCACAAGTGTGCACCACCATGCCTGGCTAAGTTTTTAAATTATTTGTACATACAGGGTCTTGGCATGTTGCTTAGGCTGGTCTGGAACTCCTGGGCTCAAGTGATCCTCCTGCCTCAGCCTCCCAAAGTGCTGGGATTACAGTCATGAGCTACCACACGTGGTGGGTATATGTTCCTTTTGAAGTCAGTAGGTAGTTTAGTTGAACTTGTTCGTAGCTTAGTCCCCAAAGATTTAATGAATTGTGCTCATTAAGAGGACGTTTGTTGGAAAAGAGATTTCACAATGATGGATGTGTACTGGAGTTTCATGTATATTTTTATATACTCTAGATTCTGGAGAATGATCACTCAGTTTTAGTGTGGAAGACAGAATAGACATCTTTAGAACTGTAAAAGGAATAAGCTATTTTTGTTGAGTATGAGAAGAAGATAGCCTTCGTAGAATCACAGGCTGTTCAGAGCATCAAGGACCTCATACTGTAGGAGATCCTCATGTTACAGATAGGACAGCTGAGCTGCCAAGAGGAGCTGCTCCTCGGCTCCCCAAAGCTGGTTCACAGCAGTTCTCAGTCTGAGAGCAAGTCTTCTGATACTGGGGTCAGATCCTTTCACTGCAACACACTGTACCTCTTTTAAACCAGTTCTTATAGCAAGGTAAAAGTTTCTCAAGAAGAAATTGACCTATCTTAATGTTTTTCTTTTTTAATGTGATGTTAGTCTAAGTAAGAATTATGTTTTAGGGAATTGTATTAGTTGAAAAGCTGTACAAGAAATTACCCCAACATTTAGTAACTTAAAATAACAACATTTGTTGTCTCTCAGTTTTTGTGAGTCAGGACTCCCAGTTTAGCTGAGAGCCTCTGGCTCAGGGTGTCTCCTGGGATTACAGCTGAGCTCTCAGGTGGGGCTGTAGTCAACTCATGGCTCAACTAGGGGAACTGCCTCCAGGCTCACTTACGTGGCCAATGCAGGCATCAGGTGCTCACTGGCTGTTGGCTGGATACATCAGTTTCCTGCCACACTGGCCTCTCCATAGGGCAGCTGGCTTCCCCTGGACCAAGTGATCCAAGAGAGAGCAGGAGAGACCAAGAGAGACCCACAAGATGGAAGCCATACATAGTCTTTTTTTTTTTTTTTTTTTGGGATGACATCTCACTCTGTCGCTCAGGCTGGAGTGTATTGGCGGGATCTCAGCTCACTGCAACCTCTGTCTCCTGGGTTCAAGAGAGTCTCCTGCCTCAGCTTCTTGAGTAGCTGGGATTACAGGCGCCCACCACCACGCCTGGCTAATTTTTGTATTTTTGGTAGAGACGGGGTTTCACAAATTGGCCAGGCTGGTCTCGAACTCCTGACCTCAAGTGATCTGTCCGTCTTGGCGTCCCAAAGTGCTGGGATTACAGGCATGAGTCACCGCACCTGGCTGGAAGCCATAGTCTTATAACCTGAGCTTAGAAGTGACATTTCGTCACTGCTATTTGATAGAATCAAGTCATTAAGTTGAGGGGACAGTATTATATTAATACAAGAGTGTGAATACCAGGAGATACATTGGGGCCCATCTTGGATGCTGCCCACGACAAACATGGATTAAGATTCTGTTCATTGTGTTTAACAGAAGTTCACTAAAACTGACTTCCGCAAAACAGACGGGGAGTGGGAGAGAGAATAACTATGGGATCTGAGGATTTTTCATGGAGACAAAGGGTGAGGAGCATAACTAAGTCTCATGAGGAACTGGACTTGGAAGGTGGACAGTCTGTAGGAACTGAGGCAGCTTTCTCCTTCAGTATCTTAATAGTAAATTCTCCTATCTTTCTAAGTCAGTCTTATGTTTCAGGTGTCTCAAATTTATTTTTCTTTTAATCTTTATTCTTTATAAAATAGCTATTTTTCTTTGTCTACACATGGTGGAAAATGGCCACCCCAGTGGTTCTAGGACCATAAAAGACTAATGGGAAGAATTTCTGTGTCCCAGGAGAGAGGATTGAGTTTCCTTTGCCCCACTAGTGGGATGGCTCCCCCTATGAAAGTTGTCCAGTGAGCAGGGTCAAGGTTTAGGTTTGGGGTACGGACATGAGTGCAGGAGCCTTACTCTCCTGTGTGTTGTCAGGGATGGATAAAGGGGATGAAGTTGGAGGGGTTTAGTGAATGGTTGGGACAGCAAATTTCAGAGAAGAGCATTTGGAAATAATTTTCTCAAATATATATTTTTAAAATCCATATTTGATTTTTTTCCCTCAGGGATTCCCAAGCATAGTAGAGCTAAAATGAATTAATTTGGGTAAAAGTAAAGTTAAGGCTAAGTTAGGAAACACTTTTAAAAACAGGAACCTGCTGCGTGCGGTGGCTCCTGCCTTGTAGTCCCAGCACTTTGGGAGGCAGAGGCGGGTGGATCACCTGAGATCAGGAGTTCAAGACCAGCCTGGCCAACATTGTGAAACCCCATCTCTACCAAAAATATGAAAATTAGCTGGGTGTGGTAGCGCATGCCTGTAGTCCCAGCTACTCGGGAGGCTGAGGCAGAAGAATCGCTTGAACCCAGTAGGCAGAGGTTGCAGTGAGCCAATATTGCGCCATTGCACTCCAGCCTGGGCAACAGAGCAAGATACTGTCTCCAAAAAAAAAAAAAAAAAAAAAAAAAAAAGAGGAATGTTAGTGGAAAAGCAAGGTTTTCTATATTAATTATTTAAAAAATGTCTCTGAGACTAGTATTAACCTGGAAAACTTACTGATTATCGTAAGTACTATTTCTCTCTCTCTCTTTAGTTGCCCCTTATAAATTCCAGGTTTAACAACTTTTTAAAATGTTCTTATGCCATGAACATCTGTCAGCTTTCCTATCTTAGATTGTTTTTTTTTTTAGCAGCTTATGTAACTTGAAATGAAATTACCATTTTTTGTTCTAAAACTGCCCATTTAGTGTGTTGATAGGGTTTTGCTTTTGGCTTCAGTTGATTTCAATAGATGACAAAGATGCAGAAAAGGTTTTTATTTTCATTTTTGCATGCTTGTTCACTTCCATGGCACTTTAAAATGATGCACACTCTGGCTTAGCTGCAAGAAAGCTTGTATTACAAAGATAGAAACCAAAAGCCTTTTCTGGAGGTGTTTTTCTTTTTGCTTTGTAGATAAGTCAGAAGAATCCTGTGAAACCTAAAGACAGTCTACCACTTGCATAGTTGGGTAGTTTTCATTTTTGTTCTTGGAGTTGGATCTGAGCAGTACAGCAGTAGCAGCAATTAAAGCATGTTAGTGTATGGTAAACACTTATGCTTGTACATCTTAAGATGTTGCTTTGTTGGTCAAAATCCGATTTTAAAAGTTGAGACTGGTGCAGTGGTTTTGGGAATTAACACATGGTAAACAGCTCTGTTCCCAGCCCCCAATTCTCCATGACTCCGCGTGGGGGTAGCTGGTGTTGTAGCGCATGTTTGAGGACGTGGATGTGGCAACGGGAAGCGTGCTTCACATGGGGTGGGTCCACAGAGCCTAGCATGGTTGGCTGGGTGGTGCTTCTTCAGAAAAATCTGCGCCCACTCCTTAACCTCTTCATGTTTTACTCATACTCTGCTATTGTGGGTTTAGGTTTGGCAATAATGCTGCTACTTACATTGAGAACCTAATAGGGAAAAAAGACTGGGCTTTGTAGTTGCAACGATTGCTGGGAAGATGCAACAAGTTTTTCTAGCTTCTTATTATGGTTTACTGTGATCCATTCTCTTAAAACTATTCTTTCTTATAATCCTCTCTCTCTCTCCTTAACAGATGAGGAGTTGATCATGCCACTGCCCTGCTCACAATCCCTGAGTGGCTTCTGTTGTGGTTAGAGTAAATACATACTCCTCCCCGTGGCTCAGAGTCATTGGTGTCTGTCCCCTGCCTGCCATGTAAACCTCCTTTCTCGTTGTGACTCCATGCACAAGGGCCTCCCAGTGTTTTTCAAGCTTCCAACTTTGTCTGTCTCAGGCTCTGTACAGATGTTCTTCCTTCTGCCCTGCATGCTCTTCCCAAAGCTCATCACCTGGCTGGCTTTTGGGCATCCCGCATCACCCCGCATCACCTGTTCAGGTTTTTTCCTAAGAACATAATCCAGAGAGAGCAGCCCCTGCTCCTGCCCCTGCCCCTGCCCCAGCCCCAGCCCCAGCCCCAGCCCCATCACGCTCAGTCACTTTACCTTTATGAGGTAATGTTTACCACAGTCTGAAATTATCTTATTTGCCTGTTGCTTGTGTTTCCCCCACTCCCAGAATAGAAACACAATGAGGACAGGGACATGTCTTGCCCACTACGATGCCTCCATCACCTAACACAGTACTTAGCATATAGTAGTTCTCAGGAAATACTCGAATGAATAGAAGTGCTGCATTCATTTAACACATAGCAAACATTTTTTTGTATGTGTGTTTCTAGACCTTGGCATTTTTAAAGAGCACTGGTCAGTTTGTAAAATATCCCTCAATTTGACTTTGTCTAGTGTTTCCTCTGGATTAGATTCAGATTATGTATTTTTGGTAGAAGCAGTGCCTCGTGTCAGAAGGCACGTGTCTGTTTATCCCAGCATTGGGGATGCTAACTTTGATCACTTTGTGAAGCTGTGTCATATTCTAGGTTTCTTCAGTGTACTGTTGCTGCTTTTTCCTTTGTAATTAATAAGTAATTTGTGGGGAGATTTAGACTTTGTAAATATTCGATTTCTTATCAAACTTTCACTCACAAGTTTTAGTATCCATTGACGGTTTTTTAGGTCCTTCTGTATCTATTAGCAGGCATTCTCTTGTAAGGAAAAGCTCTCCCTTCTCATCATTTATATATTGATCAGTATGGGTCATGGATTGTTATTTCATTGAGTTTTAATCTATTATTTTTTTTTTGTTGCTTAAGTTGTCCAAACTTTGACTGGTGGGAGCCTCTTCAAACTGGTTTCTTTTCAAGCTGTGTTCTTTTGCTATGTCCTTATCATTCCTTCAGTGCTTCCTTAATTTCTGGCAGGACATTTGCTTTTTAGAAATCATTTTTCTCTTGATTTGGAAAATGCACTTTTTTGCTTTTTTTGCCCCCCGCAAGAAGTATGGATGTCATACTTCCCTTTACAGAACACCACCATAACATCTGTACTCATTCATGATACCTACAAATGTGACCTTAAGCAAGTCTTTTTTTTTTTTTTTTTTAAACTCATGATTTTTCTTGCTGTTTCTGTGAAATCTAAGAGGAGCAGCTTGTCTGCTTGTAGCTCAGGGACAGAATAGCATTGTGTGAGGTGGTCCACATATTTATTGAATACTGCCAGTGCATAAAGCATTCTACCTGGAGCTGGAGAGAATCACACAAGAGAGTAGAAGAGAGTTATGTATCTGCTCTCAAGGATGGCAGGATTCAGTGGAGAAAGACCAGACTGTACTGCATATAGGAACAAATGAAGTTGAAAAGATTAATTTTCACAACTAACAGTCTTCCTTATCCTGCTCATGGGTAAAGATTACCATTTAATTTGTAGCAGTAGTGAGTCGGTGCCATTTATGACCACTTCTTGTCAAGCTCACACTTGAGACAAGTCAAGGGCCAAAAAGGCCTGACCTGTAGATACAACAAGCCACTTGTAGATTTAGGTGGTTAATTACTTATAGAGACAGAGAAAAGAAGAAGAAGGCAAAGATGCCAGCTTCCTGTAGTTCTTGTCTAGCATACCAAGAAGGGTGACACTGAAACTCACAGCTGATGACCGTGAGCCACAGGATTCCGGCTCCTGAGGAGCTAGATCCAGATGGCAGCTAAGTGGGTTTATGTTCTGGACCCTTATTTGAGGCCAGGTGAAGGGATGCCCAGAAAGCCCCATGCTTCACCAGAACCCAGGAGGCAATGAGGACCTGTCTCCCGTCGGCTGCCAGGGAAGTAGGGAGGTGAGTGGGCGCTGACATAGCATCCCTCTCTTTTGTGTTCCTGGAGGGTCATAAGGTGTTCTTCCAAGACAGACAAAGCATCTGTGCTTCAGGCCTTGCCTACATGGCTTATTAGGTAAGTGCGGACTGCCAGGGATTTGTGGCAGAGCTGTTCCCCTGTACTTCTTTGGACTTGTAGTGTGACTGATGTCTCCACATAACAGATAATCACATCACCTCTCAGTGTTACTCCCCAGCTGTTTTGCCTCCCCCTGTCCTGTCCCCTCTGTGGGTCGACAGATGCTGTTGTGTGAATCAGGCTGTTCTTGGGGCCTGTTTTCTGTCTGCCTCCTCTTTATATCTGACATGTAAACATGGCTGTCATTGGTTTGAGAATCCTGGTTCAGGCTCTCCCTGTACATATTTGGAGCCACTGGACTGTGGCAGATACTGCCTCATTATTTGTAGATGGCTGTGTTTTTTGTTTATTTGTTTAAAAAACAAATTTGTGGTATAATATAACATCAAATTTACCATTTTAACTCTTTATTTATTATTATTATTATTATTATTTTTTTTTGTAGAGGCAGGGTTTTGGTATGCTGCCCAGGCTGATCTTAAACTTCTGAGCTGAAGCGATCTGCGCGCCTTGGCCTTCCAAAGTGCTGGGATTACAGTTGTGATCCACCACACCCATTTTAGCCATTTCTAAGTGTACAGCTCAGTGGCATTAGGCACATTCACATTGCTGTGCAACCATTACCACCATCCATCTCCAGAACTACTTCTTCCCAAACTGAGACTCCGTGCTAAGTTGTTAAAAAACCCCAAGTCCTCATTTCCTCATCCCCCCAGATCCTGGTGACCACCATTCTTTTGGTGCCTAAATTTGGACCTCATATAAGTGGATCCATACAATATTTGCCTTCTTGGAACTGGCTTATTTCACTTAACGTAATGTCCTCAAGGTTTATCCATGTTGTTGCATGTATGAAAATTTCCTTCCTTTTTCAGGCTGAATAATGTTTTATTGTATGGATATATCACATTTTGTTTACCCATTCATCTCTTGTTGGACAGTTGAGTTGCTTCTGCCTTTTGGTGATTGTCGATAATGCCGCTAGGCACACGAGTGTTGAAACATTTGTTTGAGTTCTTGCTTTCAATTCTTTTGGGTATGTACTCAGAAGTGGAATTGCTGGAAGGACTGAAATCTTAGTTTTTGGTGAATTTGTATTGTTACTTAATGTTAATAGCTGTATCACCATATTATATGGGCCTTATGAGGCCAAAGGGATGACTGGAATTTTAAAATTAAATTTCTTTTTTTTCCTTTCTTTTCTTTTCTTTTTTTTTTTTTTTTGAGATAGAGTCTCACTCTGTCACCCAAGCTGGAGTGTAGTGGTGTGACTATGGCTCACTGCAGCCTCAATCTCCTGGGCTTAAGCGATCCTCCTGTCTCAGACTCCTGAGTAACTGGGACCACAGGCATGCACCACCATGCCCAGCTGATTTTTTTTTGTAGCTATGGGGTCTTGCCGTGCTGCTCAGGTTGGTCTTGAGCTCCTGGGCTCCAGCAGTCCTTCTGCCTTGGCCTCCCAAAGTGCTGGGATTACAGGTGTGAGTCACTGTGCTCTGCCTAAATTTTATCTTTTAAAAGTAGTATTTATTATTTCCCTCCTTGATTTTAGAAAATTTAAAAAAGTATATAGAAAAAATTACCTGTAATCCTACCACACAGAGCAATGCTTGTTTTTAAAATTTTACATTAGTATTTTAATATTAATATGAACATTAATACTCATCTGTATATGATTATATACAATGTATAACTTAAAGAAAATTTGATAATATATTAATATGTCTCTGAGTCAGACACATTAATCAAGCTTCTATGGTGGGGATTTACCAAAATGCAGATTGTTTTGTTTTGTTTTGAGATGGAGTCTCACCCTGTCGCCCAGGCTGGAGTGCAACGGCACGATCTCAGCTCACTGCAGCCTCTGCCTCCCGGGTTTAAATGATTCTCCTGCCTCAGCCTCATGAGTAGCTGAGATTACAGACGCCCACCACCATGCCCAGCTAATTTTTGTATTTTTAGTAGACGGGGTTTCGTCATGTTGGTCAGGCTGGTCTCGAACTCCTGGCCTTGTGATCCCCCCGCCTCGGCCTCCCAAAGTGCTGGGATTACAGGCATGAGCCACTGCACCTGGCCCATAATGCAGGTATTTATTCATCCACTTATTTATTGTTTCATTTTCTCTCAGATATGTTATCTGTGTTTACATATATACCTGTGGATGTATATTTCTTTCATAATTGGGACCATGCTTTAAATATGACTTTATAATTTTTTTGTCTTATTATAAAAGTGTTGCCTCTAAACAATCTTCTAAAACATGATTATTAATTACCACAGGTAATACAAGGTACATCAATTCCACAATTTATTTAATCATGACAGTACTAATTATACTAGCATTAATTGAGTGCTTAGATTTAGATTTTGGTTCTTTAGGTTTTTTCTTTTAATTTTTTAAAAAACTCATACATAATATTTTGTTTGCCTGTGGGGGGCATTTCCTTATTTCTAAAAGTCAACTTTATGAGACAAAGGAATGAAACTTTTGATACTTACTGAGTAGGCAGGAACTGAATGTTATTTTTCAGGTGCATGTGATTAACTTTTAATATGGGTCTGAGAATCGGCATTCTGCTCACTGTCTTCACTAATTCTCTAAGAAAATATTAAGCATCTACTGAGAACCATATTACATTATGTAGATATTACAAAGATATATAAGACATGGCCTCTGATTTGTGGAGCACTAAATTGTAATTGTGAAAATGAGAAGTATGGGGCTGAGCATCCCTGATCTGAAAATCTGAAATCAGAAATGCTCCAAAATCTGAAACCTTTTAAAAATGTTTGCCCCCTCAACACACACACTTCAGCACCCAAAATCTGAAACCTTTTGAATGCCAACATGATGCCACAAGTGGAAAATTGCACACCTGACACTTTTGCTTTCTGATGGTTCACTGTACACACATTTGTTTCATGCACAAAATAAAACTAATGTATAAAATTACTTTCAGGTTATGTGTATAAGGTGAATGTGAAACAGAAATGAATTTTATGTTTAAACTGGAGCCCCATCCCCAAGTTTAAACAAATCTTCCAAAATCCAAAAAAAATTGAAATCCAAAACACTTCTGGTACCAAGCATTTTGGATAAGGGAGACTCAGCCTATATATACATTATCATTTAAGGCAGCATGTGATACATACTATGTTGTACAGAAGTAGGTGCTAAAATCAAATAAAAAAGAGTGTGCAATAAGATGTGCAAGGTGGAACAGGTGACTTTTGGCCTGGGTGATCTGGGACAGTTTCATGGAGAGAGAGATTGAGTACTGGGTCTTTTGGTTGGGTGGTTCTTGCAAATAGAACATTTCTGGCAGTAGGGAAGGCAGTAGGAAAGTCCTCCAGGTGACAAAGTACAGGATGTATTTGGGTCTTGGCAACTGAATTTACTTAAAGACAGGGAGGATAGTCCAGACGAGGCTTGGGCCACTTGCAGCCTAAGAGGTCCATGTCGTGTAGGGACCTGAATGCCAAGCTAGAGGGTACCAGTTTTTTTTTTTAATTCTCCAATTTAAAACTTTTAATTAAAAAGTAAACTTTAATGTCAAAAATGCAAACTTTGGAGAGGGCAGAAAGATCACACACAAGGCTGTCACTTCACACTTGGAGGGTTGCACAGCAGCCAGAGGCGCTCCTCACTTCCCAGACGGGGCTGCGGCCAGGCAGAGGCGCTCATCACATCCCAGAGGGTGTGGGGGCCGGCCAGAGGCGCTCCTCACTCCCCAGATAGTTGGCGGGGGGGCCAGGCAGAAGCACTCCTCACTTCCCAGACAGTGGGGCAGCCAGGCAGAGGTACTCCTTGCTTCCCAGATAGGGCGGCAGCCGGACAGAGGCGATCCTCACTTCCCAGATGGTCGGTGGCCGTACAGAGGCGCTCCTCACTTCCCAGACAGGGCGGCGGCCGGGCGGAGACGCTCCTCACTTCCCAGGTGGTGGGCCGCCGGCGGCCGGGCGGAGACGCTCCTCACTTCCCAGATGGTGGGCCGCCGGGCAGAGGCGCTCCTCACTTCCCAGCTTGTGAGGTGGCCGGCAGAGGCACTCCTCACTTCCCAGACGGTAGGGTGACCAACAGAGGTGGTCCTCACTTCCCCGACGGGGCGGCAGCTGGGCAGAGGCGCTCCTCACTTCCCAGACGGTGGAGTGGCCGGCAGAGGCGCTCCTCACTTCCCCGACAGGGCGGTAGCTGGGTAGAGGCACTCCTCACTTCCCAGACGGTTGGGGGGCCGGGCAGAGGCGCTCCTCTCTTCCCAGACAGTGGGGCGGCCGGGCAGAGGTGCTTCTCACTTCCCAGGTGGTTGGGGGGCCGGGCAGAGGTGCTCCTCTCTTCCCAGACGGTGGGGCTGCCGGGCAGAGGTGCTCCTCTCTTCCCAGACGGTGGGGCGGCCTGGTAGAGGCGGGGATACCAGATTTTGGGGTAGTAGGCTTACCTGATCAAAGTGACCCTGGAAGATTAATATGCTGGAGATGTGGGAACTAGATGGGAATGGGAAAAGACTGAATCAGTGAGATCAGCTCTGTTGGTTCTGTGTAGTGGGGTTATTGGATTGGAAAGGGAGTTGTAGAAGCAAGTCTGGTGTTGTCACTCCGCCCCACGACCTCCCCGAGACTGACACTGTCAGTCAGAGGAAAGCTTTTAAAAGTTTTCGTATTCCCTGCCTACCTGGCACTGAGTAGGTATGAAATCATTGTTGAAAGAGTGAGTGAACCAGCAATATAATTTTGTGCCTGAAGGTGCAGAGAGAGGGAGGATTCAGAGTTGACCCTGAGTCTTTGGAGGCAGGGTAACTGAATGAACATGCTTTTAGTGTATGGATATTGGAGAAGAGCGGAGAAAGATTGGCTCTGAGGAGGGACAGGGTAATAATTTTGGGTTTGAACAGGTTTATACAGTCTTGCTCAATGTTAAGGGATATTTGTGTTTACAAACTTTATTTTAATATGTTACTGTTGAGAATATAATTTTCTAATTCCAGTAATGGAAAAAGATCTGAGTGTTCTGATCTCCAAAGTGGTGTCAAAGAGATGATGGAAGGATCTGGATTAATAGTCAACTTACTTGATGAGAATGTGTATTTACAGCAGTTCTTGGTGGTTTGGGATCCTTAGATCTCATTTCTCACGTGACTTCTGGTCATTTAGCCCTTTCACCCGTAATTCACCATCCGTCTAAACAATGGAAGGAGCAAGCAGGAGTGGAATTCAAATATATAGATTTAACAAAAGCTTCTTTTTGGTTATTCTTACCTTTTTCAAGGTAGCATTGGTCTACATTAACACCAATAACAGAAAGTTAACTGAATTTTACATGCTGTTTGTCCCACCTGTCATTAGATACATTGAAGGACTGACTGCTGACCATCAGATGTATGTTTTTAAATTAGTTTAAAATAATGTTACGTATTTAATTTAAAAATAGTGTTGTGGTGGGGGCACATATGCCAGTAGGATGCTCTTTGAGTGTGTTCATAAAAGTATAAAATATTAAGAGATGACATACTTATTTATAAAGAGTTTTGAAGCCTTCTGTGAAAGTCAGCTTCAATAGGGAACATTACCTGCATTAATATATTTATTAGGCAGTTCATTTCTGTGAATTGTGTTTTTATACTTCATTTTTTCCAGCTACTCCTTTAGTGTTTTTTTCAGAAGTTTGAGTTATTTATGGATTAGCCTAATAGCTCATTCTTATAATTACTGCAATTTTAAAAACCATCTATTACAAACCAAAGTCTTCACCAAAGCAAAGCCTGTATAAATCTGATTGGGAAATGGTTCTAAGTGAGAATTGAGCCCTTCTCTAAGTGTGGAAATTTTCTGTTGTGCATTTTCCTAGTGCTGGTTTAAGTCCAAGCTCACCATGTATATGCTTTTGAAATGAACCAATTAGGGCATGTTTAACTATCAGTAGGCTTAAACAAATGTATTTCCTCGTGTTGGAATTTGGACTTAGGACTTTGGAAGGTGGAAAATTCCAAGTGCAAGTGAAAGATTTCTATAACTGGGCTCCATACTTAACAGCCAGTCCTGTCTCAAACTTAATCTGGTAATGTTTATTGAGCTGGTAACGTTTATGGAGTTATACATGAGATAGGCTATCTTTTCTGTAGGACATTGGTTATCTTCACTGGAGGACTTTTGAAATTGAAAGAAAGCAAGAGTAACATAAATTTGATACTCAGCTAGAGAAGAAGATGTATTTATATTTAACTTGTCCTCATGATATAAAGACTTGCTTTGTGTCTTTAAAAAAGTGGTTGCTGTTTTTACTGCAGTATTAATATCTTAAAGCCAATACATAGATTCATTTCTTCTTTGTTTTCCAAATTCAAAATGAGGAGACATTTATTTCTGTGTTTCCTACTACTACTTGAAAAAATGTTGAATATTAAAAAATTGCAGAAGAATAAACAGCAAGAGCTAAAGTTCTCATTTATTTGTATGTTACCTGCTCCTGGATTACCTATCGCAAATTAGGATGTTTTTGGTTAACTTTGATGGGTTTTGAGATTGTCACTTCTTTCCATTTAATCTTTGTATGCTTAGAAACTGCCAGTTTAGTATGGTATTAGGTGAAAAGAAAATGGTTAGAAATATAAATAAAATCTTTAGTGGATAGTATTGTACCAATGTTAATTTTTTAGTTTAGAAACTTATATTATGGCTATAAAAGGTATTAACCTTAGAGGAAGCTGGGTAAAGGGTATATGGGAACTGAACTATTTTCACAGTTCTTCTGTTATCTGAAAATTATTTCAAAATAAGCTAAAAAATGATTAGACTAACTCTACAGCTACAAAGTTATTAGTGTATATTGCAAAACCAGAGACAAGTGATTTGTGTGTGTCTAGGGAATGGACAGAGATTCTCTTCTATTTGGATGGTTGAAATCCTTGTTCATTTTCATTGACCTGAAAAATTGAGAGTTGTTGCTGTATCTCATGAGGATGAAGATGCTGTTAGAGTATGTTTAGTAAATGCAGACTTCTTTTTCTTTTTCTGTGTTATGAATATATGCATAAATACACGACAGATACCAATTTGCAAACATACATGCAGTGTGTGCTTCTAAATGAGGTGATTGGCTTTCTAAAAATATCACAGAATTTCATTTTAGCTTGTTACACATTTGTTTCCTTGATGAGATGGTGGCAATCATTTGCCTTTTGAGAATAAATTAGATTCTTTTATTTTGGAAACACCAGCATGTGATTTGGGGCTTCATGTATAAATTGAGTGATCAGACTTTCTAATTCTGAGTTGAATCTAAATTTAAGAAATGAGTTTTTTAAAAGATAAGTGAACTGGCTCTGAATTTATTTCCAAAGAATAGTACAGATCTTTTTGTGGTTCCTGCATCATTGGACTAAGTCTAATATTTGCAGATTTCAACTTTAAAGGATATTACTTGTGTTCTTGATTTATGTTTATTATAAGTTATTAGTGCTATCTGTATTAACAGAGATGGGAGACTCCAAGGTTTTTCAGCAGTTGCTTTCCCTAGGCCCATGCTGTAGCTGAGTGTGGACATTCAGCTGGACATTTGGGCTGCATTTCCAGTCTTCGCTAGTTCTACCCCATTTTACCCTCTTGGAACTCACTCTTTTTGTTCTACAGCAGCACTGTTATTAGAGCTTTCTGTGATGATGGAAATGTTATATATCTGCACTGTCCAATGTGGTAGTCACTAGCCACGTGTGGCAGTCAAACATTTGAAACGTAGCTAGTGTGACTGAAGAACTGAATTTTAAATCTTACTTAATTTTAAAGAATAAATTTAGATAGCCACGTGTGGCTAGAGTCTTCTGTATTAGGCAGCACAGATTGAGGGCTACCATTGCTAATTCCTTGAATGGTCTACCTGGAATGCCAATTTAAGTGTGGAAGGAGGGAATGGACACAGACATTTACAGTATAACTGAATTGTCTGTTGTTCTCATATAAAATTCCCTTTATAAGCATTTTGATTGACTTGGTGTGGAAATGATGTTACCATGCTGATTCCTTGCTTTTGGGTTGCCTTTTTTGAGAGGTACTCTTTGGGTACCACTTTAAAACCTGCTTTTTTTACATAAATTTTTTCATGTCAGTAAACACACTTCTGTCTCATTGTTTTTAATGACTGTAGAGTGTTCTATTTTATAGACTACTTTATGACTTTATACTACCTTATGACTGTATAGTATTCTATTTTATAGACTGTATAGTATTCTATTTTGTAGTGTTCCACCATGCACTAGCTGGGAGCCTTGGGCCTGGTGCCTATCTTCCTTCTCTGTAAAATGGGACAGTAAAAATGTCTACCTTGTAGAATTATTTTGGGTGTAAAATGAAATAAGATAAAGTGCTTGGTACAAAGTAAATGTGCTCAATAGATATTAGTTATTATTAATAATATTGTTAGGTAAAGGTCATTTCTTGTGAGATAACATGGGTCTACATCTCATGGATTTTATAGAATAAAACAGACACTTTAAAAGTTGGGACAGGTTAAACCTCTCTGGAATGCAGATCTGAAAGCAGCTGACTTCCCAGGGTGGCTTCCGCCATAGAAGTCACTTTGTGAGAGCACACCTTCCTGCTGCTGCCTGGAGCAGTGTCTTTGGGAGCTGGGTAGGGTTGTCAGCGTGCGCCCATGTCAGTGCCTCTTCCCCTTAGAGACTATTGCAGGTCTGCAGTTAAACAAAAGTAATTTTCCTAAACCTGAAAAAGGCATGTCTGAATTACTGGATGTGAAATATTTCGTTTAACAAAACTGACTCTCATGGGACCTCTAATTTTGCCTATACTCCTAATGAGGCACAAGAAGTAGTCACATACATACTGCCCCTCTCCCACACCTCTTTAAAAACTTTGGAGTGTAAATGCTGGCTTAAGGTGTTTGGCTCATACTTGGAAGTCTGTTAGAAACGAGTTAAAATTCTCTGAAGAATGACTTAGGTGCATATGCTAGGAAACTTTTGAAAGATTGGATAGAGTCTGCAATTGATTACAATTGAGGCTGTGGAGTCTTTCTGCCTGGAGGTTGTTAGAACAACGAGAACTGCTTATTTGGGAAATCAGCTTTGTAGTGGAAAAACACCTGCCCAGAAATCTGGAGACCTGGCATAATGTGTGCTTAGTCTTTAGCTGCATGACCTTCGGTGAGTCTTGTTCAGTTTTCTGGGCTTCAAGTTCCATCCTCAGCTTTAGTATTAATTTATGGACTGTGTCGCAGTGTTTTTCATTTGCAGAAACTGCTTTGCACTAAAATGGAATGATCATAATCTTTTTCTAATTTGCAGAGGGAAAAAAGCATTTTCAGCTGAACTGGTAGGCTTTTATTAGTTTTTCTAATGTAAAATTAAACTTTTTTGCCATTCTTTATCTGCTACCAAGTGCTCATGTTATTATTCTCATGTATGTGGTACATGGCGGTTGTCATTTTATACTCTGTTCAGATGTCACAGGCACACCTCTGCTAGTGAAAGCATTCCCAGGTTGGACTGTTCGCATCCACATTTCGTGGTGTTTTTGGAGTGCTCTCCAGAGACACAGTGACTCCTCCTGGGGGTGTCAGCGCCTGGGTGACTCCCTCCGGCATTGACTGCTCTATAGCCCGGCCCCAGGCGTCAGGGCAGGCCGCTGTGGGGTGGGCGGTGTGGCATAGGAGTGCCCTTCCAACTTGGGAATAAGGTAGAAGCTTTCTGATGTGGAGAGTCCTAAATCAGAGATAGATCCTCAAAGGGGCTGCAGAGTTCCTTTTCCTTGGCTTTTCTTAACCGGTGCTCGGAGGTACCAGAGGAAGTGAGGCTGGGAGGGTGGGGCTGGGCCTAGTGAGCAGGGTCTCTGTACTTCCACTGCTCACTTCTGAGATCTTATCACTATTTGGCTTCAGAAGTTGTTCAGTTTCTCCACTTTTCTGGTGTACAGGAAGGAGCAGCAGTAACCTGCCTATTACTCTGAGGAACTTCCTGGTGATTTACATCGTGGAGATCTGTCCTGCTTGCTCTGTGGAAGTAGTCCAGGGCCAAACATTCAAAAAGCAGTCTGAACTGATAAATATTCAGGCCGAAATGACCTTGCAGTAGACTGTGGACAGCATTCATTAAGAGTGTGTGAGGTGCTGGTGACTGTGCCTGTCCTGATTTCCACTCCTGTGTGAGCATCAGCGGGACAGGAACAGAGCAGGATGGTGAGGCTTGAGGTCCCACTTGTGACCTTGGACCGTATTTCCTCCTGCCAGAGGCATCTGCCAAACTATTAAGGGCATGAACATTGTTTGGTTTCAGTGATGGATTCGTTACTACATTTGCAAAGCTCCACACGGTTTAGGGAAGTTGTGGCCTTAGGAAAGACTTAAACAGCTGTTTTTGTAATCCCTGAGAACTTGGATTCTTGCTTTCAGAAGACACAGAAGAAATTCCAGTCAACTTTTTATGGGTAAGAGTCATGAGAATATAAATTAAGAGAATACATTCTTGGCTTAATATATCCTTTTTGAGAAAACTACTCTATTGAGGCTCTTCCCTATTTAAGTTTATCTTGCCTGAGATTATCATAGGATTTTTATTAGTGTGCTGAGCCGGCCACTTAAGTGAGCTGAAGATACATACAAATTTGCAATGGAAAAGTTTCTGAGATTAAGCCTACTAATATGCTGCTTAATGTTTCTTGTTCTGCACATTATCTCAATTTGTGTGAATATTTTGTAAATTGGACCTCATAAATTTTAATTTCTAATCAATATTTTTATTAGAGGTGACCAAATACCTTAATAAAGTGTATTTGAATGAAGACTCGTTTAACTCCAAATTTTGTAAACCACTTTTAAGAACATTTAAAAAGGTGACCTGTTTATTCTCTGCATTAGAATTAATTACCTGGATGACTATTTAAATATTCAGGGATCAGATGGGAGGACATGCATTTTTTAGTAAGCCTTAAAGTTTGAGAATCACTGCTTTAGTTCATACAGGCTTCACAGTAACCCCAGAGTTTCATGGTGAGGGTATGAGCTTGAGAGTACCCTCAAGCATATACATATGCATATACATGTACAGTAAATTGTTTGTTACACATATCCATGTTTTTTTTTTTTTTTGAGACGGAGTCTCACATTGTTGCCCAGGCTGGAGGGCCGTGGCACGATCTCGGCTCACTGCAAGCTCCGCTTCCCGGGTTCACTCCATTCTCCTGCCTCAGCCTCCCGAGTAGCTGGGACTACAGGTGCCTGCCACCACGCCCGGCTAATTTTTTGTATTTTTAGTAGAGACGGGGTTTCACCGTGTTAGCCAGGATGGTCTTGATCTCCTGACCTTGTGATCCGCCTGCTTCGGCCTCCCAGAGTGTTGGGATTACAGGCGTGAGCCACCGCGCCCGGCCGTTCCTCATCCATATTCTTTTGGTGTTTATGTATACTTGCTCTGTGCCTGGAAACAGGCTAAGTATGAAGCCTAAATTGAACATTGTCATTATAAATTTAGCTAACTATAGACCTTGGATGATAATGACTAGGAATCTTCTCTGGCTCTGTTTTTATTGTGTGCAGTTATTCCAGAGACTGGCCAGGTAGTGTGAAGTGCCTTATATTTCCCTATTACAACACTTTTCTTCCTTTGGTTAACTATCTGATCTTGGATAAAACTATTTTATTTTATTTTTTTTTGAGATGGAGTCTCGCACTTTCGCCCAGGCTGGAGTGCAGTGGGGCCATCTTGGCTCACTACAAGCTCCGCCTCCTGGGTTCATGCCATTCTCCTGCCTCAGCCTCCCGAGTAGCTGAGACTACAGGCACCTGCCACCACGCCCGGCTAATTTTGTGTATTTTTAGTAGAGACAGGGTTTCACCATGTTAGCCAGGATGGTCTCGATCTCCTGACCCAGTGATCCGTCCGCCTCGGCCTCTCAAAGTGCTAGGATTAGAGGCGTGAGCCACTGCACCTGGCCAGGTTAAAACTCTTAAAACTTGTTCATTATTGATTGTCTGTTAGGTTATTTTACTTGCTGTTCTTTGAAATGGTTTTAAGAGGGCTGGATTTCTTTTCTTGACTTCTCCACGTAGCCTGTATGTCCCTTCAAAGCAGGGACTATATGGATCATGTTGGTAGTACCACCGCCCAGCCCAGTGCTGGGATACAGAAGCAACGTGATACCTGTGTAGTGGCTGACGGATGAGAGGTGACCTGGACATTGTATCAGCTGATACTTCTTTGTTATTTAACTTGGACTCTCAAGAGACCTCTCCTTCCTTTCTATTTCAATTGTGGCCACACTAGTTCCTGCCTTGATTTACTGAGCCTGGATTAGTTGTCTTCCTTGCCTTTATCTCTTTGCTTTTAGGTCCATCTTTCACAATCCTTCCAGGCTAGTTGTCCATCCACACTCCTTTGAACAAGTCACTTTCCTTCTCAGTGACCTTCACTGACCTTCCCTTGTATGTGAGGTTCTCCATGATCTCACCTCCACCTGCCTTTCTTAATGTCTCATACTGACCTTCCCAACCAAGTCTGGCTGTTTGTGACAGGTGCTTTCATCCTCCCTACAGTTTTAACGTGAGGCCTCAGCTTGGGAGGAGGACTGGGGCACAGTAGAGATGCTGTAACTGTTCCCATGGCATGGGAAGCTGGGGCACAGGGTGGAGGCCCTGGGCCATGTGGCACTTGTGTCTGTGAGGCACGGGGAGAAGCGAAAACCAAGAAGGGTGGTCAGAGCTAGGGCAGGAACCGGGAGAAGCAGCCACAGAAGTCAGAGGAGGAAAGAACTTCAAGATGAAGAGGATGATCAGCAATTCTGAGTTCTTAAGCAAGTCCATGAAGACTGAGCAAGTTTCATTGCATGAGTGATTGCATGAGTGATTGATGGCAGTTTGGTGTGTTTCTGAAAGATTTCAATGGGAACAGAAGCTGAATTACTGATGTTCAAGGTTATAAAGGATGCAGCAACAAGGGCAGACCACTCCTGTGTGAGACTGGGGTGTGAAAAGGCAGGTACTGTGTTTTATATTTACATTTTCCTGCAACTGGCAGATGCATATGTGCTTTGAAGGCTCAGAGGATGAAGCCCAGGTTAGAGGGAGAGATTCAAAATAATGAAAGGAGTCACTCTGGAGGAGGGAAAGGATGGGGGAACTCCAGGGTTCCCATTCACCCTGACAGTGAGGAAGGAGAGGAGGGGACAGCAAGGAGGAGTGGCTGCATTCAGGTGGCTTCATTTTTTTCTGTCGATTGGGAGAGGAATTTAATGCGTTAGCAGTGCGCATGGGCCAGCCTGAATTGTTTCTGCAAAGATTACTCTTCCAAAAGTCAGTCTTCTGTGGTCTTAGTCCTGTGAATCCTTAGACGATTCACTCTGAGTCCCTGGGATCAGCCTCGGGCCTTCCAGGGTGTGCGGAGGTCATGCATGAAGTGTGGCTCAGCCAGCTCTGGCCTTTCTCTCACTCTTGGCCCTCTCAGACTCTCTATTCCACTTGTCATTCTCTGAGCACTCCCTACATTGTTTCCTGATTACGTGCCTTTGCTCACTCTGGCTTGTACTTTTGCTGGGCATCAGCCCTTCCTGCCCCACCTTCCTCTTTTGTGTCTGTTCTGTGTCAGTTAACTGTGTATCCCATTTCATAGAGAGCTACTGCTTACAGTTGTTTATTTATTTTGAGACGGAGTTTCACTCTTGTTGCCCAGGCTAGAGTACAATGGCGCGATCTCAGCTCACTGCAACCTCCACCTCCTGGGTTCAAGCCATTCTCCTGCCTCAGCCTCCCGAGCAGCTGGCGTTACAGGCGCCTGCCACCACACCTGGCTAATTTTTGTATTTTTTAGAGACAGGGCTTCACCATGTTGGCCAGGCTGGTCTCAAACTCCTGACTTCAGGTTATCCACCTGCCTCAGCCTCCCAAAGTGCTGGGATTATAGGCATGAGGCACCATGCCTGGCCAGTTGTGGTTATTTTTATTCATGCTCTTATTTCCTCTGCTAGATTGTAAACTGAAAGGATTTTAAAATCCAGGGATAATTTTAAATGTAATAAAATGTAGTAAGAAAACTTAATGAAGTATCAGAAGACAAGCCTGAGTCAGGCAGTCTTGAGTTTGAATCCTGGCCCTGCTTCTTCCTGGTGCGGTTTTGGGTGATTGCATCCTGTCTCTCTATTCATTTAATTAATTTACAGAGTGGGGATAATGAAACCTACTTCTTAGGGCTGTTAGGAGAATAAATGAGACAAAGCCTGTAAAGCATTTGACCTAGGCTGACTCCATTGTAGGTGCTTAGTAGACCATGCTGCAGCTGTCAGCAATGGATTCCTTGCCACCCAGCAGTGTTGGGTTGAGCACCTGGATGGATGGTGAGTGGTGGAGGAGTGTGCTCACCTCCCACCCCACTTATGTTGAGGGCAAGGATGGTGTACTTTACTTTGTATTTCTAACATGGGTCTATATATATAGTAAAGAGGAACGGCATACCTCTTATAACTGGGTCCACTTATACATGGATTTTCTTATGCCTCTGCTCCCCTGCAGACAGCAAAACCAACCCCTCTTCTTCCTCATCTTCCTTCAACCTGTGGATGCCTAGGATGAAGACCTTTATAATGATCCACTTTCACTTAATGAATAGTAAATCTATTTTCCCTTCCTTATGATTTTTCTTAATAGCAGTTTCTTTTCAGTAGCTTACTTTGTTGTATGAATATAGTATATACATATACAAAATATGTATTAATTGTGTTATAGGTAAGGGTTGCAGTCAACAGGAGGCTATTAGTTAAGTTTTTGGGGAGTCAAAAGTTACACACAGATTTTCAACTCCATGAAGGGGTTGTTTCTCCTAACCCCTGAGTTGTTCAAAGATCAGCTGTATTAACTTGTTTTCTCAAGTGCCCCATACAAATAACTTTTTTCATGTTAATTGCATAGAAGGAAGTATCATTTTGTACAGTTTTTTGAAAATTGGGAACTGGTTGGAAATGACACATAATAAGGTGTTCATAACATTTATAGCAAGAGGTGCAGCTTACAGCGTTTTCCCAATTAAAGCCCCTTTGCATTGTTTTTGCCCACAGAACTCTGGACATATTGAATGATTTATATTTTTGGCCCTTTCCTTTGTAGAACAAATGGTGAGGCCTAGAAGTTTTAGTGCAGCAGTTGTGTGAAGTGTACATATTATATAGTTTAGCCAGAGATGGAATGATACCATGGGGTTAATTTTTTTTATTAATTTTTAATACATTTGACATTGTTTCCAGGTAGCCAATCCTTCCAGTTTCTCAGGAACACAGATGTCTCCTCATAGGAAACAGGAAAAGAAGCTTTCTCTAGGAGAACTTGACAAACCAATATAAATGTTTCATCAGAGTGCCCTGTTGATCTCCACGGCCAGTCACAGGGGTTTTATCTCTCATCTTGTGATAAATGAGTACATATTAATTTTTAGTGCTGTAAAATGTGTCTTATTTGTTGCAGAGACTAGGGACAAACAACACTTTCAACCAATATATTGTATGGAGATGTTTTGCAGTTGCAGGTGGGATATGGTTTCCTCATTGAGCCCGTTAAAAGTATTCCATTGAATGGCGATGCAACTGTGGTCTTTGTGAACTGTTTCTTGGTTTGTCAGGTGTGTCCATGTTTATGAATATATCTCTGAATCATTTTGTATTTATAGCATACTAGAGATTCTAATATACGTGTCTCTGAAAAGTAGCTACATATGTTAAAGATAGTGGGAAAAAAAGGGGATGGAAAATGAACTAATTGTCCATGGAAGAAATTTTGGATTGTTAAAATGAGGATGCAGAGAAGACAGAGGCAAATTGTCAACACTTGTCACTAAGTGATACTATGCAGCTTCTCGGATGCTTGTCATTTGATGGAAAAAAGGGTTCTCAGACTGTAAGAAAGGAAGTTGACAATCTCAAGGGAAAAGAGTGTGGCCAGGTCAGGGCCTCTATCTTATGAAATGAGTTGGGGTATGAGACTAGGGAGGGGGTGATTCTTTAAAGTACATTTTTTTTTTTAAAGAAGGACTTATACTGTGTTAATTTTCTATTGATGCCATAACAAATTACCACAGAGTTGGTGGCGTAAACAACACACATTTATTATTGTATAGTGCTGTAGGTTGGAGGTCTGACACAGGACTCAGTGGGCAGAAATCAGGCTTTCAGTAGGCTGTGTTTCCTGTTGTGGGCTCTAGGGGAGAATCTATTTTCTTGCCTTTTCCTTGCTTCTAGAAGTTGCTCACATTCCTTGGCTTCAGGCCCTTCCTCCATCTTTAAAGCCAGCAGTGGTAGATGGAGTTCTCACATCTTCTCTCTCTGGCTCTCCTGCCTCCCTTTTTAGGATCCTTGTGATTATGTTGGGTCCACCTGGAAAATCTGGGCTCATCTCTCTACCTTGAAGCCAGCAGATTAGCAGCTTTAATTCCATCTGCAGCCTTAATTCCCATTTGCTATATGAGGTAATATATTCACAGGTTATGGGGAAATGTTCTAAGTATTGAGTCATCTTGTTTGAATTTTGTGGGGTACTGAAGTTCAGGAAAACTGTTCTCTCCAGAAGTCACCAGAGGCTTGCTTTCAGTATAGGGAAGTCTTAGTTTTTGCTGCCTCACAGATGTAATAAATATTGCAAACCTCACTCACAGAGGGTCTACCCTTGGGATTCTGGAGCAGCACAAAACCTACAAGGAGTTGAGAGAAATTGTGTCTATAGGTGAAGCAGGTTCTTAGCATCAGGAAGGGAAAGGAGGCGAAGGCGTGATGACCTGACAGGTGTGTGGAAGGAGCTCAGCAGAAGCAAGAGGGAGAGAAGACACACTGAGGTGAGAAGTAAAAAAGGGTGAGAATAGAGTGGTGGGCATTGTGGCTTGAGAGCCCCAGGCACCAGTGGAAGACACCGAAAGGAGGACTGCTCATACCTGGGGTGGGCTGGGTGCAGTAAAGTCATTCCCTGTACCGTGCCTTGGAAGCTCTGAGGGGTCGTGGCTCAGGTATTCTGTCTCTAAGCCTGAGCTCCTGTAGCACATGATGACCTCATACGGAAGGAGACTTTTATCTCAGCATCCCTCAACCTGGCACAGCAGTTATTAAACTTTTTGGTCACAGGACACCATGTATAGTGTTAAAAATTATTGAAACTCTCATACATTGCTGGTATAAAATGGTGCAGCCACTGAGGAAAACAGTTTGATAGTTCATCAAAAAGTTAAACATGAAGTTACCGTATGACGCAGCAGTGCCACTCTTAGGTGTATGCCGAAGATAACTGAAAACATGTTTATACAAAATGTATACACAAATGTACACAGCATTATTGGTGATAGGCAAAAGGTGAAGACAACTCAAATGTCCATCAGTGGATGAATGGATAAACAAAATGTGGTATATCCATACAATGGGATACAGGTTGAGCATTCCTAATCTGAAAATCCAAAATCAGAAATGCTCCAAAATCTAAAACTTTGAGTGCCAACATGATGCTCAAAGGAGACACTCATTGGAGCATTTCAGATTTTGGATTTTTGTATTAGGGATGGCCAGCTGATAAGCATATAATGCATATGTTCCCAAATCCGAAAAAGCCTTTAATCCAGAACATTTCTGGTCCTAAGCATTTCAGATGAGGGATGCTCAGCCTGTATTATTTAGCCGTTAAAAGGAGGGAAGTAATGATACCTGATACAACATGGGTGAACCTTTAAAACATTATGGTAGGTGAAAGAAGCCAGTCATAAAAAGCCACATATATTACGATTTCACGTATATGAAATGTCCAGAACAGGGAAATCTAATAGAGACAGGAAGTAGGTTAGTAGTTGCCAGAGATGGGGGGAGAAGAGGATGGGAGTGACTGCTAAAGGGTTTGGGGTTTCTTTTTAGGGTGATGAAAATGTTTTGGAATTACATAGCAGTGATGATTGTACAACTTTGTGAATGTACTAAAAACCACTGAATTGTACAGTTAGGCACCACATAATGATGTTTTGGTCAAGGATTGACTGCATATGCAATGGTGGTCCCATAAGATTATAATGGAACTGAAAAATTCCTATCGCTGAGTGTTGCCGTAATGTCATAGTATAATTACTTTTTAAAAAAATATATATTTAGTGTAGCCTAAGTGTACAGTGTTTATACAGTTGACAGTAGTGTACAGTAATGTCCTCAGCCTTCACATTGACTCAGCACTCACTTGCTGACTGACCTAGAGCAACTTCCAGTCCTGCAAGCTCCATGCATGATTGGTACCCTATGCAGGTGTACCATTTTTAATCTTTTATACCATATGTTTACTGTACCTTTTCTATATTTAGATACACAAGTACTTAGCATTGTGTTACGATTGCCCATAATATTCAGGGCATTAACATGTTGTACAGATTTGTAGCCTATGAACAACCGGCTGTCCTATATAACCAAGTGTGAAGTAGGCTATGACTATCTAGGTTTGTGTAAGTACACTCTATGACGTTTGCACAGCAACAAAATTACCTAACAATACATTTCTCAGAACATATCCCTGTCATTAAGGAAGCATGACTGTACCTATTTAAGTGGTGAATTTGATGGCATGTGAATTACAACTCAATAATGGAAATTGTAGAGAAGAATTTTTATGTCTGTAGATATCATATTAGAAATTAAAACTTGTAATAAAAATATACTAATTTAAAAAATAACATTATAATGTAACCATTATATGTTAACATACATTTTTATTTTAAAAAATCTTCAAAACAAAAAATTAAGTAAGAAGAGTAGCATTACCTTACATTTCTATTATATCTTTAATGTCTGGTTAGTAGGAGGCAGCAAGAACATCATATGTGCTTCTGTGTCAGTCTTTTGTGCTATGTTGCTTTGTGAAAGTATGTGAAGAAAATTCAGCCTTACACAGATGTGATTGGAAAAGAAAGGAGTATTGTTTTATGGACTTTTAAGATAACATGGATATTCTTTGACACTACCTCAAAATGTGACAAATGGTAATTTATTAAAGGTTAGTTGCACTGTGGAATCTGAAATCATTTATGTTAAAGTTTATTGATCTGTCTTATACTTTAAATGGACCTTTTACCACATGCAAGATTTTGTGTCATCATGCTTTGTCATTTGGGAAAGTATTGGTTCACTAATTTATGCAGATCTTCCAAATATTGACTCATTTCATTATTCTGTCTAAAATCACATTTGCTAATATCATCCCTGACCTCCTCAGAAGTCTTAATTATTGGGAAGCTTTCAAGCTCATGGTGGTAGATACGAGTTTTCCAGAATTCTGACTTCTGTGTGATGAGAGCCTGTGTCTTTTTGGTTGGCTTCAGCGGGTGTGATCTTGACTGTTTTACAATATAAAAGAAAAAAGGATTTTTTGGGAGAATTTGTGAGAATAGAGTGCTGGTGCTAAGTTGTCTATATGGGTGACTTCCTAGAAGAGGTTACCGGAGCCCTCGGTGGTTGCTTTTTTGGCTAGGGTGGGGTGTATGTGTGTTGAGAAAAGTTAGGAGGGTTTTTCTGTTTGAGCACGGAGCTAGAAGGACAGTAGAAGAGCAGAGCTGAGTGTTGGGCGAGGGAGATGAAGCCCGGGACGTGCTGGGGGAGTTAGAATATGTGTGAGTCAGGATGGCTTGCAGAGTGCTGTTCCACATCCTGCCCCGTTCGATCCTTACCATGATCTTACTAGTTAGGCACAGAGGGTGTACTGTTACACTTCTTTAGTAGGTGAGGGAAATGAGACCCAGAAATGGCAGTGGAATTGTCTAGAGTCATCTGGTTAGTTAGGGGTGGAATGGGTACCTGTCCTGAGCCTCTGCTTCCTAACTTATGCTGGTTTGTTTGCAACTGCACTAGGCTTGCTTTATTGGTGAGAAGCTGAGACAGAGGTTTCTCATGGCCAGAGTCAAGGGAGACATTGGTGGAGTTGATGCACCAATGCATTTTTGGATGAAGGTTGAAAGGAGTATGCAGGGTCTTTTACTTTGGGAAATGCTGTTGCCACTGTACAGAGGTGGGATGGACCCACACAAAGTTTGGTTCACGTGTCAGCCTGATGAGACCTCACGATGTACCAAGAGAGTAAGAAAAGGTGAATTATTCACATAGTAAAGCTTTTGGGGGAGAGCAGGCAGGCTCTCGGGTCCAAAAGTGTCTTGAGAGAGCAGGGAAAGGAGACTGGCTTGGCTTTTACATGATTAGGGGTTGGGGCTGGTCGAAGGCTTCCTTCCCTGCCCCCCTGGACCTGGATGGTTTGAACTTCCTGCAAGTGCCAAAGGAGGGGGCCCCAGGCTTTCTTATCAGCTTGCCCAGATGGGGGCAGAAGGGGAAGGTGGGGAGCGGTGGGGCCTGAAAACAGCAGTCAGATGTCAGAAATGGAGCCAGACTCTGTATTACAGGAAATGACATCTTTTCTCAAGGGATCTAGCAAGTAGCAATTTGATTCTAAATTCAAGACTTAGAACCAGCGAGGGAAGTGATTGAGTGAGCTACTGGCAGAACTTGTTGACTTAGCTGAAGTCTGCATGATCACAGCTCTGCATATCCTGGAACTCCACATTTCCTCCTGGTGACGAAGTGATGTGTTTCAGCTGATTTAGAATGTTGGCCTATTGAGAACAAAGCGAAGCTTGTGGGAAAAGAAGATAATGTGGTGCAGGAAGGCCCTGAATGCAGGGATGTTGCTTTCTTTTACTGAGAATTCTCTCGTGCTTGCCTTTGCCTTTATCCACCCCCTACCCCTTCTTTCCTTTTACCCTGAGAGTTGTTGGGAGGAAACTTAGCTGGGCCAACAGATGATGGAGCCGTCTATTGGAGGCTTTGAAATCCCACTTTACCACACAAGGAGGAGAAACATAGCTGTCATCTCCAGGAATTTTAGTACTCATCAGTCCCAGGCTGTCATATGAAGCATTCCACTCAGCGCAGTAAAAAAATGTGAACTAGTCAACAGTTTGTATGGGAGGACTACTTTGTGTTTCGAACGTTTGGACTTGGAACACTGTCCCAGATATTGGTTAGGTTACACTTGGAAGATGTTGTTTTGGAAGCGAGTAGGACTTGAACTCCAACAGATACTGGGTTAAGGAGGCTGCCAGGTACCAGTCTTAGATCCTCGAGGGCTTGGATCTGGAAGTGCTGCTCCCATTTTGGTTTGTATTTTGTAATGAATGCTTGGAGTCAGCTCAGGGTCCAATCATTGAAGCATTTATGTGTGAAACATTGATTATGCAGTGATTACTTGAGGAGGTGACTGGTGGTCACAGCTTATTTCTCTAATGTCTTTCCCTTTCTCTCCCACTCCTGATTTCCACCTGGGAATCCTATCCTTCCAGTGTGGAATGTATCAGAGAGTTTTAAAGCCCAAAGAGACCTTGGAGGTGATTATTTCTCTTACGTGTTGTATTTAAGGAACCTGATAATAACTAACTTCAAACATTTATTTCAGAAAGTTTCAAAACTATACAGAATTAAAGATAATAGTACGATGAGTCTCTATATTTCACCCAGATTTAGTAATTTTAAGATATTGCCCAGGTACAACTATCACATATAGAGCACTTCACATGCTTTACTTTTATCACCTCCCAATAGCCTTTTGGGGTTAGATACAAATATATTTCCTCTCTTGAAGATGAGAAAACTGACAGGCCCAGAGAGATTAAGAACCTTGCCTGGGGTCTCCCAGTCCGCAGCCAGCCGCCTGTGACTTCACCCTCTCTGCTGCACTGCCTGGAGAAGTTTTAAAGTTTGCCTGACATACACGGTCAGCTGAGGTCAGGCTAGAAGTGGAACCAAGAGATCTCACTCCTTCGTTGTTTCTTTTATTGTGATTTTCTGTGGCTTTTCTCTTTCCTTTATTCTTTTGATTCTTTTGCAACTGACTTTCTGGGCTTGAAGCGTCCGAGTACCATTTTAACTCTGATAGGCAGACAGCGGCATCCCAAGGCTGGGGTGGTGGGAGTGGTCTGCTCCAGTGCTGGTGATGAGGGGTGCATTGTCTGTGGAGGATTTAATAACAGTAATAAAAGCATCCAGAAGTCTGCCTGTAAAGTCTAAATGTCTAGAATTTTGCCTGCAGTTCTAAACAATGTCGGTGATATTCTTTCCCCCAAAATCTTTTGTTGGTGTTCTAAATAATTGCTTTATTGAGTTTTAATAATAGATACGTAAGCTTCAAGTGAGTACTTCTTGAGTACTTAGCCTTTAATAGATACTGTAGGCCGAGCGCCATGGCTCATGCCTGTAATCCCAGCACTTTGGGAGGCCGAGGCGGGTGGATCACCTGAGGTCAGGAATTTGAGACCAGCCGGGCCAACATGGTGAAACCCCGTCTCTACTAAAAATACAAAAAATTATCTGGATGTGGTGGCACGTGCCTGTAATCCCAGCTACTGGAGGGGGTGGGCTGGGACAGGAGAATTGCTTGAACCCGGGAGGTGGAGGTTGCGGTGAGCTGAGATTGTGCCATTGCACTCCAGCCTGGGTGACAGAGTGAGACTCCGTCTCAAAAAAAAAAAAAAAAAGAAATACTGTATGCAACATGGAGGTTAAATCTGACACTCCTGGTGTCAGATTAGCCCTAAACACATGGGGATTCAGCTGCTTGCATTCATTTCCAGAGTAACTTCTTAAGACTTTAGAATTGTTCAGAAAGCTTGCTTAGGACAGTCTTGTGTATTTAACTCTGTAGTATTACGTATATCTGTTTTTAAACAGTAGATTTGAAATAAATGATAGTGTTACTGATGACTATAATTGTCACTCTGTTTGATCACTTGGAGTTTTTGTCCAAGAGTCCTTAAAAATTACAACAGTGAAACAGAATGCAAACCATGAGGTGTAATATTTTTGCTTGGTAAGTGCAAAAATAATATCTGTAAAATTAAAACTTATCACATTTAAGACAGTTGTTTTAAAACTAAAGAACAAATCAAGAAAATAATAGTTACTGATTTTTACATAACTATTACTGAAAATAATTTTTTTCATACATGGAGGGTGTGTTAAAAAATATTCCTTCCTGGGTGTCTAATGTGTTAGATATGCCGTTGTAGGCGAAGGCTTTTTCTGTGATTCGTTTTTAAGTGAGGAGATTGAGAATCTTTCATATGTGCAACTGGAACCGTTAGGATAGGAAGAAAGTTACACAGGGCATTACTTGTACTGAAGGATTACTCTGTGTCTGAAATTGCTGGCACTTGGTACAGCTTTGTCTCACTTTGATATTTGTCAAGCTTCAGGCCTGTCTGCAGTGCTGACAGACTGTGTGTGCGACAGAGGCAAGAGCTCCTGCCGGCTCCTTTGCTTGGAGCATGCAAAGGGGGCTTGATGCCTTCTCTTGGGAGGGGGCCGTGGCGCCTTTGCAGTGGTAAGACCTCAGCCAGAACCCTGGCTTCTTGACTCTCATCTCCAGCATCACTTAGAACAGTGCTTCTCCATTGATTTTGCCCCCAGGGCACATTTGGCAAGGTCTGGAGACATTTTAGTTATCACCACTGGATGGGGGCTGCTATTGGCATCTTGTGGGTAAAGACATGACTCCTGCTAACTGTCCTGTGGTACACAGGACAGCCCCTCTACCCCTCCAGTAAAGAATTACCGGGCCCAGTTGTCCAGTAGTGCTGAGCTTGAGACACTGACTTAGGGCAAGTTACTTAAACTTGCATGGCCGGCTTCTTCATTTCCTCAAAATGGGAAAAATAACAGCAGTACTTTTCTCATAAGGTTGTTGTGAAAACTATGGGAGACAGTACATTTAAGAGCTCAGTAATTATAATTGTTGTTATTATTATGATTAACTTAGTGAAAATAAAATCCAAAAGGTAAAAAACAAACAAACAAACTGCTGCTGTGATATACTCATGACCAGTAGAGAGTCAACCATACTACACTCTGTGTACCCTTAGTACTACACAGCTGACCCTGAACACCTTGGGTCTGAGCCACATTAGTCCACTTATATGTGGATTGTTTTCAATTGAACATGGATCGAAAACGCAATATTTCGGGATGCAAAACCTGCGTGACCAAGAACTGCCTTTTTCTGTATCTGTGGGTTCTACAGCTCCGATGGGGAGACTTGAGCATGCACAGATTTTGGTGTTTGTCCAAATACCAGTCACCTGCAGATGACCTAGGGGTGACTGTAAATGGATAACAGTGCTTAGAATAATGACGTTGAATCAATATTCAGCGTATGAAACTTAGTAAAGTAGGAAATTGAACTAGAAACTTTTAGAAACATTTTCTTTTCTTTTTTTTTTTTTAAGATGGTGTTTTGCTCTGTTGCCCAGGCTGGAGTGCAGTGGCACAATCTCGGCTCACTGCAACCTTTGCCTCCCAGGTTCAAGCAGTTCTCCTGCCCCAGCCTCCCGAGTAGCTGGGATTACAGGCATCCGCCACCACGCTCAGCTAATTTTTGTATTTTCAGTAGAGACAGAGTTTCACCATATTGGCCAGGCTGGTCTCAAACTCCTGACCGCAGGTGATCTGCCCACCTTGGCCTCCCAAAGTGTTGGGATTACAGGCATGAGCCCTCGTGCCTGGCCTGAAACATTTTCAAAAGAAGAAAGTATTTCTGGCCAAATGTTAGCTTATCAATATTTTCTCAACTGTTCTGATTGTGTCACCTCATGTGCCTGTTAAGCTACCTGACCCCTCCCTTAAAGTTTTTGATAAAGGGATCGGGGAATCTTGTTTTAACATAATAGTCCTAGATGATTTTTAAGATCAAGCTAGATTGGGGACAGTACTTTTAGGTAGAAAAAAGATTTATCAACTAAGATTGGGAAAAACCTGGCTTAGAGTAAAGCAGGTTTCTTTCCTGCACTACTCTAAGCACTTTATATGGTCAATGGTAAATTGTATTATGCATTGTGGGGAATGAGAGTAAGAATATATATATATATATATTAAGTAACATTTCCTAAACTTAACTATGAAATGTTCTGTTAAACACATTTTCTGATGATGTTTCACAGACAGCACACTGGGAAACAATTACAACTCCCTCACCATAAATTCTGATTAAAGGAGGGTTTCCTTCCCCTTCATATTTTAGCAGAATAGCTATATAAACCCAAAAGTATTTGAGACAGGTCGCAATCAGTTTAGAAGTTTATTTTGCTAAGATTAAGGACAATGACGGGGATTAAAAAAAACATGGCATCACACAAGCAGTTTATAGTCTGTGCTTTTCTCCAAAGATGATTTTGAGGGCATTAGTATTCAAAGGGGAAAAGCAGGCTGAAGGGGAAAGAGGGTAGGGTATTACTGAATCCACATGTTGCAAGAGAAAAGGAGCAGGTAGGGGAATAGTCAGTTACGTATTCCTCTGGAACTCAGTAAATCAACACTTTACCTAGATAAGGTGAACATAGAGTAGCCGCCTGTGGAGATACTTAACGTTTTATCAGTAGCTATCTACGTAGGAACAAAAGGAAAGGCAGCATCTTGCATGACTTAGCTTTCAGCTTAATATTTCTCCTTTTGACATATTGAATTGGAGTCCCAAGTTTTTGTTTTCCTTTCACAGCTACTTGGCTTTCGAGTGGCCCTGCAGTGGAGGGGCGGGGTGGGTACACATCACGACTCACATAGGGTGAGTCCATCTGGGTCTATACACTCATGTGTGGAGATGACTCCAGGCCAGTCCTGGGCACATAGTTTGCCTGTCCTTCTCCCCCAGGGACAAGGTGCCCCTGGGACCCTTTCAGTTTAGGTTTGTGGGAAGAGCTTTCCTCACAAATTGCTTCCGTGGGCTTCCGAGACAGCAGGCCTGCCGTCTGAGAATTCTGTTGGCTCCTCAATTGATGCCTTGGTGGGATTATCTAATTTCTGCCATGGTCCATACCCACATTTGCCTCAGGAAGTTCCTGCCTGTGCTCAGGTGACTGATGAGTTCCTTTTGGGCACCATTTCAGCTAAAGGCAGTCATCTCTAGGAACTCAGATTAATGCACAATGTCAGATCTACAGCCTTCGTTCCTACCATATGGATTGAGCTTATCTGTATTTTATAGTGAGTGTGGCAGAAAGATAGTAGCAGAGATCCAGGTACATAACAGCTATCGATGGATTGAGAATTGATAGTGGCTCATAATCTGGTTACTTGTATCTTTCATTATTGTGATTTGATACTATTAAATCTCAAGTATAGCAATATGTGAATTCAAATTATCATACTCTTATTGTTTATCCTTTTTAGCCCTAATTTGCAGAAGGTGATTAACCCAGAGCAGGGATATGCGAGTGGTCTCCCTCCCTCCCTCACCGTTTGCCAGCAATAAAGGATTATTTGTACATCATTTGTATTTCCAACTCCTGTGGTACTCCTGTACTAAATGGGTGATTCAGGTAAATGAAGTTAGTTCAGTGATTGTGATCCCTGTGTGACCACTTTAGTTTTTATTTGTGTTTAAAATTAAAAACTAAACTTGAGGCATAATATCATTTGGTACCTGCAAATTTTAATTAACACATGGAATGCTTTGTCCACAGTTTTCCAAAGTGGTTATGCCACTGTATACTCCCAGAAGCAAAGGTGAGAATATTCCAGTTGCCCCATATTCTTACCAATACCTGATATTTCTTTAAAACACGTGAAATTGAGTTTCACTGTAATCTTCCTAATAATAGATAAGAACGTTTTAAAACCCAGTTGCCCTTTGCAGTGTGCGTCATCAGAACCGTCCAGTCTTGGGGTGCCTTCCATAAATGAGAACTTTGTGATCTCCTCTTCCACGAATGAGATATTTAGTTATTTTGTTGAGGAGTGATACCAGCCTTTTGCTCAGCCTCTTGAAAGAGAAAAGGTCAGCATCATCTTAGGGATTTCATTGAGCACAAAAACAGAATTTACCATAAGCATGTGTGAGCTCTGAATGTCACTACATATCTGTCCTAATGCGTCTCATGTTTTAAGTGTCTTGCTCCTTTGTCTTTCTGTTTTTTTTTTCCCCAGCAATCTGATTGAAATGGGAAACAGAGGGATAGGAATAGCGTGCGCTTTTGGACCTCTGGATATGTAATTCTGCTAGATTTAGCCAAAAATTTGTGTCACGTTCCTATAGAAGAGAGCTACTGACCTGGGGATGCTTAACTTGGGGCCGGCTTGTTGAGAAGTCATACATTACATTCTGTGAATTTATCTTTTTTAAATCTTCGTATCGTGTCAGAGTCTCTGGAACCTTTTTTGTCCTTAGCTCCCTTTAACCTTTGTGCTAGAGAAAAGGCAGGTCCAGAATGGAAAGGGATTTCCCGGTAAAGCATGGCAGCTTTTCTCATCCTGCAGGTCTCTCTTAAGAGAGCTATGCATCCTGGTTCTTAGAAGATGGCAGGTGAGGAAGGGGCCTCTGATATCCAAAGTTAGACTTGATTGTTCTTTAGTAGTGACTGAGTCTAAGGGAGTATTTGTTGTTTGGAGCTTTAAAGTTTATTGTATATAAGCAGTATCCCATTATGTCAGTTTCCATTATAAAAATACTATACTTTATTATTGGCTTTTACAATATGAGAATGCAGGTTTCCCTAAACTGATGACTTAAATGGACTCGGGAGTCCACATGGTGGTGACTTGTGTGAGCTCATCTTGCAGTGTACGGCCTTCCAATATTGACCGAGTTGAAGGAAACTTGGAGGTTTTCTGGGAACTAATCTTCAAATGAGGCATTTACAGTATATTGTTACTTTTGTAGGATTGATTATGTGTGGAAAATGCATTCTTAGATATGTCAAGATTCCTTCATTGATTTTTAATAATGAAGGTCTTTAGTAAAACCTGTTTTTTTGTTTGTTGTTTGGTTTTTATGGAGGGGTGGGGGATGGTGCAATTCTCTGAAAGCGTTGGGAGTGAAAAGCTGGCAGTGGCCCAAATGCAGTGCTGCCTTTGTGCACGTTCACATTCTTCAGTGAACACCAGCAGGCCTTCAGTGATTTCCTGCTGTTGGGCCAAAACATAGCTAGTACCATTTTATGCTCCCCCTGAGCTGCCAACATACTACACTACTGAGAGGAATTCCACTGTCCTTTTATTCTAGAGGTGAATCTATTCTGAACTTTTATGGGAGAGAAATGAGACTGACTTAAAAAATACACAGGAAAAAATCTCCCATTCCTCTTTGATTAACTTATGAACAAAGGAAAACACCAAAACTTATGATTGATTGCTTTAAAAAAGTTACTGCCAGTGAGATAGTCCTTTTCCTCCTCAGGATGCTGAGTTCCTTCCCCATGTAGCTTGCTGAGGGGTTGCGGGAGCTCCCATAAGAATGCCTGGTGATGATGGTGGTTCTGAGGCTTCAGGGTTCTGCCCCTTCTGGATAGAAATGCAGAGGAGGCTGCTCTACAGCTGGACAGTAGTGAGCTCTGGGCCGCCATGAGACTGCCTGCTCCATGTTGTATGTGGGGCAGATGTGGGAGAAGGATGGTGGGAAGAATGGCTTCCAAACTGTCGATTGATCAGATAAACAAGGGAGGATGCCAGGGGATAATGCCAAGAAGAGGTGGGTAAAGAAAGGAAAGGAATCCACAAAAGGGAGGAGGGGAGTGCAGGTGTGCATGTGTTCTGAAAAGTGCTCATGCACATACAGTTTGCTTATTATTTAAAAACTTACTGTGTGGAGTTTTCTAAGTGTATTTTATAAAGCAAGATAAATGTTTGGGTTTTGTGTAAATACATTTAGTAGTTAATGTATAGCATGTAGAATTAAGCATCTTCTTCCTGAGTGAACTCACTGCCAAGATCCACGTAAGAATATTTAAAGTCACAGATCTTTGGTGGATTCTGAACACAGCTGTAGGATTCCATACTGAAGCACAGCTTTCCTGAAAATAGCCAAATTAGGTATGGCCCTTCCCCTCTGGCCTTAGTTCTTCTGCCTTTGTGCACGTTCACTTACTTGAGATGACTTAGTTGAGTCATCTCAAGTAAGTGAACAAATGCTGGGCCAGTGTCCAGGAGGAAGCAGCCCCTTTGTGTGTTTTCATGTTCCTTTAGCATTTCAGAATGTGGCCTGACAGGTAACTGTGGGGCTATATTTGACTCCTGGAGAGCAATTCTAGAGAAGGAGATGCTCTGGCCCCAGGCCAGGGGTGGGCTGTCTTCTGCAGCCTTTCCTGGTATCACATTTAAATGTTGTGCTCCATTTGTATTTGGAGAGTGTATTTGTAGAGTATATAGGTAGGCTATATTTGTAGAGTGTTGGCTGACAAAGGCTGAAACAAAATAGATTGTCTGAGAGCAGACATCTCAGAAGGCCCAGATGAACACTTATATATGTGGCACAGAAGTACTAGGTGGCACTGCAGTTTCTGTATGAATAGTTAATGGCCTTGTATTGGCAAGTAGTTTGTCTTCCACATCACAGCTCTGTTGACTGGTGAGTCTATGAAAGATGTTCTGGGAGCAGGCTGGAAACTTAGTGTCACATGATGGCTATATACCACTCAACATTTGCATTTTTGCACCCAGCTTTAGGTTTAATGAGCTTCCTCTCCTTGTTGGGTGTGGCTGATGGAATGAGTATTCTCTTTTGACATATAAATAATTGCGTTTTCTCTTTTGACATATAAATAATTGCATTTTCCAACAGAAAGGCTCTGTGTTCATTTTCTGCTGCTGCCACAACAAATTGCTATGCACTTTCTGGCTTAAAACAATACAAATGCATTATCTTATACTTCTCTAGTTTAGAAGTCTGACCTGGGTATCACTAGGCTAAAATCAAAGGGCTGGCAGTGCTGAGGTCCTCTGGAGGCTCTCAGGGAGAATCTGTTTCCTTGCCTTTTCCAGTGTCTAGAGGTTGCCTGCGTTCCTTGGCTCATGGCCCCCTCCTGTTTCCAAAGTCAGTGGCCTACCATGTCTGGAGTGTACTTCTGTCAGCACATCCCTGTCTCTTCTGCCTTCTTCTTCCACTTTTAAGGAGATTGCTTTAGGCTCACCCAGATAATACCAGGAACATCTGTTTTATAGTCAGTGGATTAACAACTTTAATTCCATCTGCAACCTTAATTCCCCTTTGCCATGTAAGATTGCAGGTTCCAGGGATTAGGACGAGGACATCTTTGGGGACGTTATTCTGCCTAGGACAGGCTCTCTTTCTGTGTTTCCTTAGAACCCTCATCTATATCAGATTATATTAGAAGTTGTCTGTTTATATATATTTTATTGCTGCTACTACTACTACTGCTACTACTACTGTAGTCTACTACATTTTACAGACTTCTCAAGGTCAGGCACTGTTCGTTTCATCTTTGAATCCTGGCATTACCACAGCCCCTGGTGTACATATATGGTGCTTAGTAAGTGTTTGCTGAGCTAAAGGGAACTCTTTCAACTCCCTGATTTTACTTATGAACAAACTAAGAAATAGAAAACTGTGCTTTTTTTTTTTTTTTTTTTGAGACGGAGTCTAGCTCTGTTGCCAGGCTGGAGTGCAGTGGTATGATCTCGGCTTGCTGCAACCTCTGCCTCCCGGGTTCAAGCAGTTCTTTTGCCTCAGCCTCCCAAGTAGCTGGGATTACAGGCGCCTGCCACCATGCCCAGCTAATTTTTGTATTTTTAGTAGAGATGGGTTTTACTGTGTCGGCAAGGCTGGTCTTGAACCCCTGACCTTGTGATCCGCCCACCTTGGCCTCCCAAGGTGCTGGGATTACAAGCATGAGCCATCACACCCGGCTGAGAATTGTGACTCTTAAAGTAGTGAGAACTCAAAAACCCTTTTATGTTGACTTCCATAAAACTGTGAAATGCCAAGTTCAATTCTTCATGCTTGGAAGAAAACTTGGGTATGCAATAAGAATGTGTTATTGTTGCCTTCTCTCATAAAGGCATCGTCTGATATTGGTCATGAGCATAGAACAAAATGAACAAAGTGAATTATTTCCTATCTATCTGAAGACTGCTCTCTGCTAAACAGAGTATCACTTAGTCATAAATCAGCTCAGTGTTTAGTAAATGGAAAATGAGGAAGATCTCCTACCAGGCATTCATTGGCTCGCTTTTAAGGATTATACTTTCAAAATGTGAGAACTATCAGATTATGTTTGTACAAAATATGGCATACAAATTAAATAAGCACAGTAGCATAATTTGATCTTGCTTTATCCCATGCACTTGTGGCTGAATATAGATAAATTCTTGTCAATTAGTTTTGACCTTGTCTAAATGCCTTGCAATGATTAATTAGTAGGAAGCAAACCTAGGATGGCAAAACACCCCAAAATAGTTGCCCAGGATGCCTGGTGTGCCAGCAGACGGTATTTCCATCCCAGGATCAGGCTGCTGAGGAAACCCATGTTCTTTTGCAAGATTGGCACACATTCAGGTGGTTTTAAAATAGAGCTGCTTATCTGTTGTGTTTATTTTGGTATTTGAAATTTTTTATATCAAAGCTAGCCCTAAAGAAAACAACAGATTTTCTTAAGTTTTTATTTAAATACTGGCTGCTTTGAGGATGTGCCTACAGATTTGGTTTTGGTGTGAACCAATGATTGACAGTTGTCACCTGATAAAAGGGCTCCCTTACCTCTCCCTTACTTCAGTGCCTTGGAACTTTCTGGGCCTTAGAGTTGCAGTCTCATTTCCCTCTGCTTCCCAGCCTATGTGCAGGGCAGACCTCTTCTTCCCTCAGTAACCCCCAGCTCAGCACACTTGCTGCCAAAGATGCCTTTGTACTTGGCAATGTGGCATAGGGCGGTGATTTTCAAACTGTTGTTTAGTTTGGGAAGTCATGGAACTCCTGTATTATTATTATTATTTTTAATGACATGTAAATGCTCAAGATACATAACATGAATTAAAGTGGAATTGCTGAGGTTGAAGATGAGTGGGAACCCAGGGCCCTGCTGAGTTGGGGCCTGAGGCCAAGTGTCCAGGAATCCCTCTGGGAACACGGAACCCAGTTGAAATATTCTTAAAGTGGAAAGAGTACAGACTCCACCACTTACTAGATGGATGAGATGTGTGACTTTGGGCAAGTTATTGTTAGAAATGAAATGCTTGTTCCCCAGTGCCGCAAAGAAATAGCACTCAAACATAAATTTAATTCTCTCAGCAAGGCAATTTTTACTTTCTGCAGAAAGGGTGCTCATTGCAGATGGAACAATGGCCAGAGCACACCTGGACAGGGGAGGGGCAGGGGTTCTTATTCCTGATGCAGGTAGCCCCTACTGCTATGTTGTTCCCCTATTGGCTAGGGTTGGACCGCACAGTTTAAGCCAATTCTGATTGGCTATTTTAAAGAGGTCATGGGTATGAGGCAGAGTGGCGGGGTGAGTAGTTTGGCGGGAAGGCCAGTTAAGAACAGGTAACTAAAGGTGACTTAGGTCAGAGCAAGTGACCAAGGGTGACTCAGGTCAAAGCAGATGACCGGAATGAGTCAGGACAGAGCAGATGACCAGGGGAACAGATGTGAACTACTGATTAGGACTGGCCGGAAGGTTGTTTACTGAACCTAGAAGCAAGTGGGCGATGAGAACCAGGAAGTTAAACTTTAAAATGGAGAATCAAAGAATAAGAGAGCTGAACCTACTGACATACTGATTCTTTGAAGAGAAACTTGGGGTTCACCATATTTAACATTACCCTAGTTTTTAGTCTTCTCATCTTTAACATGGGAATGATAGTACCTGCCTTACTGGATGGCGGCAAGGATAGACAAGCTCATGCTTGGAAGGAGCCTGGGATCAAGCAGGTTCTCAGTCAGTGGTAGACATAACTGTCACTTTGTGATTCTTCTCCCTGCCCCTCCTCCCTCTTCCTGTTATCCCCCTCCTACTCCCCGCTCTGCTACCGTTCCTCTTCTTCCCTCTTCCTTTTGTTTTTATCTACCACCCTTCATGGCCTGGCTGGTGCTGGCCTCACTTCTCCCATGACTGTCTCATTGCCTGTTCCTAGTCACAGGAATCGCAGCCTTCTATAACATTTATTCCTATAACATTTATTATTTGTTCCATTAAAATGTTTTCAAAATGACATTTTATGTCATTATAAAAGGAACATATGTTTGTAAAAGGAATATATGTTTATTGCAGAAAATTTAGAAGATATGTAACTACAAGATCTTTCAAGATAGGAACTCTTTTTATATTTTTTTCCTGCTGCGTATAGTGGGAATCATCCATTTCATACTTAATATTCCTGATAGATAAAAAACAATTATTAGTTTTGAGTCTGTGGAGTTTTATTAACTCATTTGAAAGAAATTTTTATTTTTATGGCAAAGGAGGAAAGAATGTCCTCCATGAAGTTGAGAACATAAAGACCAGAGGAAGGCACTGTTCTGGGTGTTGTGAAGGATGTAGAGTGACCCAGGCCAGGCTTCCTGTCCTTCAGGAGCTCATAGTTCAAATAGGACTAAATGCTATTAAAAAAATAATCTAGTTACTGGTACAGAGAGAATGTCCCGTGGACTCATTGAGGATGAGGAGGTCCAGTCCTGCTGGGGTATCTGAGAAAGCTTCAGAGGCATTGGAATTAGAACCAGATCTTGAAGGGAGTAAGGATTTTGACAGATGGCCAGATGGCACTGAGAACATTCTAGTGGTGGGGAAGTGAAGTGTGGGATGTGTTTAGGTGACCCCACTGGTTGAAAGCAGAGGAGAGGGTCAGCTGGGGAGCTGGGCCTTGAATGCCAGGCCAGTCCTCAGAGCTGTACAGTCACCGCAGAGTTGGGAGTGGAGAAGTGACATGACCAGGTGACAGGACTGGTGGGAAGGTTTGAGGTGGAGCGGCCAGGAGGACTTTAGTTGTGGCCATTACAGAGCCTAGCCCAGATGACAATGACCATCTCCTTGACCAGATGCTACTCAGTCTCCTTCGAGTCCTCTTTTTGACTAGGCCTTTTTCTTGGGTCCTGTCTTCAGGCTGCATAGCTCTGCTAAGTCAGTTTAGCTACAACCTCCCACCCTTGAGCTCTCCTCCCCCGGCCTACGTTCAGCAAGAATCCCCCTCCCCTTGCTGTCTCCTGTGAGTTATTTTCCATCCACTGACCCTGCTCCCTCTGCGCATTGGTGCTAAGTCCCCAGCTGCCCTGTGTTTTCTGAGTTGAGCTCCGTCTCCTTCCCCTATTAGGATAGTCTTAGCATCTGTCACAGTAGTCCTGGGAAAGTCTTCCTCACCATTTTAATAAGCGTCAGAGTAATTTTTTCTTTTACACAGATCTAGTAAAGAGATGCTCCTATAAGTATATGATGAATTGAATTGACTTGAGGAAAGATGAGGCAATCAAATAACAGTGTTTTCTCAAACCTTGCTGTCCGGGCTTTTTGTTGTCATTGTCCTGAGTGGTGTCCTGTGTTTTTTATTGACTCAGAAATCGTGGCCTGGTTACTATTTGGGAAGGCATGTCTGTGAACCAGTGCAAATTGGTGGCGTTTAGTACCCCTGCATTTCCTTTTTAAATTCACCTTCCGCTTTCCCTTCCACCCTGTTGTAGGGACACCTGCCTTGCTCACAGGTTGTTCCTGGAGACTTTGCGTGAAGGCTGGTGTTGACCTGAAGCCCTCCTGCAGCTCGTTTTGCCTCCCTTGTGTTTTTCCTTACATCTTTTCCCTTCTCTGGCTTCCATCCATTCTCTGTGAAGAGGCAGCTCACTAGGTGAGCTGTGGCTTTAGAGCTTCTTTGCATTCAGTAGATTTCCAGGCCATTTTCTCCAGGCTTTTAGTGCATGGCGAAGGCATCATTGGATGAGTATCATCAGGAGGGAAAGGGCAGATGGCTGTGTGTGGACTGTTAAAGCAGTGTGTGGGCACGGTGGCACGCACCTGTAGTTCTAGCCACTCCAGAGGATTGCTTGGAGCCAGGAGTTCGAGATCAGCCTGGCAACATAGCGAGACCCTGTCTCTAAAAAAACAAAAAAGTTTACAAATCTAGGCTTTTAATCTGTATATAAAAAAAGAAATGAAACAACAGCAAAAAAGAATGCAGTTTGTCCAGAGACAGGGATGTGACTGGACAGCAGGAGTGAGTTGAGCCTTTCTTTGCCAGTGTTTGGTTCAGTGGACCCGTTCTTCACTCTCCAGTGCTCCGTGCAACTTATGTTTCCCCTCCTGTAACGACTGCTGGGAAACAGCATTCTCCAAGAGACGTGGAGCTGTGGCTAGAAATGGCCTTGTGGCTATGGTAATGCCCAAGTCTTCCTCATAGAGACCATTTGGCTGTTTTCTGATTTCTCCACTCCTAATTAAAGCTTTAGTTAATTGCCTGCACTTTGAGAAGCCTGGTAGAGATAACTTATAAGGATAGGTTAATGGTGAAAATGCTGAAATACAAGAACTGCCCAAACTGCCTTGATTCAATTAACATGTGCATTTTTCTTTAAAAGAATTTCGCGCTGTGAAAAGCCTAGTAATTGTGATTTAAATTGTTTGATAAAAGCGTTCATTTGATTGCAGACTTGAGTAACTCACATTTGTTTAAAAGACTCATGATGGGGACAAGGGGGGTTAGGTTGATTGGCTTAAGATCCTATCTGAAGTTGAAGTGTATGGGTCACACGGCCGGCTTCAAGGCATTGTTTGGACCGGTCAGAGGTGCAGGGTGGCACTTCATGGCTTTCACGCTGAGTTGGTTCTCAGCCAGGCTGGTCTTTTGGTATGCTGTCGCATAGACACTTGTTAATATTTAAAGTATCTCTGACATCTTGTGCCTTTTAGTTCAAGATTTTTGTTTGTTTTGTTTTTAGGGCATGTTTTTCATTCCTTACTTAACCTCTGTTTTGAAGGGCCTTGGTGACCACACCATATTCTCCTGTTTAGGTGACCCCAGTGGCTGAAAGCAGGAGAAAGTGTTTCATCACGGGCCCTCTCCTTCTGAATACTGTGAGTCTGTGCCTTGGAAAATTAAATGGGAGTATTGTAAAACTCACTGAGGGCTTCTCTTTGGAAACTTCACATCCATTCGCCACATATTCTTCCCACCCTCCCCCGCCCCACAATAGGAATTAAAAATTTGGAGTTGAAGAAGAAAGCTAGAAGTATTATGAAGCAGCCTTGTTTGCTTTAATAAAGTAATAGTTCTAGTTTATCCTCACTTTCCTATGTAGTGTGCTCCCTTAAAGATGACTCAGACAGGTGACTCCCTCAGTCTTCTCCCTGCGGTCTCACTACCTGGGGTACTAACAGTTAAGAAGTTTTTACCAGAAAGTGATGGGTAATAGTACTGGCTTCCTCAGGAAAAGCTATGTGTTGTTCCATTGTTAGAGAAAAAAGCCAGAGCTGGGTAGTAGTTAAGGTGGTGAAAACAGTTTTACTCAGGAAAACTATTGCAGTAGGGGAGGAGAGATTCCAGTATAAAACCAGGCTCAATGGCAAGTGCAGCATGGGCCACTGGGAATTCAGAACCAAGGAGCAGTGCGAAGGTCATTGTATGGAAATTACTAGAGGTAACCTCAGGGGTTAGGGGGATTCTAGCTCAACTGACCCAACGAGGATTCTTGCTGAGGATAAGTCAGGAGAATCAGATGTCACCTGGGGGGTTGTGGGGGACAGTAGAGGACGAGGAACACATCAGATATTGAGGGTGATCAGATGTTGAGGAGGGGGGCAATTCAGCTAAACTGACTTAGCAGGGCTTTTGCCAAAGTCAGGAGACGCAAAGAAAGATATGGAGGGCCAAAGGTGGAGGTCCATTTTGGAAGAGCCTTCAGAGCAGTCCGACTAAAGTTTGGTAAGAGAGAGACGCTGTCAGCGCCTGGTTGTGTGTTACTTTTAGGTCCTGTGCACTGTCTTTTTTCAGTTGAAAGGACAAACCCTCACCTTCAGCTGTCCTGGGTGCATCTCTGAGGCTGGGTTTAGGGCTGGGCCTCTCCAGTGGCTCCTGGGGATGGGGGCAGCACTCACCCTTTGCGGAGGTTTTACAGCATCCCCAGCTGGCCCAGTGTGCGGGTGTTGTGGGGTGCATAGGGCCCCCGAGAGAGGCTTTGGGTCTGTCTCAGTGTGCATGTTACTGTGTTATGCTGTGGTGGCTCCCTCTTTTTGCCTCTGTGAATGGTGGGCTCCAGAGGGCTGGGATACTGACTGGCTCTTTCATCCTCTCGTCCCCAGCATGGCGTTTTGCACATAGCAGGTGCTTGATATGTAGTGTGTGAAGCAATGAAGATTGTTTGTGAAAATTGGGTTCAGTTCTTTATACTCATGGTGGTAGGATCGGGGGATCACAGTGTAGAAACTAGTTGAGAGAGCCTGGAGTATGGAAAGCTATAATTATTTTAAAAGCTTTCTCTCAACAGGTCATTTCATTCTCACACCTTCCCAAAGCACTCACCAGACAGGCCGACTGGAGTTTCACCTCCCCATCTGTGCTCTGCTCCCCACCCTACAGCTGAGTTGTAAGAGGCAGGTGCCGCAAGAAGGTGGGGTGGGGGGCAGCCAGCCTGAGTATCTGCAGGTTGGAGAATGAGCCCTCCTTCTTGGCCCTCCGTAATTGAATGTTATGCTGCCTCTCTGGTACTGTTAATGGGCCAGGGTGCCCCGATGTTCTCACTGACTCTGAAATGAACCATTTCTCTGTTGCGTGTTCTCGGCATCTGGCAAGGCCATGGTGGGGAGAGAGCGCTCCAGCCTTGCCCCAAGGGCTGGTGAGGAGGTCCAGACAGTTTCACCTAGGCCTCAGGGACGCTTCCCATGAGAAAAGAGGATTCCTGCTGGGCCAGGCACTCCTACCCTGCAGCGTGGGAGCAGTCGCTGGAGGTGCTTGAGTTGCTGGGTGCTGTGTCCCAGTGCCCCTGCAGTCCTCTTCGTGCTCTCCCCGTGAGGCTCCCAAGGCAGGATCTGGAGGCGCAGACTGTTCAGGCAGCCTTGTCTGGCTTGCAGGATTCCTCTAAGCTCTGGGTTTTCTAGGATTCCAATTACAAAGGGTTATAATCCCATCTCCTGTTGGGTAAGGAAAATTCAAAGTACTGGAGAGAGATCAATTTTTCTGCCTGTTACAGTTCTGGGGGCTGGCTCAGAGGGAGCAGGTTCTTAGCACTGCTCACGTGGCAGCTCCAGGTGCCCCTTGGACCCCACACTTTACCACATAGCCCTGTTCTTCCTAGGGCTGGGGTCCCTCTGCCACTGCTCTGTGGACTTTTGTGCAAAACACACGCATACAACAAACTTGGAGCTAGTAGGAAACCTTTGTATTCAGAAGAAAAGTGGAAACAAAACAAAAGTGTTGAAGTTGTTCTGGTAGCCGGCCTTGTGCAGGCAGCAGTGGTGTCTCTAGTGGTTCCTCCCTTCAAACCTACTTACCCCATGTCATTATATTTAGCACAGTACCTGTAATCCTTCCACTAAGTTCCCTAACCTTTATAATTATTCAGCAGCAAATATTGTACCTTTGGGATCCTAAGGAGCTAGCTCTTGCTTCCTTCCCCCCTTATCTCTGGGAGGTAGCTTGTCGCAGACCCTACCTTAGAGGTACTCAGTTACTTTGGAGGGCAGAATTAGTCTCTGATGGGGATACCATTTCCCTCTTTGGCCCTGGATTGGGGAGGAGGAATTCTAGGAGGTAGGGGAGAGACACAACATTGGCGGTGGGAGAGAATAACACTTCTTCTAAGGTCAGGTCAGCCTTGTATGCAGGGTACCAAATGAACCCTGTCCCTGGGACCAAAGACTGAGAACTTGGGCTAGGAGCAGCAGTGCTGGCAGTGCTTGAGTTATGTCTGAACCATCCCAGGAGATTCCAGAATTATGGAGCTCTATCAGAAATGGCCCCAGCTGTGTGTGGGCTGCTGCATCTCTCCTGCCTGGATGCATGTGTGTCCTTTCCCTCTGCTGTCCTTCCAGTTTCTCATTTTGATCCTTAGGTGGATTAAAGAGAGGACCTTAAATTGCCAGTTGCTAACCTTGAGTGAGGATTCCCAGAGGAGTGCTGGTGCAATATAGGCAGGACTTCCCCCTCTGGTGATGTGCTTGCTTCCAGGGCCGAGGGAAGGGGAGGCACAGTGAGACCAGACTCTGTTCTCTGAGCAGTGCTGGAGGAGAAACACCCTCATCCATGTGGAGTGGGCATGGATGGAGGCAGCAGGGAGGGTAGTAGCTGGGCTTCCTGGGGCCCGTGGAGGCTGAGAGCAAAGCCATATGATCAAGGAGCATGACCAGGAAGCCAGTGGGGGTCCCGTCTGCTGCATGAGAGCCACCCCCTGGAGCCTAGGGCCCCGACTGTGGGCAGAGCTGGCCCTCCATTCTCTGCAGTGAGTATGGGGACAGATGTGATTGTGATCCTCTCAGAGGACTGATGCATTTTGCCAGAGACATGGAAGTGGCTTAAAAGCCAGCAAGGTCCTTGGTGGACATGATATAGATACAGGTTGTGTTCCTTGGAAGTGACCAACACGTGTCCTTTTGCATGGCGGAGATTCGGAAATGCAGCCTGTGCTAATCCTCTCAGGTCCTTTTGTTACGACTGTGGAGCCCCATGATTTGGTCACTACTTGGGGTCATTTATGTGTCTGGCTGGTCCAGTTCCTATGTTTTGACTGCTGGGACCAACAGCTGTGTGTGATTAGGGCATTGCCAAGTTCCCGGTGGTAGAAATCGTTTACCATATGGTTCTCGAGATGTCATTGTGTAATTCAAACTCCTAAGGCTGTAAGTTTTGCTAACTGCTCTTGGTGGGGCTCTCCCTGCATTTTACAAAATGCTCACTAGTTTTTGTCTAAAAACAAAACAAAACAAAAAACCGTAAAGTGACCAGTTAAGTAAATTTGCAGATAAAATACCCTTACAAGTTTCTTCCTTTAAAATCACTGAAAATATGCTCAATTTTTATTTAGTTTAACCAGACCACATTTGTGAGGGTAAGATATTCCCAGGCTATTCTGAGAAGGGGTTTAGCCTGAGAACTGGTGGAGCCTGGGAAGGGATAAGGCCTGCCTTGCCTGACAGAGCTGCCCCTGTGAAGAATCAGACATACGCCGTGCTTGCTTTCCTGGCCTTTCAGCTTGGTATGTCAGTCCCTTATAGCGTAGGCTTGTAGCAGACTCGCTGCAGAAATGCATTTTAAGTTCCAAGCAAATGTACAAATGAACTTTGAGAACCCAACTGACTTGAAAGCATGAGCTGATTGGGTTTCTCACATGGTTTCTTCCCACATTTTATAAAGTTCCTGCTTTTTAACCATGTGTGCTTGACGGTAAGACAACTAAGGGCACTTTGAAAGTGAGGGTGGCATTTTGGATGTTCCTGTTGAGCATGGTGAGGTCGTAGCTCCCTGCTGGGCCGTGGAGGCTGTGGACTGCATGTCTGGCTGCTAACTCTTGGCTTGACTGCCCAGGATGCTTATCCATGTTTGAGGTTACTTCTCGGGGACTGGTGTCTTGGGTGTCTACTCCACTTTTCTGGAAGTCTTTTTACTCCACCACAGAATTTGGGTACTAGTGTGTGAAGTGGTGAGAAGGTGACATGACTTACAGACCAGCCTGCCTGCCAGGTGGCCGACACAGGACACAACGCTGTTTAATTCAAGGTGTGAAGGGAGGCACAGGCTATTCTGCTTCCTCAATTGAAAAGGAGCAGGATGGGTGTGGTGTTTCACGCTGTTAATCCCAACACTTGGGAGGCCAAGGTAGGGGGTTTGCTTCATGCCAGGAGTTCAAGACCAGCCTGGGCAACATAACGAGAGTCTGTCTCTACAAAAATAAACATAAAAGATAAGGGGTTATCTCTCTTCTGCAGTAGATCTTTTATGTGCGGAGTACTGATAGGGAGATACATAACTGGACTCCCCCTTAGCAGATCCCAGTAATATGCTCCCTTCAGTGCCATGCGGGGGAGAAAATTCTGACTGTTATGTAGCAAACCCTGAGAAGACTTCTTCCTGTAGATTGGAGATGTTCTGGCTGAACACAGGATTGACCTCCAAACTGGTGTTTTTGTTTTTGGAATAAGATACATGGCTAGTAGAGATAAAGTTCTGTTGACATGGAAGGCTAGGTATGTTCTCCAGTTTACATGGGGACTCAGAAAATATGTGGAGCTGGAGTCTCAGAGAAGGGACATGCAATGGGTCCCTTCTGACACCTGCCTGCTTCCCATCGCAGATCTCCCTTGCCTGATTTTAGCCCTGTGGATAGCTGTTCTGTATATTTGGATTTTCTTCCAGCACCATCTATTTGATGTAGGCAGTTTTATAGAAGAATTCTTTTGGATTTTGTAAAATACTAAAAACGGCTTCTAGTGGTTTGATGAAAGGCATTCTGTTTAGAATCTCCCTAGCACAGTGCAGGGGGCGGCGGGGGTGGTGGGGTGGGGTTGTTTCCCCTCTTGGAGAGGAAGCTGCACAGATCCCTCCCTGTTTTCCCCCTCCCCTCACCTTGGGAATGAATTCCTGGGGCATTTAGGTTGGTCTCTTTGAATTAGCTGGTTCAAAGAGGGAGAGAAGATGCTTCACGTCGTGGAATGGAGCCTTGTAATTGCTGACTTGATTGGATTACCCGAAGTAACCTTTTATGCTTAGTTAAGAATATGCTTTGTTGAGAAAGCATATTTCTGTTTTAAAATATTAGTAATTTTTTCCGACCAACCTCTTCTCTAACCTCCCAACTAAAAGAATTATCAGTAGCTGTTTCCAGAGTTATCTACTGTTCGTTAGATAATTAGGGGCAGGAATATTTATTAATGGTGCAATATGTACTTAAACAGTATTTTTGATGGGGAGAATTCAAGTACATGAAAGCAAGGGCGTGTTTTCTCCTCCCCCGGGATTGTAACTTGACTTCTCTCTCTCTTTTCTAGAGTCTCTTAAAGCATTTTGGAATGGAATGGTTGCTGTTACAAGTTGAGCCATGGTGCAGTTGCTGTGGAAACTCTAGCATGACTTCCCAGACTACTGTGTGTTTTTTAATAGTAGGCACACCATGGCATTGAACTATTATCTTAATGCGCACTTTTTTTTTGAGAGAGAAATAGAAGGTGGTAGAGAAGAGAAGAGACTTTCTCAAATGTACACTTTGTGGAATACTTTACTGAAGTAACTGTGCTCTGAAGGGTGTGCAGCAGCACCTAGGGTGGAGGCCCAGCAACTGGCCGGCCCCGGCCCAGGTGGCAGCTGAGTTTCAGCTCTGTCGAGCATCAGCAGTTCCTATTTTTTGTAGAATTTTATACTGAGCTCTGTGTGCTTAGAATTGTTGGACTCTACCTGCCCTTGTGATAGTTCCTTCTCAGGTTTAATAAGAATAGAATAGGGAGCTGAGAGGCAGAGATGAGTGCAGAGGACTGCGTAGAGGACCATTTGCTTACCAGGAAAGGAAGCTGCAGGTGTGCTCTTTTGTGATAGTGCTGTCTGTCTGTCTGGTTAAATCAGCATGGCTGGAGGTGATACTGAAACCCTGGAATCTGCAGGAGGATCACAAAACACTTTGCCGTCCAGTTCTGATTATCTGCCAGTTTCCTTCTTAAACAGCTATAACAAAAATTTATTTTGCCAGGAGAGAGATCAATTCTAAATTTCCCAAAGAAATTTTCTTTTCTTTTTTTTTTTTCTTAGGAGGTACAAGCAAAGGCATCTTCCTTTCTCCCTCTGAATTTTTTTTTTTTTTGCTCAAAATTAGCAGTAGTAATTGTCTCATGTGTGCGTGTGAAGAGACCACCAAACAGGCTTTGTGTGAGCAACAAGGCTGTTTGTTTCACCTGGGTGCAGGCGGGCTGAGTCAGCAAAGTGTGGTGGGATTATCATTAGTTCTTATAGGTTTTGGGATAGACGATGGAGTTAAGAGCAATGTTTTGGGGGCAGGGGGTGGATCTCACAGAGTACATTCTCAAGGGCGGGGAGAATTACCAAGAACCTTCTTAAGGGTTGGGGAGATTACAAAGTACATTGATCAGTAGGGCAGAAACAAATCACAGTGGTAGAATATCATCAGTTAAGGCTATTTTCACTTCTTTTGTGGATCTTCAGTTGCTTCAGGCCATCTGGATGTATATGTGCAGGTCACTGGGAATATGATGGCTTAGCTTGGGCTTAGAGGCCTGACGTTCCTGTCTTCTTATATTAATAAGAAAAATAAAATAGTGGTAAAGCGTTGGGGTGGCAAAAATTTTTGGGGGTGGTATGGAGAGATAATGGGCGATGTTTCTCAGGGCTGCTTCAAGTGGGATTAGGGACAGCATGGGAACCTAGAGTGGGAGAGATTAAACTGAAGAAAGATTTTGGGGTAAGGGGTGATATTGTGGGGTTGTTAGAAGGAACATTTGTTGTATAGAATGATTGGTGATGGCCTGGATGCAGTTTTTTATGAATTGAAAAACTAAACGGAAGACACAAGGTCCGAATAAAAGAAGGAGAAAACTAGGTATTAAAGGACTAAGAATTGGGAGTACCCAGGATGTCCAATTAGAAAGTGTCCAAAGGGGTTCAGTGTTATTGTTTGCTTGGTTGGCGAGTTTTTGGGCTCTATCCTTGAGTTTTTCTATGTTGTCATATACCAGGCCAGATTGATTTAGGTAAAAACAACAGTCTTCATTTAAAAATATAGAGAGTCCTCTTTTTTTAGCAGTGAGTAAGTTGAGGTCTCCGTGATTTTGGAGGAAAGAGAAATGCAAAGCCAGCAATTGTTTGTTAAAGAAGGATTAGAAACGTCTAGGAGACAGTGAATTTGATAGTGTGGTAGAGATAGCTGGGGAGAGGTAGAGGGTGGCATAAGAACAGGAATGAGAATAAGAGTAAATATAAAAGTAAAGAATAGGACTTCATCAGGGTGAAAGTATTGGAGGATACCTTGTCACTGAAGATCTTCTGTCCACTTCAAGAGAGACTTAAGGGTGGCAATTTGAGGTAAAACCAGGAGCCACTAAATACCAAGAGCCTGAGAAACTGCTTGGGTAATATGACTAGTAAAGGCCCGTCCGTTAATGGGACTGTATAGAGGTGGGAAGGCTAAACTGAAGAATTATGTCTGACAGAAGGGAAGAAATGACTGTGGTGGCCTTCTCAGACCCTGTGGGAAAGGTCTCTACCCATCTAGTGAAAGTGTCTACCCTGACCAAGTGGTATTTTGGTTTCCTGACTCCGGGCATGTGGGTAAAGTCAATTTGCCAGTCCTGGGCGGGGGAAAATCCCTGAGCTTGATGTGTAGGGAAGGGTGGGGTGGGGGGGGTTGGCCTGAACAATCCCTGAGGGGTAGTGGAATAGCACATGGAACACAGAGAAGTGATTTCCTTGAGGATAGATTTCCACGACGGAAAGGAAATGAGAGGTTCTAAGAGACGGGCTAGTGGCTTGTAACCTACATGGAAGAGGTTATGAAATGACGACAGAAAAGAATGGGCTTGTGAGGCTGGAAGGAGATATTTTCCTTGGTCTAAGAACCATTTGCCTTGTGTGGGAAGAGATTGATAGATGGAAGTTTCAGCAGGGCAGTAGGTGGAAGTGATCGATGAGAAGGAGAAAAACTGGCCGTGAGGGACAGAAGTTGGAATTCTGCCTGCTTCTTTAGCTACCTTACCAGCATAAGCGTTGCCCTGAGCCATGGGATCTGATGTCCTTTGGTGGTCCTTGCAGTGTATGACTCCAGCTTCCTTTGGAAGTAAAGCGGCCTTGAGAAGAGTTTTTATTAAAGAGGATTAATGATGGAGGACCCTTGCATAGTGAGGAAACCTCTTTCAGCCCATATAACAGCATGGTGATGCAGGATATGGAAGGCATATTTGGAGTCAATATAAATATTGACACGTGGTCTCTTTGCAAGAGTGAGGGCTTGAATTAAGGCAATGAGTTCGGCTTGCTGAGAGATAGTGGAGGGAGGCAGAGCGGTAGCCTCAATGATAGATGTGGGAGATACTATAGCATAGCCTGCCTTTGCTGGTGAGTGGTGATTAGGCCTGGTGGAACTGCCATCAGTAAACCAAATGTGATCAGGGTGAGGAACAGGAAAGAAGGAAATATGGGGAAATGGAGTGAATGTCAGGTGGATCAGAGACATACAGTCATGGGGGTCAGGTGTGGTATCCGGAATAATGTGGGAGGCCGGATTGAAGTCCAGGCCAGGAACAATGGTAAGTGTGGGAGACTCAACAAAGAGTGAGTACAGCTGAAGGAGCCAGGGAGCAGAAAGTATGTGTGTCAGATGTGAGGAAGAAAATAGATTTTGGAAGTTATGAGAACTGTAGAGAGTGAGATGAGCATAGTTTGTGATTTTGAGGGCCTCTAAAAGTATTAGGGCGGCAGCAGCCACTGCACACAGACATGAGGGCTAGGCTAAAACAGTAAGGCCAAGTTGTTTGGACAGAAAGGCTACAGGGCGTGGTCCTGGTTCTTGTGTAAGAATTCTGACCACACAGCCCTGCACTTTGGCTGTGTGTAATGAAAAGGGTTGGGATGAGTTAGGGAGAGCTAGTGTGGGGGCAGCTTCTAGGGCTGTTTTTAAGGAACAGAAAGAGGAGTGGTGAAAGGATTTAGGATCTATGGAGTCATCTAGGTTTGGTTTTGTGAGTTTATATAATGGTTTTGTTAGGATGGCCGTCAATACCCACAACAGTTATGGAGGCAAGGGAAACAGGCCCTTGAAAATAAGGTAATGTGGAGTGAGTAGTCTCCTTATTGATTAAGAAGGGGACGGATTTACCTTCCACTGTAAGAGTTACCCAAAGCTTGGCATCCGTGATGGTCCAGGGGGCTTCCGAGGCTATCTAAAGGTGAAAGTATCCAAACATGCCCAGGAAGGAAAGGAGTTGTTGTTTTGTGGAAGGGGTTGGGGTTTGGGAGATTAGTTGGACACAATCAGCAGGGAGAACACGTATGTTTTAATGAAGAAATATGTCAAGATAGGTAATGGATGAGGAAGAAATTTGGGCTTGACTGAAGTAGTAGGGGCTGTCCACGAAGCCTTGCAGCAGTACAGCCCAGGTAATTTGCTGAGCCTGATGGGTATCAGGGTCAGTCCAAGTGAAAGCGAAGAGAGGCTGGTATGAAGGGTGCAAAGGAATAGTAAAGAAAGCATGTTTGAGATCCAGAACAGAATAATGAGTTATGGAGGGGTTGTGGAGGGAGGTATTGAGGATAGGAGAGTATATGACTTTGGCACCACTGGGTGGATAGGCAAGACAATTTAGTTGATAAGGTGCAGATCCTGAACTAACCTGTAAAAGCCTTGTCTGGTTTTTGGACAGGTAAAACAGGGGAATTGTAAGGAGAGTTTACAGGCTTTAAAAGGCCATGCTGTAACAGGCAAGTGACAACAGGTTTTAATCCTTTTAAAGCATGCTGTGGGATGGGATATTGGCATTGAGCAGGATAAGGGTGATTAGGTTTTAATGGGATGGTAAAGGGTGCATCATTTGTTGTCAAGGAGGGAGTAGAGGTGTCCTATGCTTGTGGACTAAGAAGGGGAGATACAAGGAGAGGATGTGAAGGAGGCTTTGAACTGGGGCAAAAGGTGGCAGTGAGGTACAGCTGTAGCCCAGGAATAATCAGGGAAGCAGATAATGTAGTTAAAAGTCTCGACCTAATAAGGGAGCCGGGCAGGTGGGGATAACTAAAAAGGAGTGCATAAAAGAATATTGTCCAAGTTGGCACCAGAATTGGGGAGTTTTAAGGGGTTTAGAAGCCTGGCCGTCAATACCCACAACAGTTATGGAGGCAAGGGAAACAGGCCCTTGAAAATAAGGTAATGTGGAGTGAGTAGCCTCCATAATGATTAAGAAGGGGACGGATTTACCCTCCACTGTAAGAGTTACCCGAAGCTTGGCCTCCATCATGGTCCAGGGGGCTTCCGAGGCTATTGGGCAGTGTCAGTCTTCAGCCACTAAGCCGAGAAGATCTGGGAAGGAGTCAATCAGAGCCTTGGGCCAGTTGGACAGTCCAGTTTCCAGTGGGGTCCTGCACAGATGGGACACGGTTTAGGAGGAATCCCGGGCTGCGGGCATTCCTTGGCCCAGTGGCCAGATTTCCGGCACTTGAAGCAAGATCCTGGGGGAGGAAGTTCTAGAGGAACCCCTGGCAACTGTGGTTCAGGCGTTTGGAGTTCTTGTGTGCTGGAGATGTGGCTGGGGTTTGTCTCACAGTGGAGGCAAGGAATTGCACCTCAGAAATACATTGCTACTTGGCTGCCATTACTCTATTACTGTACACCTTGAAAGCGAGGTTAATTAAGTCCTGTTGTGGGGTTTGAGGGCCAGAGTCTAATTTTTGGAGCTTTTTCTTTTTTTTTTTCTTTTTTATTTTATTTATTTATTTATTTATTTATTTATTTATTTATTTATTTTTTTATTGATCATTCTTGGGTGTTTCTTGTAGAGGGGGATTTGGCAGGGTCACAGGACAATAGTGGAGGGAAGGTCAGCAGACAAACAAGTGAACAAAGGTCTCTGGTTTTCCTAGGCAGAGGACCCTGTGGCCTTCCGCAGTGTTTGTGTCCCTGGGCACTTGAGACTAGGGAGTGGTGATGACTCTCAACGAGCATGCTGCCTTCAAGCGTCTGTTTAACAAAGCACATCTTGCACCGCCCTTAATCCATTTAACCCTGAGTGGACACAGCACATGTTTCAGAGAGCACAGGGTTGGGGGTAAGGTCACAGATCAACAGGATCCCAAGGCAGAAGAACTTTTCTTAGTACAGAACAAAATGAAAAGTCTCCCATGTCTACCTCTTTCTACACAGACACGGCAACCATCCGATTTCTCAGTCTTTTCCCCACCTTTCCCCCCTTTCTATTCCACAAAACTGCCACTGTCATCATGGCCTGTTCTCAATGAGCTGTTGGGCGCACCTCCCAGACGGGGTGGTGGCCGGGCAGAGGGGCTCCTCACTTCCCAGTAGGGGCGGCCAGGCAGAGGCGCCCCTCACCTCCCGGATGGGGCGGCTGGCCGGGCGGGGGGCTGACCCCCCCCCACCTCCGTCCCCGTCGGGGCGGCCGGCCAGGCAGAGGGGCTTTTTGGAGCTTTTTCTAATGTCGGGAGCGGATTGGGTAATAAAATGCATATTGAAAATAAGGCAGCCTTCTGGCCCCTCTGGGTCTAGGGTGGTAAAGCGTCTAAGGGTTGTTGTCAAACAGGCCTTGAATTGGGTTGAGTTTTTGTATTTGATGAAAAAGAACCTAAATGCTAACTGATTTGGGAGAGGTCAGATAAAGAAAAAAGGAGCATTAACCTTGATTATGCCTTTAGCTCCAGCCACCTCTTTAAGAGGAAATTGTTGGGCAGGTCGGGGAGGGCTAGTCATGGAACGAAACTGTAAACCAGACTGGGTGTGGGGAAGGGAGGTGATAGAAGGATTATAGGGTGGGGAAGCAGAGGCTGAGGAAGAATTGGGACCTGGCTTGGCCTGGCAAGGAGCAGCCTGGGGAGGAGGGGAGAGAGGTCAGATGGGTCCCTAGAAAAGGAAGATTCAAAAGACTCAGAGACGCTTGGGGTTAGGACTGAAGGAACAGACAGGAGAGAAAGAAGAAAGATTTGGGACGACTCTCATTGGGAGCAGAGACTAGGGAGGGACCAGTGTGTAAAAGAATGCCTGGACATCAGGCACCTCAGACCGTTTGCCCATTTTACGACAAGAATTATTTAGATCTTGTAGGATGGAAAAATCGAAAGTGCCGTTTTCTGGCTATTTGGAACCACTGTCGAGTTTGTATTGGGGTCAAGCGGCATTGCAGAAGAAAATAAGACGCTTAGATTTTAGGTCAGGTGAGAGTTGAAGAGGTTTTAAGTTCTTGAGAACACAGGCTAAGGGAGAAGAAGGAGGAGTGGAGGGTGGAAGGTTGCCCATAGTGAAGGAGGCAAGTTTAAAGAGAAGGGTAGAGACACGGAGAAGGGGGGTGGGGAGCAGCCAAAGCAGGCGTCTCCGCACTTGACTTGCCACCAAGGGAATGTGGATGAATGACCAAGGCAGACGTCCCCACGGAGATCAGACACCAGTGGAACGTGGGTGAATAATCAGAGAGGCGTCCTCGCAATGATTAAACACCAAGGGAAGTCTGCCTTCCCGAGTCCGTGACTGGCGCTGGAGTTTTGGGTCAATGGATAAAATATGTCTCCTTTGTCTCCACCAGAAAATGAAAGGAGTTGAAATTAAGAGAAGGGAGAGATTGAAGGGTGGCGCCAAGATTAAAAGGAGAAAGAGGTTGAGGGATAGTGAGAGAGGTTGGAGAAGAGAGTAAAAAGAGGCTGCTTACCTGATCTAAAATTGGGGAGATGTTCCTTGGGCTGGTTAGTCTGAGGACCTGAGGTCATAGGTGGATCTCTTCACGGAGTGAGGGTGAGGACAGGGGACTGGTCTCCCGAAGGAGTCCCGCTGACCTGGGTCTTCGGCACCAAATGTCTCACATGTGCATGTGAAGAGACCACAAAACAGGCTTTGTGTGAGCAACAAGGCTGTTTATTTCACCTGGGTGCCGGCAGGCTGAGTCAGAAAAGAGAGTCAGCAAAGGGTGGTGGGATTATCATTAGTTCTTACAGGTTTTGGGATAGGCAGTGGAGTTAAGAGCAATGTTTTGGGGGCAGGGGGTGGATCTCGCACATTCTCAAGGGCGGGGAGAATTACAAAGAACCTTCTTAAGGGTGGGGGAGATTATGAAGAACCTTCTTAAGGGTGGGGGAGATTACAAAGTATATTGATCAGTTAGGGTAGGGCAGAAACAAATCACAATGGTAGAATATCATCAGTTAAGGCTCTTTTCACTTCTTTTGTGGATCTTTAGTTGCTTCAGGCCATCTGGATGTATACGTGCAGGTCACTGGGAATATGATGGCTTAGCTTGGGCTCAGAGGCCTGACAGTAATATGATGGGTTGAGGGAAAGTTATCAGAAGAGAAAAAGAACAAAAAAATTTCTAGCTTTACTGGAGAATGTTGAAGATGGGGTAAGCAGAGGTTTACGCTAGAAATGGATTCAAGTAGACAAACTGTATTATTTCATCATAAATGCCTCTACTTTGTTCTTTCCTCCCATTACCCTGCTCAATTCTTGTTTTTGTTTTTTTTTTTTCATTCTAGTTATGAAGAAAAACAAAAAGAGTTATTTTGTCTTGACCCAATGCAAAGATGAAAGCAGAAATCAGATTTACCCTATGTAATAGCTTATTACTGGGCAAAGAAATGAAGTACATTAAGGAGGCCTTTTTTTTCCTCCAATGGCTGTTAGATTGTGTATTGCAACCAGGAGTTGTCAAGCTCCTGATCCTAATCCAAGCTGGGGACTGTGGTACAGTGTGGCCAGCTGCCTTGCCAGCTGCCTTACCAGGCAGGTCTCGCATCTGCCATTGTCATCCCATTGGAATCAAGTTGCAAGCCAGTGAACTTGCTGGGGTGTGCCCAGGTCAGAACAGTTACAGCTTAAAAGCCTTTGCTGCCCTTTTTCAGATCCTGTTCCTGGGAGAGTCTCCCACACTAAGTTCAGTGTGGGTACCAGCTGTGGTGAGGGTGTGCTGCCACTGCAGCTGCTGTCTGGGCATCTGTGTTAGGGCCAATACTTCAAGAAGTGTGAGTCATTGTGAAGTGACTGTAGGCAGCTGGGAAATAACAGCTGTGAACAGAAAAAAGACTGGAGGCGTGCTCTCTGGAGGTCTGGGCATAGTGATGAGAGGCTGAGGAACAGAGAGGGAAAAGAAAAATGCAATTCTAAAATTAAAAAGAAAACCTTAATTTAAACCGTGATTTACAGATAATTCCCATGTGTGAGAGACAGTATAGGAAACACTCCAAAGAGCTTGCGTTAAAACAAAAATAAGTAAAAATGTAAAGATTTCCTGCCCCTATGTGAAAAAAGCAATCTGTGATTGTTTTGTTTTATTTTGTTGAGACAGGGTCTTGCTTTGTTGCCCAGGCTGGAGTGCAGTAGCATGATCACGGCACACTGCAGCCATGAACTCCTAGGCTCAAGCAGTCCTCCCACCTTGAGTAGCTGGGACCACACACATGTGTTACCATGCCTGGCTAATTTATTTTTTGTAGAGACAGGGTCTTGCTATGTTGCCCAGGCTGATCTTGAACTTCTGGGCTCCAGTGATCCTCCCACCTCAGCCTCCCAAAGTGCTGGGATTATAAGCATGAGCCCCTGCACCAGCCATGTGATTGTTAGATTGTGCAACTTAGATGGTACAGAAAAGCAAAGGAAGGAAAAATATCAACCTTGTCCTGTCACCCAGGAGGAGGGAGCCAGAGACAGACACATGGTAAGCACAGACTTTGAACAGTGTCAAAGCTTGGAATAAGCTGAGCCTTACACAAATGCTAAAGACAAAACAAAAGAGGAAAAATAGTTTTACGTTTCAAACAGCACCGAGAAAGAGAAATGATCAATAAGTGGAAGAGGATATCAACTGAACAATTTGGTTTTCTCCAACTTTCTTCCCAGCACCTGCTCTGTTGGCATGCCAGCATGAAACCCAGATAAGGAGAGAAATTTCTAAGAGATTTTTTTCTTTTAAAAATTATGATGAACCAGACGCTAAGAGAACTAACACATGTGATCACGGAAACACTGCAGATAAATTTTAAGAAATTGTTAACAATGGGAAAAAAATGTCACAAAGTAAGGCAAATAGGGTCCTAATTTTCCAAAAAGGGAGGAAAGAGTTTCTGTGCACTGTGGATTGGTGAGCTTAACTTTGCTTCTAGGCAAAGGTGATAGAAAGGTTGATTAAATAGTTTCTGGACATTTGGAAAACAAAGAAGAGCTAACTAACTAAAAGCAAGCTTAAGTTCAAGAAGAAGAAATCAGTGCAAGCATACCAGCTTCAGTTTTGAGAGGGTTGTTCCAAGGACAGGCAAGTGCACCAGAGCTCTGCTTCTCAAACTGCATCTGCATCAGTGTCATTGGAGGGCTGGGTTTTGAGACAGTAAGTCTGGAGTAGGGTGGGAGTTTGCATTTCTGGAGTTCCAGGTGACGCTGATGTCGCTGGTCTAGAGAACTACTGCTAGTATACTTGGTGTTGTTGGATTTGGGGAAGACTTGTAACTTTTGGAGAATATTGAGAAATTGGTTGGGAATATTAATGGTGGTGTGTGAAGGGTGAGGGCTTTTAACTGATTAAACAGTGTACAACTTCGTTGTCATTATTTTAACTCGGACAGTTGTCTTTAGTATTTTGTCAGAATACTCTGGCCTTGACCCTCATCTGTTAAGTAATTTCATCAGGGACTCAGACGACAAAAAGGTGTGTTTCTCAAATCTGAAACACAAAAAGATTCTAGCTAATAATGTTGAATGGTTGAGGGTTTAAGTGATCTTGGTATGTTAGATTTAGCAGCGATAGGCCGGGTGCGGTGGCTCACGCATGTAATCCCAGCACTTTGGGAGGCCGAGGCAGGAGGATAACCTGAGGTCAGGAGTTTGAGACCAGCCTGGCCAACATGGTGAAACCCCGTCTCTACTAAAAATACAAAAATTAGCCAGGCATAGTGGCGCGTGCCTGTGATCTCGGCTACTTGGGGATTCTCCTGAGGAAGAATTGCTTGAACTCAGGAGGTGGAGGTTTGCAGTGAGCTAAAATCAAGCCACTGCACTCCAGCCTGGGTGACAGAGCAAGACTCTGTCAAAAAAAAAAAAAAAAAAAAAAAGATTTAGCAGTGATACATGTAAAATGGCTGCAGTTAGTTACAGGAGGCTCTACAATACAATACCTTCTGGGATAAAGGCATAGGAATTTGGGTTGACCTCAGTATTGTTTGAGACAAGGTTAAGGTGGACTATATCTCTTCCATCTGACAACCTGTTTCTCACCCCTACCTGGGAAAGAATGCAGAAACCCAAGACAAGTTTTATGTTCTACTAAGAGATTTCTTCCATGGTCAGGCCATATCTATTGTATTTAGTGCAGTTCTAGCACCACATTTGAAGATTTTGGCAAAATTTGATAGCATCTTGAAGAAAGAGACCAAGGTGTTTAAATCTGGAATGGATTTGCTATGATAACAACACCACTGTCTCACTGGCTTTTCCTAACAAGCCTTAATTTCTTGCTCATATCATGGGAAGGTTGCAGGTGAACTGTGGCTCTGCAGGGCTGTGCTTGGTTCCAAGTGTCTTCCTTCAGGACTCAGACCAAAGGAGCAGCTCCTGTGTGGGTCTGAGACATGCTGTTCTCATGGGAAAGGGCTGGAGTGCAAGGTGGGGAAGATGCCATGTTTGCCTCCATCTAATTGGCTGAGGGTGCCAAGGTCAGGGAGGTGGAGAAGTGACCTCCCACTTAATGCAAGGGCACATCCTGTGACTAGGGGGCAGAGGGGGAAGTTGTAACTTCGTTACAGGGAGGGAGTGGGCAGTTGGAAACAGTAATCCAATCTACAGCAGATGGAGATTCAGTTACTTTAACATTTATTGATTGCCTATAAAAAATTAGGCATTGTGCTAAGGCATGGAGGATTCAGAGATCAATAGAAACCCTGGAGGAACTCAGTATAGAAGGACAGAGGGAGTATAATCAAATGCATTGCTATACAACTTGACAGATAGAAGAATCACAGCATTCCCAAGTACAGAGGCTGCAGAGAAGAGGGTGGGAAGGGCTGGCAGCAGGGAAGTATGAGGTCAGTGTTCTCAGAGGAGGGGGGACATCCAGCCTAGCTGTTGAGGATTTAATGAAGAATTTGCAGCTGGGCGCTGTGGCTCATGTCTGTAATCCCAGCCCTTTGGGAGGCCAAGGTGGGTAGATTGCCTGAACTCAGAAGTTTGCGACCAGCCTAGGCAACACGGTGAAACTCTGTCTCTACTAAAATACAAAAAAAAAAAAAAAATTAGCTGGGTGTGGCAGCGTGTTCCTGTGGTCTCAGCTACTTGGGAGGCTGAGGCAGGAGAATTGCTCGAACCCAGGAGGCGGAGGTTGCAGTGAGCCGAGATCACGCCACTGCACTCCAGCCTGGGCGACAGAGCGAGACTCTGTCTCAAAAAAAAAAAAAAAAAAAAAAAAAAAAGAATTTGCGCGGCGGGCAAGAGGATGTGGATCACGCTTTGGGTTGGGGATGGCATAATTGCAGCTGGAGGCTGGAAATAGTGGACTGCTTCCTGGGGGCCATGTTTTGCTTGCTGCTGTATCTCCAGTGTCCAGAACAGTGTCTGGTGAATGAATGGTGAGTTTAGTCTTTTGGTATTGTGTTGGAGAGATAAGAAGGAAGGAACCAAAAAAGGAAGACACCAAGAGGTAATTTTAATGCCATTTTCATGGGACACTTGGGAGCTAGATTAGAAGAAGCCAAGACTAGAATCGGGGAGATGAGTTGCAGAGGGAAGTGGTGAAGGTCTGAAGGAAGGTAGGAAAAGGTCGGACACATTCCAGACATATTTAGGGGTGGAGGTGGTTGGATATGGGGAGTTTAAAGGGGAAGGAATGTGGGGTGAACTGGGTGGTGAGTCAGTGGATATTGGTGACTGAAATCACCACTGCTAGGAATACAGTAGACAGAGAGCAAAAATAGTGAAAGGGAAGATGATGTATTTTGTTGTTATGTTTAGAGTTTGAGGTGACTGTGAGACACTGAGGTGAGGATATGCAGTGAGTCATTGGATATATGTGATTCTGCCCTAAAAATGTATATTTGAGCTTTATCATTAGAATGGGTGAAATTGCAGAGTCAGACTGTAAAACTTGGAAGTGTCTGGGACAGAAGCTCTGGGACATACAGTGTAGGAATGGCCAGGGGAGGAAGATTTTTGAAGATTTAGAGGGGATATTCTTACAGCGAGAGCACAACCAGGGAAGGTGATGTACTGTGTGGAGGAGAGCGTTCAGCAGGAGAGAGTGGCCGTCACTAACTGCAGGGCAGGCAAGCTCAGGGCCCAGCACCATGGCTATGGGAATATCGGGAGTTGAGGAAGAAAAAGGCTCCAGTGGCACTGAAGCGGGAAATGCGGTAGAGATTTGGAGGCTCAACTTTTCAGAACTTGACTGAGAAGTGAGGGAGAGAGAGAGGAGTTCTGACATGCATCGGGCACGTCGCTTTTGCCCCACTTCACAAAGGGAGGAGAAGCAGAGCCACTGAGGCTGACCTGGACTTCACTGGTTCCCCTCTGCAGTTGAGCTGCTGTCAAAATGTAGATTTGCAAATAAAGATATGTTTTTTAACCCAGGGTTTTTCTAGGCTAAAAAATAGGCCTATTTTTTCCTGTGTTAGTTTCCTTGCTGTGTAACAAGTTACCAGAAACTCAGCAGCTTAAGACAACACACATTGACTCTATCACAGTTTCTGTGGGGCATGAGTCGGAGCATGGCTTGGCTGGGTCCTGTGCTTCCCAGTCTCTGACGAGGCTGCAGTCAAGATACTTCCATGGCTAGGGTCTCGTCTGAAGACTTGCCTGGGGAGGATCCCCTTCCAAGATCCCTCGCAGAACCTGGGTGCTGGAAGGATTCCATTTCTTTCAAGTTATGAGACTGAGGGCCACAGTTCCTTGCTGGCTGCTGGCTGGAGGCTGCCCCACGTTCCGTGTCCTGTGGGTTTTTCCACCATGGGAGTTATTACTTCATCAAAGCCAGCCAGAGAGAGACAACTTGCAGGGGGGAAGTCATTGTCTCATGCTGCCTTAGCACAGAGGTGACATCACCTGTGCCCTATTCTGTTGCTTATCAGCAAGTCACAGGCCCCTCTCGCACTTAGGAAAGGGGATTACATAAGAGCATGAATACCAGGAGGCGGGAATCATTGGGTGGGTGAGAACCTTAGACCTGCCTGCCACAGAGTAGGACTCCGTGATACATCTTGTAATCGTGAGACTTTTGCAGCATGACTTCAGCAAGTTGGGGGCCATGGTGGGAGGGAGTGATTCACTTCACTATCAGATGAGATTTTCACGGTGAAGGTGAGATGTGAACTGGTCTTTGAAGTGGTAGCTCCAGAATTTTCACACATAAAAGAGGGTTAGGGTAACAGTCTGGTTGGAAGCGGGGTACATCACAAATGCAGTGTATTTGGAGTAGCTTGAGCAATTGAGCTGAAGCCTTGTCAAGCCGTGCTTTGAGAGTGACCCTGCTCTGAAGGATGCAAAAACTTAGTTCCATAAAGAAGAGACAAGGACCCAGGATGAAGTGGATCATTCTAGGCGGAGGGAACAGCAGGAGCAGAGATGCTGGAACTTGGCAAAGCATGATGTAGTTTTAGGGGAAGATCAGTAGTTTCCTGAGGATGGATTTTAAGTCATATAAAAGGAGGGAGAATAAAGCTGGGAGAGTGGCATGGGGGCAGGCCGTGCACTCAGAGGAGATGGAGCCTGGCCCTAAGGGCAGATGGGCTTTGTTGGTCCTCAGAGGAGATGGAGCCCAGTCCTCAGGGCAGAAAGACTTTTGGGTCCTTGAGAGGATGGAAGCCCTGTCCTGAGGGCAGGAGGGCTGTGTTGTTTCTCAGAAGAGATAGAGCCTGGTCCTGACGGCAGGTGGGCTTTGTAGGCCTTGGATAGATGGAGCCTAGCCTTGAGGGTAGAAGGGCTTTGTTGGCCCTCAGGGGAGCTGGTGCCTAATCCTCAGGGCAGAAAGCCTTTTTGGGCCTTGAGAAGATGGAAACTCTTTCCTGAAGGCAGAAGGGCTTTGTGGACTCTCAGAGGAGATGGAGCTGGGTCCTGAGGGCAGAAGGGCTTTTAGCCTGGGTAATGGTAGGATTAGTTTTGGGCTCCTTTCCTCAGTCTGCAGGGGAGGCTGCTTGGGAACATGTTTGTTGCTCACATCTGTCTCCTCTGCTCTTGGCAGGAGACAAGAAAGGATGCGAGTCGAGAAGTCAGAGCTGCTGATGTGTTTCCCAGCTTCTGTTGCATCCTGAGAAGCCTGGGTCAGGCTGAGGTTTGGGGGAGATTGGGAATGTGTGGCCCCACTCAGGAATTGGGCTGCTTACTTCCAGATCACTGTAGGCCAGCTCCCTCTTGCTGTACCTTTCACACATGGGCTCAGCCATCCTGTGGGCCGAGCAGGTGGCAGTGCCCGCTCTGACTGCACAGATCGACAGAGAGTTTTATAGATAAAAACCAATGATTTTTTAAAAGGCATCTTTTCTTCATTTAGAATTGGTGTATTGGATGTCAGGAAGAAATTAGTTGCTCTTTTTTCCCTATCCTTCCTGAAAGAGCAGCTTTATACAATGTTTTTGGCAGCTGATGTTCAAAGAAGATCAAAGAAGAAAACTGGCATTTTTGGCAGGTTATGACACTGGTACCCGTGGGGTGCTGTTCAGTGCCATGTTACCTGATCTGGAAACTTGTGGCACCCGTGTGTGTGTGTGTGTGTGTGTGTGTGTGTGTGTCCTTGTAGGGTGCTACTTCTCTCCTTGCCTACCTACCGTGTACTTTGATGATGCTGACATTGGTGGATTTCTGTAGATGTGCTGTTTAGCCAGGTATGCAGCACTCTTTATTTAAAGTGGAGGGCCATTAATGGTGGCTCATGCCTGTAATCTCAGCACTTTGGGAGGTTGAAACGGGAGGATTCTTTGCGTCTAGGAGTTTGAGACCAGCCTGGGCAACATAGTGGGACACCGTCTTCTAAAAATAATAAAATAAAATGGGGAATCCTTTTGATTGGGGAGAAATTAGAATCTAATTTTGGAAAGGGGCATAAAATAATTCATGAGTTTGGGGAAGCACCATGACGTATAATTACCTAGTTATCTCTTAAATTTCAAAATTGGACTTAATTGAGCAAATGGTGGTGAAGATACCATAGAACAAAAGATTTCCTGTTGCTTTCTGTGCTTTTTTATTATATGAAATGATGTGGCATGATTTATTTGGTTGTTACTGTCTGGTTGTGAACGTGAGCAACCTTTAACAGATGGCTGAAATGGGGCCCAGTTGGAAGGAGGGCCGCGGACCACCTGCTTTTGTGGCCCTGTTGCCCTGGAGATCACTCCAGCTGTGACTGTTGATGGCCTGTGGGGGCAAAATCAACTCTTCAGACAGGTGGCAGCGGGACTACACTCTAGACTAGAGGAAACCAGGGAAGAGAAAGCCCAGCCTGAGTGTAGCAGGAAAGAAACTGAAGTCTAGGGTCATTAATACTAGCCTTCATAACCCATCAAACAGTGAAAGTGTATTTCTTGCTTAAACAAAACCATGCAGATTAACCCTCCTCCATCCTGTGGCCACCTTCTTCAGCAGTAACACAGAGTCGAGAGAGGCATACTTACTGCCTTACTGTGGAAATGAAACACATCACTTCTTATGCTCCATTGTGGCCCTGGCTGATTGCAAGGATGACCAGGAAATGCTGGGAAGCACGTGGAATGCCAGTCTTTGCTTTGACCTCTCAGTACAGCTTTTCTGTCGAGGAGGTATTTAGAATCAGTCATCTTTGTGGATTGCAAAGAGGTGTTCTCATTCCACAGTGCCTTTCAGGGAGTAAGAGGACAAGCCGATCCCATTAGCTGTGGAGCAGAGTGGCCCAGAGCAGGGGCTCTGGCATCTGAGTCTCAGCTCTTGATTCACCACTTACCATGTGACTTTGAGCAAATCATTTAACTTTTCTGCCTTAATGTCACCATCTGTATAATGGGGTCACTAATAGGACTGTTACAAATATGAAATGATGTATGAGGGAAAGAGAAGTTGATGATGGTCAGTTTTAGCTAAAATGTTTGAGCATGTTTTTCTTTGTTTTAATAAAGGGGAAGGTTAAAACAAAACTCCTTAAGAGGTGTTTATAGACACCAGATGATTTGTAGAGCTTTTGGTCGTGTAGTTTTAATTCTAGGGTGTTTGCCTTTTGTTATTTCTTTTAGGTGTTTTAAGGAATCAGACCTGCATCTTTTAATGGCATTAATTTCTTTTAACTTGCATATTCTAATAATAATGAACAAGCCATCTATCAGAGCCCAATCTGTTATGCTCCAGAGAATTGTAAGAGATTAAATTACATTTTTAGGGGTCTCTAATCCTGTCTCTGGGTTGACAGAATTGGGAGAGTGAAGAGGAAGCTACCAGGAATAGTTCACCTCTCTAGCAATCTGTTCTCTTTTTTTCATCAGCTGTTTCCAAAAGCCTTCAGCAAGATGCTGTGTGACATTCAGCTGGTACCATTTCCAGTAAGTCTAAAAAAGCTCTAAGCCCAGGCCTTTTGGAATATGTCTCCTTTAGGAAAAATCATCAGTAAAGCTTGAGGATAAGACTTTTGAGTATAAAGTGGGGTTTATGCTGCAAAGTAGAAACTGAATCATTTAGCTTCAATTTTAGTGAAGGGCTGAGAGTTTATATAACAGAACTGCCTAAATGCTCTCTTTTATATCAGGGCTTGTGAATATCAACAGCAGGGAGCAGGGAAGTAGGAAACTTTCTTCAGTGACCTGGATGGAGAGTTTAGTGAGCTTTTTCTACACCAAATGTGTAGCTGTGTCTGCCTGTAGCCGGGGGTGGAGGAATGAAAAGGCTGAGAAACCCCCACCCCCGGCTTGATCACCACACTTTCTCAAGGAAACCTGTACTGCAAAGCTCTCTTCTACCAGGAGGGAAGATGGAGAGAACAAGATAGAAAAAAACATGCCCTTGCTTGAGCCTATGGAGAAATTGGGCAATCAGTTTTCATCTATGAAGCAGTGGGAGCCATGTCCTACGGACAGAATTAAATGTGTCCTCTTGTCCACAGGCCCTCTCCTGTGCATTCAGGTGGTGTGGTCGTGGTGCCCCATAACAATGATAACAGATGGGGTAAGCGGTAACTGAGAATATGCCTCCGTTGCTCAGAGTAGAGGGTGCTCAAGTGTAGGGGGCGTATGTGGGGGACAGTGGAGGTAGAGCGAGCACAGCCTAGCAATTCCCAGTGAGGCTCTGGAGTCAGAATGCCTGGTATGAACCCTGGCCCTGTTGCTTGCTCATGTGAGGTGTGATGTAGGCGGTTTCTTTCACTCTGCTGTGCTCAGTTTCTTCATCTGTAGAATGGGGATATAATAGTAGTTTTTTTTTTTTTAATCTCTCTGTCACCAGGCTGGAGTGCAGTGGCGCTATCTCTGCTCACTGCAACCTCCGCCTCCTGGGTTCAAGCAATTCTTGTGCCTCAGCCTCCCGAGTAGCTGGGATTATAGGCACGCGCCACCACACCCAGCTAATTTTTGTATTTTTAGTAGAGATGGGGTTTCACCATGTTGGCCAGGCTGGTCTTGAATTCCTGACCTCGTGATCAACCCGCCTCCCAAAGTGCTGAGATTATAGGCATGAGCCACCGCACCCGGGTGGGATATAATAGTATTTATGTCCTATTGTCCTTATGAATTAATGCATGTGAAGTAGTTAGGATACTATTTTGACATACTGTGGGTGCTCAATTGTATTACTATTATTTGGGAATTCTTGAAGAACAGTTAATTAAAAAGTAGGTTGAAGTTTATTGTGAAGCATCTCTAATGTGGTTTGATGTGAAGGAATTTGGGCTTATCCTTTGAGCATTAAAAATTTTAAGCAAAGAAATGGTATGAAGGAAGTGTTTTAGAGGTATTGAAACCCTGGCAGAATGGCACAGGTTGGATCCGAGGTAGAAAGAGAAAGGTGGTAGGAAGGCTGACGGGAGAAAAAGTAATCCAGGTATGACCCAGGGTATGTGCTAGGGTGGTGGCCATGGACCATGAGGGAAGGACTGGGTTGCATTAGACCGTTCCTTTTTTTTTTTTTTTAGCAATCTGGAGGATTTTTAAGGTGATAAGTTATCGGTCTGAGGAAGTTATTGGATAGCTAATTTGGAGATAATTCAAAACTAAACCCCATTAGATATACAGCTCATTTTAGTTGCATATCAACTCATTTGATATACAACTCAATTAGTCCTACAGATTGATTTTAACTGCTTTATCTCATGTCTCTCTTTATATACGTTTACGTAAATATATGTGTGCATTTATGTGTGTGTGTGTGGTATATAATACTTTAGGTTTTGATACTTTTAGGTCATTCATACAGCATTGTGACTGCTGAAATTAGGAAATAGGCTGACAGATTACTAATTTCTAGGCAAACTTTATAATTAAAAGAAGAAATAGATATGGCTGTAATTTTTTTTTTTTTTTTTTTTAGTACAGTTCAAAATAAATGGTGCCCTTTGGTCCTGCAGATGGTTTCTTTCTTATCTAGTTTTTTCTCTACATGAAAAGTTTTGCTGACTCCTGTTCTTAATTTTCTATTGTTCTTAATTTAGGTCCTATGTCTGTGCTTGCCTGATTTTTCCTGTGACTATCTTTTACAGATAAAATAGTGGAAGAATCATCATGTATATAAGTTCAAGAAGTTTTCATTAAGCTGCTAATTTCCTAAAGAAATCTGGATCATGGTGCATCCTTTGTTTGTGTGTGGGAGGATATAGTGATACTGAATGAATCATGTCTTGCTCTGTAGCAAGAGGAATATTTGGTAAAGTTGATGTTGTTTGCTTTGGTGAGCAGTGGAGGTGGAGTGGGATCCGACCCCAGTGGCCCTAAAAGCAGCGAGCCCTAGAAACCAGGCCCACCTGGGTTTTCCTGGCTCTCTCTCACTTGTGCCCTCTTGTTTCTCATGAAAATGTGAAGCTGCTGTGATATTTTGGGGTCTCTGATTTGGCACAGGTAGCTTTTCAGTGACTTTGCAACTACTCTTTCTGCATATCTTCAGTTTGAGATGAACATGTTTGTGCAACTCAGCAACTCAGCACCTGATGGGGATTCTGGAGAGTGCACTGTGGGATCTAGGATCACCTTACCCAGTTCCCAATGACCAATTCATGAGGAAGTCGCAATCTCACACCAGAATCTCACTGGAAAACAAAATCAGACTCTCACCTAAAAAGTAGGGACTGAATATGAAGTAAACTTTTTTAAAGCAAATATGTTTTCAAACCGCAAAAACAGATGCTTTCTTTTGGCAGTTTTGCTCATCAAACCTAAGCTGAATGTGAACGGAGACTAATTTTTAACTGTTAATTCACAGCCTAAATGGCAATGAGTCTGAATTCTAATTTCAAAATCTTATTTGAACTCTGTGTTTGGCTGACTGAAGTGAAAAATGTATTGTTGTTTACTGATTCAGAATCATACCCTGCAGCATTTTAAGCCAATTTTGAGCAAGTCATGGCCAAGTGTAAATTTGCGTACTTAACATTTATTTGTTAGTCACACAGCCAGCCCAGTGGATAGGCCTGTTTGAAGTCAGGCTGTGTGCACCTATGCCAGTGCCGGCTCTGCTTTGGGGTGGGATTTTGGGTGTAGGACGAGGTTCAAAGGACCTGGCTGAGGACGGCCACACGGGTTGGACAGGCCGCTTCTGGAGAAGCCCACTCAGGTGTTGTTCCTGGATCACCTTTCTAGGCCAAGTGTAAAAGGAGAGGGAATTTCTTTGTTAAATTCATTCCTGGTTTCAGGGCCCTTTTGTTACCTTCTCTTCCACATGAGCTCCCGTCTCTGTGCTGCAGGAAGTTCAGAGGCACGGTTTATCATGGGTGCTTGGCACCACTCTCTCTCTAACTATGTGGATCCTAACTCCAGTCTCCTGATGGTCAGCTTGACGCGGGTTCACTGGATCAGTGCCTTCCAGTCCTGGGCAGGTGCTCTGTTTCTGTTATTCTAGAACCCCCGACCCAGGGAACACAGAGCTTGCTGGTCTGCCTTCATTTTCTCACCTCCAATTTAAGACCAAGTAATTTTATTTTGCCTTCATTTGGTATTTAGAAGCGTCGGGTGGCTTTTGTCAGGGACAGTTTCATGCCTCTCTGGCTTTTGTCCGTGTTGCCTGGTGCTCTTCTAGCTGGCCCTGCTGACTGGAGTCTGTGATGGACTCCCATTTTCTTGAGCTGAGTCACTTGTTTTCCTCCAGGATGCCGTTCCCTACAGCTCATCCTGCTTGTTTTCACTTACTTTCCTGTTTTCTGCCCTTGCTCTTATATCCAGGCCTGTTAGATCTGAATCTAGTCATTCTGCTTTCTCTTCAGAGGTTTCTCTTGACAGTAAATATAAATACAGTAATTTCTGTGGGCCAGATATGGTTCTCAGTGTTGGGTGAATTTTAATTCAGTCTCCGTAACAATCTTAGGTGGATACTCATCTCCATTTTGCAGAGGGGAAACTGAAGCACAGAGAAAGTCACTGCCCCACAGTCATCAGGGTGCCAAGTGGAGGAGTCAGGGTTGAAGTCAGAAAAGCTGGCTCCTGAGCCTGCACTCTTAAATGCTATTCTATATTCTTTTTAAAACATTTTTTTGACTTATTTTGTATTCTATAAATATTTTTGACTCATTTTTCCATCTAATTTTACACCTTTCTATTCTTTTAAAATTTTTTTAAAATTTAAATTTAAAACCTACAGTCGTCAATAAAACATTATTCTATATTCTTGCTGGCTCGTGGCACCTCAGCTGTCTGGAATCTTCTATGTGGCCTCCTTGATCCCGGGATGAGTTAGCTTTTTCATATGATATTCAGCTACAATTCTATATAGGCAGTTGTGTTTTGAAAAAAGCATTGGACTTAGCATTAGATCCGAGCTCCTGGCTGCAGTGCATGACTGATTGTGTGGCCTTGTCTAAGCTCTGTAACCTCTCTGACCTGCGTTTCCCTGTCTTGTAGTATGAGCTGACTCGTGGGCATTTGAGAAGATTAAATGTGAGTAAGTAGCAAGGTACTTGACACATAAAGGCAATCAGAAAATGGCAGTTATTGTGCTTGTAATTTAAAAAGTTGAAAGCTGTTATAGACTTTCAAGATATGTTGTTTTATGTTTACATTTAGTCAGTTAATTCTGGTTTATAATTGATTAGGCCAAGAAGAGAGGTCTCTTAATCAGCATTCCATTAGAGATTTATTTATTTATATTTGCTTATTTTTTTGTCATTTAAGAGTTAAAGGAATAGAGAGAATTGTGCCATTTAAATGAAATCTTTTTAGCATTAGTTACGTGTTAGGATGTCTGTTTATCCTTCATGATTTTTTTGTTTTATTGCTAAAAAACATGGACTCATTTAATTGTCTAGCTAGTAAAAGGCCTTTATAAAATTTTTCTCTAAGAGCACAATAACATAGTATTTGCTTTTATTTAAGTGCAGTCTTTGTAACTGACTTTACATTTTGTTAGATGGTACTGAATCAACCACAGTTACTGCTTTAGTTAATAGCACTGAAAAATCACTTGATTTGTGAATCTATTTCTAGTGTTTTGTATGCTGAACTCTCCACCTCCCCAGTCTCCTAAAGTAAAATGACTAGTTGTCCTTTGGTGGTGTTTAGTCTGTGTGATGTTTGCCTTTAATTCATTTCCACTTTTTTTTATAGAGTCTTTTTTCATTTATTTAAAAATTTTCGGCCAGGTGTGGTAGCTCACACCTGTAATGTCAACACTTCAGGAGGCCGAGGCAGTTGGATTGCTTGAGCCTAGGTGTTCGAGACCAGGCTGGGCAATGTGGCAAAACCCCGTCTCTACAAAACATGCAAAAATCAGCTGGGCATGGTGACGCGCACCTGTATTCTCAACTACTTGGGAGGCTGAGGTCCGCGGATTACCTGAGCCCAGGGAGGTTGAGGCTACAGTGAATCATGATTATACCAATGCACTCCAGCCTGAGTGACAGAGGGAGACCCTGTCTCAAAAAAAAAAAAAAATTCTGCTGAAAGAGGCTTTTTTTTTTTGGTGGGGTGGGGAGACGTACATTGAGGGTGTTTGTTGTAAGCAGCAGGTTATTTTGGTACACTGTACATTTTATTAAGGGATTTTTCCTCCTGGGTTTGTTGAATGGTGGCGGATGTCTCAGTTTGGTTTCAGTAACTGAATCCTTCAGAGACCCATGCAAAGAAACCTTTTGTCCAAGAAGAACTTTGACCTGCCTCAGTCCTGGGTTGCTGGCTATGACCAGATTAGGTAAGTGATTAAAAATAGCAGAACTCTTTTGTAGACATAATCCTTTGAAAATTCTCAAATTTGCTTATTCCGAACTCCTATAAGCTTACAATTATCCGAAGGTCACTTACTTTTCACCTAATAGAAATTATAAGAAGATAGGGGTTAGAGAAGAGTTTTTCAGATAGTATCTGAGACGATCACCTCAACATGGAAATGAGGAAACTGAGGCTGGGGTTGGGAGAGGTAATTCCCATACCAGTAACAAGGTGGCAGAACAGAGAGAGGGTGAGAGCCTGGCTCTGTGGCCACACTGCCTGGGGCTCTGGGGACTTGACTAAGTTGTGTGGACTCTCGGAGCCTCGTTTCTCATCTGTCAAGAGGGAGAAGTTAGTAATCATAGCTCCTGCAGAGTAGTTATGAGGATTGAATGAGTCAGTATACCTTAGAGCATTCAGACAGCACCCAGCCTAGCATAAGTTCTCAAATGTTTTTTTCTTTTCTTTTCTTTTCTTTTTGAGACGGAGTTTCACTCTTGTTGCCCAGGCTGGAGTGCAATGGCGTGATCTCGGCTCACCGCAACCTCCACCTCCAGGTTTCAAGCGATTCTCCTGCCTCAACCTCCCAAGTAGCTGGGATTACAGGCATGCGCCACCACACCTGGCTAAGTTTATATTTTTAGTAGAGACGGGGTTTCTCCATGTTGGTCAGGCTGGTCTCGAACTGCCGACCTCAGGTGATCTGACCGCCTCGGCCTCCCAAAGTGCTGGGATTACAGGCGTGAGCCACCGCGCCCAGCCGTTATTTTCTAATAATTGTAGTAAACACCCCCCTGCATTTCTGCATTGCCTTGGGGCTTACAGAGTATTTTCTCACTCATCTCATTTGATGCTCACAGAATCAACACAGGGAGGCATGTCTGATACTATTAAGTGCTTGCCAGGGTCTCCCAGCTCTCACATAGCCTGATCAGAGCCTAGTCTTGCAACTCCTAAGTCTAGCTGAGAACCAAGGCGTGTTCCCAAGTGTGCCTGGCCAGGCGCATAAAGATACAAAATCGATGCTTTAAAACTTGTGTACAGTGTGTTCTTTAGAAAGTCCCTGACGCTGTTGCCAAGAACCTGTTTGTGTTAGGGAAATGCCTAATCCACACTGTCCTCCAGCCACACCAGGTTGGGGAGTCTAAGTGAAGATGTAAGGGGTGGCACTGGTTTTAAAAACAAAAACAGAATCATGGTTTCTGCCTCTGAGAACCTGCTCCCACCCCGGTACAATGGCTGCTTCCAAAGAGGTCCTGCTGCTGTGTGCTGTGTTCCCAGGAGTGGCCATGAAGATTCCACTTGTGCTGTGAGCATGTATAGTCATACCTCCTGCATGCACGGGAGACACACACTGTTCCTCTGCCCCAGAAACTGCCAGGCCGATGTTGGAGCCGCTGCCCTCCAAACAAGACTGGTTTCAGGCTTGCAGTTCCCATTTCCCACAGCACTTTGTGATAATAGTTCATTTGACTTACTCTTTGTTGTTTTCTCCTGTTTTGATCAGGAGCCTTGGATAGGCCTGAAGATTATTGCATTGGTATTGTATTAGATTAAAAAATTGGCTCTCGTAAACTGGTACTTCCTGATTGGAAGGCGGCTGTTTAAATTTATTCATGTGCTTTGACCTAGGAATTTCCACTTTACAGAGTTTATCCCAGGAATACTCATACATGTTTGCAAAGGTAGGGATTCATCATAGCATTGTTTATTATAACTCCGTAATAGAATATTAGTTGAGTTATGGTACATTCATAGAGTGGGATGTTATATATGGCTTAAAATGAATTTTGTAAGTGTGAATATGGAAAGGTATCCAAAAATATATAACAAAGAACAGTATGGTAAGAATGCACCAATGTTTGTTTATAGCATATGTAGTGTGGGAACTCCAAGGGAGAAATGAATGATTTAATCTGGAAAAATGTGTTGTAATAGTTGGGAGCACGAGTGTACCTTGTGGAGGGAATGTAACCTTGCTATGGAGGACTTTCTGCTTTCTAACTTTTACATCTGTGTAAATCTGTATAAATGTTTAGTTAGATGTATTGCTTTTGCAATCAGAAAAACTACAAACTAAACAACAAAAACTTACCCTTGTTAGTGACTCATCCAGTGCCCTTAGTGACCAACTCTGACCCCAATTCTCTTCTAGGAGGGCAGTCTCTCCATCTTTATGCTGCTCAGAGGCTTCAGGAGAGGACTGCAGCTTCCTTTTCACCCTGGGGGAGACTCTGAATCCTGGCCATAGCCAGCAGCACCAAGGAGCCCACTCAGTCTTCTGCCATCTGGGTTCCTGTCCAAATTAAACCCTGGCTCCTCTTCTCCCTTCACTGGTCCAGCACGCGCACACACACACACACACACACACACACACACACACACACACACACACAGATGTGCGTGTGCTCTCATTCACACACAGGCACATGACCCATTCTCACAACCCATTCACAAGCATACATGCCCATTCACACACACACACACACAAACACACAAACACACACACACTGGCATTTAGGTCTTTGCTCTCAAACCTTCTCTGCAAACATGCTGTGTTGTCCAGTTTTCCAGCTGTCAGCAGGTTATTAAGAAGGCCTGATAGTGAAGAAGGAGACAGAAAAACTACAGAAACATAAGCTGAGACCCCAGAAAACACCACAGTTCAAACTCTGTTTAGTGTTGGTGCACATAGTTCACTGCAGGCAGTAGCCACTGCATTGCATCAATACCGTCCATGGGGTTTAGGACAATGACTTTGGGTGGCCATCAAGAAGAAGCAAAATACTGCTTAAAATGCTGTGTTTAGGAAGGCAGGATTGTGTGTAATACGTTTTTAGAATGTTATTAAAATTGCTTTGACAGTGTGATACATTAAATTGTCAGTTATCTGGAAATTCTCTGATGCTGAACCAGTGATGACTTTAAAGCCAATATCTATATTCCTGAGACCCTTTGTCCAAAACATAAAACATTAACTTGAGGCCAGAAGTCTTTCAGAAACCCTTCCCCACTGTTGCAGTATTCTGAATTAGCAAATCTGCATAGGCCAACACTGACTGAAAGGACCTCTTGGTTTTGTTCTGAGGAAGGAGTGAAATTTCCACAGCCTGCATATCACAATAGGCCTTGTGGTTCATTCATTGTTATTAGATTGAATTATAATGAGAAGAAGCCTTTGTGCCTCTGGGCTCCCTGTCTTGGTCCACAGGGTTGGAACCACAGTATCAGAAACAATTTCTAAGACACATTAGTACACTTTTTAAAAGTATATTTGTGTCTTATACAGAGGAGAACTGAAATCCTTTTAATATTTGGGGGCTTTAAAGTAGTAATTAAATGCCACAGACCCTGTCACGAATTTATTAATGATCTTTGAAAAATCTACCATGTCAGCTGCAGCACCAGCTGCCCCTGGGGTGCTTGGATAGAGTGAGTTTTGTCAGTCGAGCGTTGTTGGTAGCTGGATGGATTGAGGCAGGAGAATGTTGGAGTGAAGAACTGGGCAGGTGTTAGAGATAATGCCACCTGGCTGGGCATAGCGCCCATGGAATCCATCCCCTGAGTAGCTTTACAGTCTGTCCTGCCTGAGTCCATCCCACTCCTGTGGAAGCACCCAGATGTCACGGTTTTTTAAAACTTCCTAGGTGAGTCTAATATGCAGCCAGGTTGAGTGGTGGCTGTGCCACCTCCCGGCTTGTGACCTTGGGCACTTAAGTTACACATCCCCTCTAACCCTCTGTTTTGTCGAAGCCTTGTGGTAAGAATTAACTGAAAGAATGCATGTGACACCTAAGTGCTCCATAAATATGAATGAATATGTGTGTATTTCAATGTGATAATATTTATTAAGATACACACATACATATGTTACATATATAGAAGGAAAATTTGCTGTGACCCACAGGGTCATATGTGTAAATAAATAACGTAGGTCACAAGGAAGTTGAAACCAGCTTCAGAGATTTTCCAAAACAAAGTACAATGTCTGTGGGAGCCTATCAGAGTTCTTGGTAAAGCAGAGTGAAGTTAAACCTTCCCTGCAGGAAAGAGCAGCAAAACAAGTGCTGACAGTTGCCAGCAGTTGAGAGGATCCTAGCCCCTCAAGTTCTGTTCTGGATCTAGCCCCACCTGGGCCTGGTGGTGGCTCTTGGTGGGTGCCACTTAGTCAGGACATCCAACTCCTCCCCTTCCTTCTGTTAAGTACCAGCTATTACCTAGTGGTGAAGATGAAGGAAAGTAAATTGGACCGACTATCTTTATAGACTCATTGTTTCCTATACATATGTATGTACATTGTCAGATTTATGCTGTCCTTTCATTCATTTAATGGATATTCATTATGTATTTACTGCATAGCAGGCATTGAGTTAAAATGTGGAACAAAGCAGATGCTGTCACTGCTCTTGTGTTCTTTACAGTCTAATGGGAGAGATGGGCATTCACAACCGAGATCAAGCCACCCCAATGAGTGGCAGGTATGTTCCTTGATTGCCTAAAACAGAGAGAACCTGATCCCGACTGGGGCTCCAGGAAGATTTTGCTGAAGACACTGTGATTGAGCTGAGACCTGAAGGGTGGTTGGGTGTATAGTGGTGGTAGGGGGTGTTCTGGAGTAGAAGGAAGGCCTGTGTGTTGTTGCCATCCAGGAACTGCAGGAAAGCCAGTCTGGCTGGAATGAGAGAGCGTGCACATGTGTGTGTGCGTGATGAGGGTGAGCCCTGAGAGGTAGGCAGGAGCAGATTAAACATGGCTGTGTAGGCTATATTAATAATTTTGGTATTTTTACTTAGAGGAGTGAGAAGCCATTGAAGGGGTTTAAGCAAGGGGTAAGGGTGAAGGCAGAGAGAGAGAGAGAGAATGGGGTAGACAGACAGAGCTGGCAGGCTCCTCCAGAGAGTGGATCAGAATGACTGAGACTGGATATGTGGGGAGGAGTTGTGGTCTAGGTGGAAGATGGTGGAAGTGAAGAGAAGTGATGTGTTTGAGAGAGATTTAGGTGGTGGCATTGACAGGACATGGTTTAGAGATGTGTTGGGTGCTGCGTTCTGGTTTGTGCAATGGGATGATGGTTGCATGCACTGCAGGAACAGTGGAGGAAGACCAAGTTGGGAAAGTACCCTGAACCCACTCTAGGGCAGCAAGCCTTTGGGCCCCTTACTTAGGGCAAGGCACAAGTATTCTTTTTTAACCTAAACAATTTGAGGAACAAGCACATTATATTTAGTTGTAATAATTTTTCCTGTTATATTTGTTTTGGTTGGGGATTTTAAAAATTCGTTTTGCTCAAAAATAATGTGTTTCTAGTCACCTTCTACCAGAATCTTACCAGGTCCTAGCAGTCTAACCAGGCTGGGTAGTGAAGTGTATTCTTTGACTTTGTGATTTTCTTCATATTCTTGTATTTCAATCAAAGCAACATATTGAAACAGATTGAACGCTGAAGCAGACAGGGGAACCTAGTTGTTTTCTCTTAAGCCAGACATTTGGTTTTCAAAAATGTAAAACAGCATCATCTCACCAGTTTTTGTTTTGAGAAAGTTATTTTTGTAGAAATAGGTTTTATTATAACATAAATGAACTTACTATTGTTATCTTAAAATGAATAAAGAAATATCATTAAAATTTCTCAGTTTTAATTTCCAATTTCATAAATACCAAAAGATAGAACCCATATAAACCATAGCTTTTTGGGGTCTTCAATAATTTTGAGTTATAAAGGAGTCCTGAGACAAAAGAGTTTGAAAATATTTGACATGTGTCATCCTAGGGTTTGTGATAGTAGGCAAATTATTTAAACTCTTAACCTCAGTTTACGTATCTGTAAAACAGGGAGAAAATGGGGTTGCTGTGAAAATGGAGTATGCAGGTAATGTACTGTAACGTCCCTAGTTCAGTTGCTGGTATGTAGTAACTGGTAAATTGGTAGCTGCATTTGTGGTTGCTGTTATTGGGTCATTTCATCTACATTGCAAACTCTTCTAGGTATGTGGCCATGTATTATAAAAGAAATTTCTGTTGTTGCTACAACAGGTGTTTAATAAAAGCCTTTTAAACAAGTGAATTGCAAAATTTCTAGGGAGTATGATTTTCTGAAATAATCCTTGATTATTCAGCCGCTAACCTTGAATATTTGACTTACAGTTCAGTAGTGACTGGCTCTGTTAGTAGCAGATTTAGCATGAAATGAAAGAACAGCTTTGGAACATAGAAGACTTTGCATGTCCCATTTGTTCTGTTCCTAAGTCCCTCCTTATCTCAGTTTCATCATTACAAAAAAAAAGTGATGAGATGCCGGGCGCGGTGGCTCACGCCTGTAATCCCAGCACTTTGGGAGGCCGAGGCGGGCGGATCACGAGGTCAGGAGATCGAGACCATCCCGGCTAAAACGGTGAAACCCCGTCTCTACTAAAAATACAAAAAATTAGCCGGGCGTAGTGGCGGGCGCCTGTAGTCCCAGCTACTTGGGAGGCTGAGGCAGGAGAATGGCGTGAACCCGGGAGGCGGAGCTTGCAGTGAGCCGAGATCCCGCCACTGCACTCCAGCCTGGGCGACAGAGCGAGACTCCGTCTCAAAAAAAAAAAAAAAAAAAAAAAAAGTGATGAGATGTTGAAATCCTGCCATAGAGTTTCACATTCGTCCATAGTTAATTTCATGGTAATTTTTTTTAAAGACACAGGTGAAGGGAAGAGTGGGAAAGGAAAGAGGGAGAATGTGATCATCGTGTGACTGAAAATCAGGTTATCAAATGGATAAATTAGGAGGTACCATTTGAATTTCACAGGCATCTTTCACTTTAGAAATAGATTAACCACATAATAACAACTGTAGTGTAGAGTATTAACTACTTAACAAAAGAGGATTGAGGGTGGAAGTTTAACTGTTATTTCAATGTCCATTGGAATTGAGGATAATGGTTATTTGAAATTTAACAGAATTTAATAAGAAAAAGATTTCTTTGCTCATGTGTATCACTAGCATAACTATGTAGGTGGGCATAATTTTATGTGGTAGGGATATTTCAAAAAATGTTACGTATATAGAATTTTTAAAAAAATTTAATACGGCTTGGCGTGGTGGCTCATGCCTGTAATCCCAGCACTTTGGGAGGCCGATCACGATCCGCGGGTGGATCACAAGGTCAAGAGATCGAGACCATCCTGGCCAACATGGTGAAACCCCATCTCTACTAAAAATACAAAAATTAGCTGGGCCTGGTGGTGTGCTGCTGTAGTCCCAGCTACTCAGGAGGCTGAGGTAGGAGAATCGCTTGAACCTGAGAGACGGAGGTTGCAGTGAGCCGGGATTGTGCCACTGCACTCCAGGCTGGTGACAGAATGAGACTCCATCTCAAAAAAAAAAAAAAATTAATACTTACATTAATCTTTGGTCATAAACCTTTCTGGTGAATATGTTTATAAACTAAGCCTGCTAATTTCAGAGAAGCATAATTTAAATTACTCCATTACTGTTCTTTAAATGTTTTCCACCCATGCTTGATCTTGGAAGTGAAATTGCTCACACTTGGAAGCATCCTTCACTCCTCCCCTCCTCCTCTCCTCCCATCTTCCCCTCCTCCCCCCACATCTTCCCCCCCTCCCCCTCCCCCTCCCCCTTCCCCTCCCCTCCCCTCCCCTCCTCTCTCTCTCTCTCTCTCTCTCTCTCTCTCTCTCTCTCTCTCTCTCTCTCTCTCTCACACTCACTCATCCCCCTCCTCACACCACTCTGTGTGTGGTGGTGGGGGAGAGAGAGAGAAACATTTCTTGAGGTTGTAGCACAGTCTGTCATTGCTCTAACCTTTGAATTCTGTCTGATCTGTCCGTCAAATGCTTTGGAAATGAATGCTGTATTTTTAACTTCGTTTTCATTGACTGAACTGTCATTCTTTAGAGTTTTGATACGTGTTCTTCCTGCAGAATCCAGTAAAGCCATGCTCGTTTTGTTGGGGAAAAAGAAGCACCCTAAGCATCGGGTCCCAGGCTCAGGCTTGGAGCCTCATAGGCTACGTTAGACCTCGGTTCCACCACTCACAGGGTGTGGCCTTCTTAGGTTGGTTACTTAGCCTCCTAGTTTTTTGTTGTTTTTTTCTCCTAGCCTCTAAACCACCAGAGATTAGCCTCCTATTGTGATCCTCTGTTTTTACATCTGTAAAATAAAGACATCATGGATTTGTTGGTATGGAAGTTTATAAGGTATTCAGTTCTGTGTCTGAGAAAAATTATGGTTCATTTTCTCTTGTCAAGGAGTGGCACCAGCAAAGATAAGGAGGTCATATTATGGAGCGAATGTCAGTGCGAGAATCATCTTGCATATCAGTAACTTAAATAGTTGATTCATGTGGCGTATTTTTATTAGTATAAGCTAACCCAGATTGTCTAAGTGTAGGGGAAGGATCATTAGATTTGAATTGTAAGTGCTGTGTTGGAATCTTGGCTCCGTGACTTGCTGTTCTGCTTTGGGAAGGTGTTTTAATTTCTCTCCACTTCAGTGTCTTGATTTGTAAAATGAGAATAATGATAGCTACCTCTTAATGTGGTTAAGATGACTGTTGAGATGATTAAATGAGATTATACCAAAGAACCTAAGAGTGCTGATACTCAGTAAGCACTAATAAATGGGGATTCTCTAGATTTTGTAAGTAAATGACCAATATTTCTGTCAAACTGCTTACCTTTGACTGAAACTTTGAACTTTAGTGAGACCTTCATATAATTTTCATGACACTTGACTTAATAACTGAACATACTGTGCTATGCTTTGGGTATAAGAGTATGATACTTTTGTGTATTTTGTAATATTTAAGTACTTCTTCCTAATAAGCTGTTGGGTAGAGCATATATATCTGTCCACCAGCCATCTTATTGAGAGAGACAATCTGTTCCTTCCACTGAAAGCTTAGGATCACAAGCTGAAATTTCCTTAATATGAAAACAAAAACAAGTTCACATTTTGGGTTTCATAAATTTAATTATGGTTAACTTTGGAAATTAAAATGTTTTCTGAAAAGTAACTTTTCTGTTCTCCCTAGGAAAAATCCATTATTAGAATGTAAGAGACAAAACAAATCTTTTAATTATACAGCAAAGGTGCCCCAGGGCTCAGTGTGTTCCTTTGCTGTCTTTTTTGCCAGCATCTTATTTGATCCTTAATGTGTCTGGAATGTGGTTAAGAATACTAAAAAATATTTTGAACTAGACTAACGTGCCATTAGCATTACCACCTTGGTTTTACCAGCTGAGTGAGCATTCAGATTCTTGATGTGCATATGAGGTTAACATCTCTTTAAGATACTGCCTGTAGGCTGGGCACGGTGGCTCATACCTGTAATCCCAGCACTTTGGGAGGCTGAGGTGGGAAGATCCCTTGAACCCAGGAGTTAAAGACCAGCCTGGGCAACATAGTGAGATCCCTGTCTCTACAAAAAATAATAAAAAAGATACTACCTGTAAACTAAGGTGGGGTTTTTCATTGATTATCTCCCTCCTCCTATTGTAAAACGTTTTGAATGAAATAAAATACATTTTTCCTTTGTACTCTCTTCTCAGCTTTTAAATTTACTTTTTTCAAGTCCTAGAATGTTTTTCAGCCTTATTTTTATTTATCTAATAAAACCTCTATTTTGGGGTTTCTTTTCATACCTTCAGTACCATAAGAAGATTTCAGGGTAGTTATTTGACAGGTTCTTGTCAAATAGTATAACACAACAGTCATCAAAGAAAAGGTGTGGAAAATAATGTTCAGTGTTCCAAAGTAGAAAAATTAGATATGTTAGTTATTGTAAATAAAAAGATAAAAACATGGATTTTCTAGTGTATGATACATGTATTAGTCTTGGTTCTACCATCTTAAGAAATAGTGGTTTTTTGAGATGAAGTTTCACTCTTGTCACCCAGGCTGGAGTACAGTGGTGCGATCTCGGCTTACTGCATTCTCCGCCTCCTGGGTTCAAGCAGTTCTCCTGCCTCAGCCTCCCCAGTATCTGGGACCACAGGCACGTGCCACCATGCCTAATTTTTTGTATTTTTAGTAGAGATAGAGTTTCACCATGTTGGCCAGGCTGGTCTCGAACTCCTGACCTCAGGTGATCCTTCTGCCTTGGCCTCCTCAAAGTGCTAGGATTACAGGCGTGAGCCACTGCACCTGGCTAAGAAATAGTTGTTTCTGAAAGTGATGCATGTTACCACAGGAATTTGACTAGTAGTGGCAGTATTTCCTTGTATGCGAACTTAAGTGCTACAAATCTCATCAGTCATATTTACACACTTGTGAGTGACAGGGAAGGGGAGCAAGAGCCTGCCTGTGAATTGTCTTTGCTGGAAAATAATCTTCTATTAATTTATTCTCTTTAGGGTATTAAAAACCAGTGACATGTAGCATGAAGGCGGATGAGGCCCATATTGCTAATGTGATGCAGATGTGGACGTTCATTGTGGCTTTGGTTTTTACCCACAAAGGCTGTAAGTCTGGAAAAGACTGGCCCATTGCCATGAGTAATTATGTTGTCTCCCTCTGTCTGAAATGGGGATTTGGGTGTGATGGGTTCAGGGAAAAGTGATGGCTGTGTAATCTCTCCACTCACAAATGCGTTATGACCCTGATGGAGTGCCCAGCTGAGCGCACTGTGGAGTGGCGCATCCTCAGGGACAGAGCCTGGCTATGGACAGGAGAGTTTTGTCCTGCTCTTACTTTTGGGACTAATACTACACATATATGATTTTATGATTTTAGAGACTTGCATTATTTGACAAATGGTATTTAAAAAAGTTTTCAAATGGGAAGTGTTTAATTTTGAACTCTGTTTTTCTTGGTGTAAATTTTGCCCTTAAGTGATCCTTTGTCAAACACTTTTTACAAAACATTTAAGAGCAAGACTCTCCTTTCCACTTAGGAAGTATCACTCTTTATTCAGAGGGATGCTTTGAATGAAACCAATAAGTAGGTATTTTCAGAATGACTTCCCCTGTTTGCCTTGTTCATATCACAGTTCTGAGAATGACTGTATTTTTTGACCCATGTCTAGGCACATTTGCCCTTCTCAGCTGGGGCTGCTGCTTGGATAAGACTCTTTTCTGCTCTCTCAGTTATTTATTGCTTCTGTTTTTCTCCCCTTTCCTCACTTTGTGCCCCTTATACTTTCTTTCTACTTAATGTATCTCCTGCTTCTCGACTCCTTTTTACTTTGAGAATGTCAGAGAACAGAATGATCTGTGCTGAGCGCTGTGAGATGATGGACTGGTGAAGAAGGCAGGGGGCGAGGAGGCAAATGAGGAAACCCAAAGCCCCCCTGCCTTGCAGAGGCTGCACCTGGATTGGGGCAATGAGTTGAGGCATCAACATGTGGATTTCATGAGTCTGAGAGATGACTGGGGAGAGTGTCTATCCAGGGCCAATAAACAGAAGAGGATGGTTGGAAACATGGATTTTAAGGCTAGGAGTTGGAAGCTCCAGGTCCCTATCTCTGCCAGGGCCTTCAGTAGCTACAGGGTAAGACACTTACACTTACCTGGTAATCAGTTTCCTTGTCTGTGAGATAATGGAAATAACTATCTGTTCTACCTATGGACAGGCTTATTGTGAAATTGAAATAAGATAGGATGTACATAAAGGCCCCTTGTAAGGGATTAAGCCCAATGTGTGGAATAAACCTGCCCCATACCCTTGGGGAACAGTGTGGCCTAGTGGGTCATATCGGGCTGTCTCATAGGCCCGTGTGGCCCATCTGCGTGGAGGACTGGTTCTACCTGAGGATAAGTAATATGAGAGATGATTTCTATACTAAAATAATCACACACGTTGTCTTGTACAATACAATGCTTAACCTTTATTTTAAAGATAAAACATGGCACAGTCAAGCTGCCGTTACAGCTCTGTGTTCTTTCTGGGTTACCTGTTTACACACTTTTGTATATTAGACTATTTCAGTCACAGACCTTGCGAGCTGTTGGTACAATCAGAAGCTTTTGTGTTGAGGACTCAGTGGACATGTGCTCAGAGGCTCTCATTAAATCTCTCTGGGCCTCAGGTTCTTCCTCTCTGCTGTGGGAACCAAATGCTAGGTATTGGTGAGAATTAAATGGGAGAACATCTGGCACAGATAATGGCTAAGATGTTTAAGTTCCTCCTCCTAATTATGATGGTAGTAGTGACGATGGATAGTGCCTCCTGTAGTTCGGAAGGAGGAAGTTAATTCTGGGTGGGAGGTGGTCAGCAGAAGTTCCAGAAAGGAAGGAAGTTCGGTTATGAAAGAGGGATGAAATTTGGATAGTGGACAAGAGACAGTTTCAGGTGGAGAGAGAAGCCCAGACATGGGAGCTGGAGAGTTGGGCAGGGGTGGGGCAGCAGCAGCAGCCAGGCCATGGGGAAGTGTGACATGGGGACTGGGCAAGGCCAGGAGGGAAGCCCAGGAGTGACTTGTGGGACCCTGAGTGCCAAGCAGGGATTTGGACATCGCCTTTTGGAAAGGCAGGGCTTTAGAAAGGTGTGTGCGGTGGTGGGATGCAGTGTTCACAATTTCCTGGTGAGCTGATCCTTATGGGTCCCCCACCCCTCAGCAGGTATCTAGAAAGATTATCTTGGGCATAAAGTGACCTCTGCCCTCCCTGTTTGTCAGAAGCTCTTGCTCCTGGCTCTTGGGGTTAGGTTTTCTGCTGCTGCTGGCTTTACCCTGCAGTTGGTTGAAGGGTTTCCAGTTAGTCTTTGGAGGCTGACAGTGTAGGACCTGGTTTCACCTGAGCTTGGGGCCCTGCTCCAGGGAGAGAGCTGTTGTGGGGGTCATGATGTTTCTGGGGTTGTGGATCTCTGACTTGTGGCAGAGCTTCGTGGAAGGACACTGGAGGCACAGCACTTGCTCTTACCCACATGTTGCTCTTTTCCTCCATGACTTTGAGATCCTTAAATACGTTACCTTTTTAGAACTGGTGGTGGCTTTGACTTCTGTACGTTGGATGAAAATGAAATCTGTACGTTGGATGAAAATGAAATCTTCAAAAATCTTAAAATGAGTTAATTTTTTCCTGTTTCTTTTTTTCCTTCTCTGTTGGTGATTTGGTTTACAGGTTCATGATCTATAATATTCAGTTTTAAGTTTTATATTTGGTAACTGTATTAATCTTTTCTCACACTGCTAATAAAGATATACCTGAGACTGGGTAATTTATAAAGAAAAAGAGGTTTAATGGACTCACAGTTCCACATGGCTGGAGAGGCCTGACAATCATGGCGGAAGGCGGAAGACATGTCTTACGTGTCAGCAGGCAAGAGAAGAAATGACAGCAGGGGAAATGTCAAACGCTTATAAAACCATCAGAACTTGTGAGAACTCACTATCATGAGAACAGTATGAGGGAAACCACCCCCACGATTCAGTTATCTCCACCCGGCCCCACCATTGACACATGGGGATTATTACAATTCAAGGTGAAATTTGGGTGGGGACACAGAGCCAAATCATATCAGTGTCACTTGACGGAACTGGGTTTGCAATGCCAGGATCCTTGAGAGTCTGATGTCACATTTGCTGTGTCTTCAGGCAAAGGCCTAATAATTTGAAATCAAATTTTTCCCTAGGTGTGGCCTTAGGATCAACATTCATAGAACACTTTGCAATAAATTATTATTTGGCTATTTAAAGTATCATTTTCAGGCACTTTGGGAGGTGGAGAGGGGAGGATCACTTAAGCCCAGGAGTTCGAGATCAGCTGGGTAACATGGCAAAAACCTGCCTCTACAAAAAATACGAAAATTAACCAGTCATGGTGGCATGTGCCTTTAGTCCCAGCTACTTGGGAGGATGAGTTGGGAGTATTGCTTGAGCTGGGGAGGCAGAGGTTACAGTGAGCCGAGATCACACCACTACGCTCCAGCACTCTAGCCTGGGCGACAGAGCCAGACTCTGTCTCAAAAAAAAAACCAAAAAACACCACCACCACCTTTTCGATGAAGCTAGTATGAATAGAGTGAGAAAAGGTTTTTTTTCTAGAATTTTATAAAATCTGTAGCCATGTTTAAATACATGTAAACACCTAGCTATCCTGGAAGCACTGTTTTACTGTTTCCCCTTAGCTTTAGCTGAAACCTTCCAAGTCTTGCTTTTGGGTTGGGAATTTTTTACTTTCTTTTAAAAGTTTTTAAAATTAACAATACTAAATAGATAATAAACTGGAAAGGAATGAAAATAGTGTACAGGAAAACTTGTCCCCTTCACCCCACAGCCTACTCTGATCGCTGGATGCCAGTTCTCTGCTTGGCAGCAAATACTCTTACCAGCTTCTGTGTGTCTCTCTCTCGAGAGTCTCTGCATGCGTATTTATCATCATACAAATGATAGCGTCCAGGAGACACTGCTGTGGCCCTGCTTATTGTCCATAAAAACATATCTTCAGAGTTCTTTTTTTTTTTTTTTTCTGAGGCAAGGCCTTTTCTGTTTCCCAGGCTGGAGTGTAGTGGTGCAATCACAGCTCACTACAGCCTCAGCCTCCCAGGCTAAAGCTGTCCTCCCACCTCAGCCTTCCAAGTAGCTGGGATTATAGGTGCACACCACCATGCCTGACTAATTAAAAAAAAAATTTTTTTTTTTAGAGATAAGATCTCACTATGTTTCCCAGGCTAGTCTTGAACTCTTGGGCTCAAGTGATCCTCCTGCCTCAGCCTTCCAAAGTGCCCAGGTTACAGTCATGAGCCATCATGCTTGGCCTAACCATCTTTTTAAGAGTTATATAATATTCTGTTGTATGGCTGTATCATTGTTAAGTTAACCAGCCCTCTATTAATGGACATTTATTTGTAATCTTTCACTATTATTCAGTGAATATTTTTGTTTATAACAAGTCATTTGGTACATGTGGGAGCTATGTAATTGTCGTAAATGTTTCTCCTGTATACATTTAGAACCACAGTAGACATTGTTACACTGTTTGCTTCAATTGTCAAATGTAATTTGGAAAATTCAAGAGAAGGAGGAAAGCCTTTTACATTTTACCTTTGTTTTTACACACCCTCTTCTTCCTTTCTTCCTGATGTTCCAAGGTTGATTTATTTGATTTCCTTTTCACTTAGAGAACTTTGTTTAGCCATTCTTTCAGGGTAGGTCTGCTGGTGACAGTTTCTCTTAGTTTCATGAAAATATCTTGATTTCCTCTTCATTCCTTAATGATATTTTTGCTGATACAGGATTCTGGGTTGTCACCTCTTTTCTTTCAATCCCTGGCAAGCATCGTGCCACTTTCTTCTGGCTTTTCCTGTTTTCTGATGAACAATCAGCTGTCATTCAAATTGTTTTTTCCTTATAGGTAGGTGTCATCTTTCTTTGGCTGCTTTGAGGAATTTTTCTGTCTTTAGTTTTTCAAAGTTTAACTAGCTTTTTGAATCTTGGGTTTCTGTTTCTTGCCAAATTTGGGAACTTTTCAGCTGTTATTTCTTCATATACTTTCCAAGCCCTGCCCGCTGTCTTTTCTCCCTTGGTACTCTGATGATGAGAATGTTAGTTCTTTTTTCACAGTCCCACAAGTCCCTGTGGCTCTATTATTAGCTTTATTTCATTCTGGTCTATTTCTCGATTTCTCTCTATTGTTAAGTTTGGGTAATTTCTTTTGTTCCATCTTTCAGTTCACTGATTCTTTCTTCTGTTCTGCTGTTGAGCACATCTACTGAGCTTTTTACTTCTGTTGTTATATTTTTCAGTTCTAAAATTTCCATTTGGTACTTGTTTATAGTTTTTATTTGTTTGCTGAGCTGAGCCTCTTTTTCTTTGCTGCCTCTTTCTCTCTCTCTCTCTTTTTTTTTGTTTCAAGTGTGTGTGTGTGTGTGTGTCCTTGTTCATTGAAGAGTCTTATTATGGCTGCTTTAAAATCTGTCAGGTAACTTGAACATCTCTGTCATCTCAGTGCTGGCATGTATGTTCTTCATTTCGTACAGCTTGAGATCTAGCTTCTTGGTAGGATGAGTGATTTTTTTTTTTTTTAATTGAAACCTCCTGGACATTTTGGATCTTATTTAAACCTTCTGTTTTAGTTGACTTATGGCATTGCTCTGGCAGAGGATGGTGGGCCACTCCCTTGTTACTGCCAGGTGGAGACAGAAGTTCAGGTTTTACTTAGCCGCTGTTGACACTGAGGGGATGTGGCTGGGGCTCTTTGTTATAGTTGGTGGGAGTCTCACTTCTCCATGTTGTTTTCATTGATAGTGCAGCAGTGTAGGGAGCTGGTTATTACTGGCAGTGGAGGATGAAAGTCCTGGCCCCCTACTTGGCCTTCTTGGACCTAGAGGTGTTGGGGCATCTCATTACCACTTCACAATGGCAAAAGTTTAGGCCTCACACTCAGCCTTTGTTGGTGTGGATGGGACTGGAGCCACAGTCGTTTTTGGCGCCTGTGGAGTAGAGTGGTTATTATCTAAAAATGTTCTGTCTTGCTAGACAGGCTCCTTTCTGTTCTTTGGACAGAGAGAGCAGGTGTTCTTTGGTCTGTACCCTTCATGTTTGCAGATTGTCTCCTTCTTCAGCTTTTATCTGAGATAAGTGAGGCAGAAAGGAAACTCAGGGAACTCACCCCTGTGCTGTTTCTCATGTCCTTGTGTCCCTGGCCACTCTGGAGCAGAGGTTAGCAGAGGTTCTCTGGAAAGGGCCAAGTGGTCTCTGAACTGCTCAACTCTGCTGTTGAACCTCAGAGGCAAGCGTAGATGAGATGTAAGAGAACAGGCCTGGCTGCTCCATTTCAGCTTTGCTTATGAAAACAGCCTGGCCTGGATCTGCCTACCCTCCTCCAGACCCTTGCTTCCCACCCCTCCTAGTGCTGACTCTTTGCTAGATGTCTTCAGAATAAGCTTCAAGTTTTCTTCACTGCAGCGTATTCTGCTGTTTTAGACCCCTGTCCGGGGCACAGCTTTGTGGTGGTGATCACCTGTGGGAGAGAACTTCAGAATCAGCTCCTAGAAAGAGTGATTCTGGGCAGCAGAAAGGACGGAGCCTAGAGCAGTTTCCAAAGTAGAATGAAGTGTAATTGCACACGTGGGACTCCAGTCCCTGCTTATCTTTACTTCTGAGAAGCATTACATACATTTGTTAATTATGCTACAAGAGAGGTAGTCTTAACTCATAAACTGAGCTGAAAGAAGTCTAGATTTTCACGTGTCATTGCTATTTTAAGACATCTCTTTTCACACATCATTTTGTTTTAACAAGTGTACCTGGGAAGTTAAGGATGGGTGCTCTTATTTCCATTATATTGCTTTGGGTTTTTCTCTAGAAGAGAGAGTATACAATTGCCAATTCAGAAGTGATTCTATATTGTTAGCACCACTTATAAGACTCCATTTGCCTGAAATGGAAAGGAAGAGTCCCATAAGGAGCTAGAATGGGGCCCCATGTGGTATGAGGGTCAGGGAGAGTCTGTAGCACTGACAGGTGTTTTGGCCTCTTCTGAATACCGCCTTGTTTTACCATGTTGCAGAATGGAACCATTGTAAGCCAAGAACAAGTTGGCCTTTAAACTGTTGTTAGCAAAGAAGCAGAAGCAGTCTTCTTTGAAATGACTTTCATTTTGGAAGGAACAGAGACAAGATGAATAAGAGCTTTCCCTGATGTTAAGTGTTTGTGGCCTTAGAGAGTGGTACAGAGTTTCCTATGTATCTGCATTGTGTACGTTTCTTGTTTTCTTAATTTTAGGGCCCTATTATTACTATGCTTTAGCTTAGCAATTGGGCTTTTCAATGGAAAAAGCGGTAGGAGGCTGGGCGCAGTGGCTGCGAGGCCGAGGCGGGAGGATCACTTGAGCTCAGGAGTTCGAGACTGGCCTGGGCAACATGGGCGAAACCTCATCTCAACTAAAAATAAAAAAGGAAATAGCCAGGGATGGTGGTGTGTGCCTGTAGTCCTAGCTACTTGGGAAGCTGAGGTGGGAGGATTGCTTGAGCCCAGAAGACGGAGGTTGCATGAGCTGAGATTGTGCCACTGCACTCCAGCCTGGGTGACAGAGTGAGGCCCTGTATGAAAATAGAAAAGAAAAAGCAGTAGGTTATTAGCATAAACTTGATAAGAGTTCATGCTGGTGTATCTTATTTTAAGGTGTAGATGTCTTTAATAAAGTTCATTTCATTAAATGAAGTTAATTACGTATTAATTGTAAAATAAAAATGTGTTTCTCTGGAAAACAAATTTGGCTGTATGATTTAAAATGATCATACTTAAGAGAATACCCATTGTTGTAAAGTCTGTATGAAAGGAAAAGTTCCCATTTATAGTTTTAGTTAAAACGATGACATAATTTGAAAGAACTTAGATTCATTGTTGCATTTTAAATAATAGCTTAAAAGTCCTAGTAAAGCAATAGTGAAAGTGTACCTGGGTATAACACATGGGCTGGCTAGAAATGTCACTTAGCCTGCATGACCCACAGAGTGTTGCCATAACTCCTGATGTGTAGGGCCCTGTTTGCGTTGGAGTGATGCAGATCTCTGAGGCAGTGCTGGTTGCCCTCCAAGGGCTTATGGTGGTGGTTGGAGAAATAGAACTAAATAAGGGAAAATTAGGTAACCTTGAATGCTAAGCTTAGAACTTTGAAGCAGAAGCAATGTGAGTCATTAAAAGGACATAAAATTAACTCACAGTTTATTAGCCATCTGCTGTGCATCAGGCTCATAGTGTGGTGGGAGAGATGGCTTTATAATTGAAAGGTAGTGAAATAATGAGACCGGAGACTCATACAAATTGCCTGGATAGGAGGTACTTTGTTGGGAGTTTAGGGTGGTCTACCTGCAAGACTTGATATTTGAAAATAGTTTTTAAAAACAAGTAGGAGTTTGCTTGTAGGATGAGAACTTTTTAGTTAAGGGAAAACTGTTTGAAATACTGAGATATGAAACAGCATGATGTATTTGGTGAGTAGAAGACATTTTCATGTTTGGAACATATAGAGTATGAGTAATGAATTTGGGAGTATGAATAAAGAAACTACTGGGGATGGCTACGGGACGGGCTATTGATGTGGTTTGTGTTATTTTCTCCCTTTATTTCATATACAGTCGTGTCACTTAATGAAGGTGGTATGTTCTAAGAAGTGCTTTCTGAGAAATGTCTCATTAAGTGATTTCGTCATTGTGTGAACATGAGAGAGTGTACTTACCCACAAATCTAGATGGTCTAACCTACTACACATGTAGGCTGCATAGTATAGCCTGTTGCTCCTAGGCTACAAACTTGTACAGCATCTGACTGGACTGAATACTTTAGGTAATTTGAACACAGTGGTTAAGAACTTGTATATCTAAACATCCCTAAACATGGAAAAGGTACAGTAACAATACGGTATAGAAGATAAAAAATAGTATGCCTGTTTACCATCTCCATGAATGGAGCTTGTAGGACTGGAAGTTGCTCTGGGTGAGTTAGCAAGTGGGTGGAGAGTGACTCTGAAGGCCTAGAACATTTGTGTATACTACCAGAGACTTTGCAAACAGTGTACACCTAGGCCACACTAAACTGATACAAAATATTTTTCTTCACTAATAAATTAATCTTAGCTTGCTGTAACATTTTTACTTTATAAACTTTAAATTTTTAAAACTTTTTGACTTTTGAAATAACAGTTATAACACAAACACATTGGATAGCTGTACAGAAATATTTTTTTCTTTATATCCATACTCTGTATGCTGTTTTCTGGTTTAAAATTTTTATTGTCTTTTTAAACTTTTTTGTTAAAAACAAGACACAAACACACACATTAGCCAGGCCTACACAGGGTCAGGATCATCAATATCACTGTCTTCCACCAGCACCTCTGTCCCACTCTGTAGAAAATGAAGTAGAGGTTCCTCTTCAAAGGGACTTTCCTCGCAGTCTAATTGGGAATAAATAGTAGCCTCTCTTAGAAGCAAAATTTACTCAAAGACCTGTGCTAATATTCTTAAATATCTGCTAGCCGTAATAAAGAAAGGAATATACTTTGTGTTCTTAGCCCCCATCTTTTAGGCTAGATATTTCCCCTGGCATACCTGTACAGGCCCAAGAAAGCATTAGGTCATAGCCTGTTCCTCTTCCTTATTTGGAGGTGTTTTTGCCTTTCTCAGCATTCCACAAGTTACTTCCTCCTTTCCTTTGTTCTCCTCTATGTATGTCTCTTTTGGGATGTTCTAAGTTGCTAGCCAATCAGGACAAGTACAGAATGTGAGGTCCCATTCCAGCCAATGGAAACTGGACACAGCCATAGGGTGGACGTGTCAGACTATAAATGACCCTGTCTCTTTTGTGTGTGCTCTCTGGCAAAACTGCTAGCGAGTAGCACCCTTTCTGCAGAAAGTAAATTAGCCTTGCTGAGAGATCCTTTGTCTTAGGGTTGATTTCTGCGACATTGAATACCCATTTCCAACACACTTGAAGGGCTTTAGAGGTGACAGCACTCATGGAGCTGTTATCTCCCATGATAGCAAGGCCTTCTTCTGGTACCTCCTGCAGGCCCTGCCTGAGGCTGTTTCACAGTTAACTGTTTTTTGGCTTTTTTTTTTTTTTTTGGAGACGGAGTCTTGCTCTGCCATCCAGGCTGGAGTGCAGTGCGTGATCTTGGCTCACTGCAACCTCTGCCCCCCGGGTTCAAGCTATTCTCCTGCCTCAGCCTCCCAAGTAGCTGGGATTATGGGTGTGCGCCATCACGCCCAGCTAATTTTTGTATTTTGAGTAGATAAGGGGTTTCACCATGTTGGTCTGGCTGGTGTTGAACTCCTGACCTCAAGTGATCCACCCATCTTGGCTTCCCAAAGTTCTGGGATTACAGTTGTGAGCCACTGTGTCTGGCTATAACTGTTTGACTGGCAGCACAGTAGGTTTGTTTACACCAGCATCATCACAAACACAGGAGTGATGTGTTGCACTACATTATGATGTCACTAGGTGATAGCAGTTTTTCAGCTCCATCATAAGCTCAAGGGACTACTGTCATTGATGCAGTCTGTTGACCAAAACGTTACGCAGTGCATGACTGAATTTTTGTTTTAAAATTTTTTGCAAATGAAATTAGATTTGTATTTTGAAAAGGTAATCCTAAGAAAGCAACGTGGAGAATGGATGTAGGGGTGGAGGAGGCGAGAGGTAGAGATGCTAGGATATTGAATAGTCCGGGCGACAGATGATGAGGACTTAAATCAAGGTGGTGGAAGCAGTGATGGAAATGAGAGGAGCTTCCAAATAGATTTGGATATATGGGATGAGGGAACAGTAGAGATCAGGGAAATTTTTAGTATTTGTGGTTTGGCTTCAGGGTGATCAGTGGTGCCATTAACTCAGTTTGGGATTATGGAAAGAAGAGCATGTTTTGGTGGCAGAAGAGTTCACATCTGTGGAACAGTAAATGGAACTGCTTGTGGGTGGTTGGCACTGTAGGTCTGGAAGTCAGTGGAGGAGTGTCCCTTAAAAGGTAGATTTTGGTGGGTATTAGAAATAGTTGGAATTAAAGGAGGAGATGAGTTTACCCATGAAGGAGAGCCTTTAGAGAAGGAAGTCAAGTTCCAGGTAGAGCCATGCTGCCGCCCTGCTCTTCTGCCTCCCACTCTCCACCCATGCAGACATTACTAAACCATTACTGCTGTTTCCCACGGAGCCTGTGGGATCCTCAGAATCTTCTCAAGGCAGTGCACTGGAAGGCTGACAGGAACTGGGGCAAAATGTAAGGGTTAGGGGAAGAGACTGCATGGAGAGACTGAGCAGAGAAGCAGGAGTGGAGTCCGCATTTCTGCCAGGAAGGGTGGAAGACTGTTAGAGCTGGAATGTGCTGATGGATTTGGGAAGTAGGAAGTCATTGATGACTCTGGTGAGAACAGTTTTAATTGAGGGAGGGAGACAGAAGCCATGTTTTGAGGCTATTTGGAGCCAGGAGTAGGAGGTGAGAGACTACTTTTCCTAGGATCTTGACTAGGAAAGGACGGAGGTTGTTTGGAAACCAGAGGGAAGGAGGGGTGGAGCATGTGTGTAGGTGTAGGAAGTAGTTCATATCTTAAATAATCCTTTTATGTAATAATCCTGCTGATACTTGTTCTTTAACATTTTATTTTGAAACAATTTCAAACTTAAAGTTGGAGTAGACCTGTAATCACCAGTGTTAACACTGTGCCACATTTGCTTTATCATTTTTTTCTTTCTTACTACTTTTTTTTCTGAACCATTTGAGAGTAAGTTGCAGACAGTAAGTAGGTGCTTTTACTTCTAAATATTTCGTGGTCTTTAGGCTTCGTTTAGCACCCTTTACTCTCATAAGAAAAGTCGTTGGGCAGATCTATTAAAAATAACCAGAGTACTCTGCCTGCCTCCTTAAACATTTTGTGGTTATTTGTCTCACGGGAGGATTAAACACAGGAAATTTGGGACTTGGACTGTACTGGAAACTTCTAAAATATAATTGTTCTTTCAGATTTTGGTCTCTGTTGATTGTTTGCTGATCAACAGAAAAGGTGGAAGGAAATGATGGCTATTTCAGCCTTTTAAAAATAGTACTAAATGTTCGATTCCACAGTACAATACTTTATCATCTGAGAAGTAAGGTAACAGGTCAGTGAGGTTCAAAAATCTCTTCAAAATACTTACATGTCAAATGCCTAAAATATTCTCCTTGATGAAGATACTGGACACACATGCTCAGTGAAAAATGTGGAGTTTTTTTTCCCCACTAAATATAGATTTTCTTTCATTTAAATAGTACTTAATTGTCCTAAATTAACTGACCTCCAGAATGCATTTGTGTGCAAGAAATTGTTCCTTTGTCCTGTCCCTGCTTTTAGTAAAAGTGTGGTAGTGTAGATTTGCCAGGGATAGTGTGAATTTGGACATGAACTCATGGACAGGAATTGTAATAAGCTGTCATATCCAGTTTGTGTTTCATGAGCAGCTTCCCTTTGCCAGGGTCTTTGTGGTTAGTGATGATCTTCTTGTTGCCAACCCTGCCTTGTCACTGGCTCACTGGATCCTGGATGGAGCAGAGACTGACAGTGCTGGGTTGCTCCTCTTGCCCCTTGTGGGATCTGTGGGGCTGATGGCCCTCTGGGTACCATCCCAGGGCTGTTCGTTGTTCTCCAGCGGAAGTGTAATAAGCAATTTGTCTCTTCATTCCTGACAGTTTCAAAATTGCATGTCGAGATAAGTTCTAGATTTAAAAATTAGTGTCTCCTAATTTCTAATGTAATTTTTAGATAAATTGATTATACAGATTTTGGAAAACATATAGTTACCATGTAGGTTAAAGAAAGGTGGTTTAGGTCTGGGCACAGTGGCTCATGCCTGTAATCCCAGTACTTTGGGAGGCTGAGGCGGGTGGATCATGAGGTCAGGAGATCGAGACCATCCTGGCTAATACGGTGAAACCCCGTCTCTACTAAAAGTACAAAAAATTAGCCGGATGTGGTGGCGGGCGCCTGTAGTCTCAGCTACTCAGGAGGCTGAGGCAGGAGAATGGCGTGAACCCGGGAGGCGGAGCTTGCAGTGAGCTGAGATCGTGCCACCGCACTCCAGCCTGTGTGACAGAGCGAGACTCCATCTAAGAAAGCTGGTTTAGTTTGAATTCTAGAAAAACCATAGTTTAACACGTGGCTTTGTAAGCAGGACTTTCAAATGTAATCATGTTTCAAAAAGACAGGAGGCTTTACTAGCGATAACGTGGTAAGCCAGAGAGCAATTTTTATTTATATTTAGGGGCAGATGATGGGGAAACACCACTGTGGTCTTGAGACAGTGGGGTGATTATGACCATCATCATCATTATCTCTGTCATTTCTCACACTTCTTGATTTTACCTGCACGTTTCCATTTCTTAAGAAAAACTTGCTAAACCCTAAAATAATATAAATACAATCTTAATTTCTAAGATTTCAAGAGGTTTGAGGTGTTGTTTAGTAGCAGTGTCATTGCAGTAGCTTGAAATATTTATAAGTAATAACCCAAGGGTAGCATTTCTGCCATGAAATGCCAGAAATAATGGGCATGTCTGACACTTTGGGGAGTTTCTTGGCTTCCTGTGATTTCTGTTCTCTGGCTTGCTGAGTCTGTTTGGCACAGGTCGGATGTTTGTGCTTGGTCTGGAATTTGAAACACGTGGCTGTAAACCACAGATAGTTTGATAAAGGCATAACAGGCAGGAAAACAAAAGATATGCTTTTAACCAAAAAATGTAGGCCTGCCCCTGGCATTTCCCGTGATGAAGGTGTTTGAGGCTGTGCTTTGCCGTTCATGGTGTAGCTCCTCATTCGTTTTCAGCTATCAGAAAGGCCACTTGTTCTGGTGCTCCTTGGCTCAGCTGGCACCAGGTCACTGTCTCATCCTCCAGCCAGTGAAGGAGACCGCCTTCACTGTGGGAACCAGCGGCTCGCATTTTAATTGTGATCTGGTGACTTCTGTACAGCAGCAGATTGATGACAGCTTTGGAGGGGAACAGGTGGCTCAGTGTGATTGAATCGTTCTTTAACTCATTCAACAAGTAATGGCCAAGTACCTGCTCTCTGTTGGACACCATCTGGGGCCCCAGGGCAGTCACGAACAAAGCAGACCGGAGAGAAAACAAAGCAGGAAGTTAAGGGTGGGGACATGGGTAGGGCCGGTGTAGCAGAAATTCTGGAGCCAGGCTGCCTGAGTTGGAATGCGAATTCCCATTACTTGCCGTGTGACTTTGGCAAGCCCTTTAATTTCTCTATGTCTCTTTCCTCATAGGTAACATGAGGGTAATATTATTATTATATGAGTTGTACTAAATAAATTGGCATGTGTAAAATTCTTAAAATGGTGCCTGCCATGTAACTACTATGTGTTAGGTATTAGGACAGTGCTTATATAAAGGGATGTTATGGTGTTACTGTTAGGTAAGGTGACATCCTTCAGATACCTGAAGGATATGAGAGCTGAACCATGTGACTCCTTGGGGAAGGAGCCTTCCCAGCAGAGTGGGCATGCGCCTGGTGGGTTTGAGGGGCAGAGGGAGTGTGGGGGATGGAGGGGAGTGGTCAGAGAGGCAGCAGGGGCAGGGCATGTCCAGTCCTGTAGCCACTGTGAGTACTTTGCACTCTAGAATGGGGGCCAATGTGGAGTTTGAGCAGACGTGCTCCTAATGCAGTTTTGGCAGGATTCCTGTGGCAACTATGGAGAGAATGGACAATGGAGTATCCCCAGGGGGTGCAGTGTGGGTTAGACCCTGAGGCATGTCAAGGGGCAAGGTCAGGGGATTTGCTGGTTGGCTGCATTGGGTGGGAATAGCGAGGGTGGAGGATGAGTGCAGGCCTTGAAGGGTGGAGTTGCTCCTTAGTGACTGATGTAGACTGGAAGGAACAGGTCTTGAGCCTGTTGATTTTGATTTACATGTTAGTCAACAGGGGAGCTGAACGGGCAGCATGGGAGTTCAGTGGAGTCAGTGCTGGAGATAATAGCATGGGAACCATTGGCATACTGAGGGTATTCATTACAGTCTTGTGGCTGAGGTCACCACGCAGCGAGGAGGGAAGGGACAAGGAAGCAGCAGAGGTGTGTGTGAGAAGGAGCTGAGGAGGGGCAGAGATAGGGGCAGGGAGGGGGGTGAAGAGAGAGAGATGGTCCCGGCAGTCAGCGAGGGAGACATTTTGAGGAGAAAGTGGGCATCTCTAGTAAGATAAGGACTGAGATGTGGCCATTGAATTAGCAGTGGCCTTGGTAAGAGCTGGAGAGTTGGGGGTGGGAGCAATGGCCCTACTGGGCAGGGTTCCAGAGAGAACAGGGAGGAGGAACTGGAGCACGCAGGAGCCTGGCTGAACAGGAAGCAAAGAAATAGAGGGAAGGCTGCAGAGGGGGAGGCTGGTTGAGAGCTGTAGTTCGGTTTTTGGAATGAGAGTAATTACTACGCGTGCCTGTGCTGATGGGAAATGCATGATGCAGGAGAGAGAGGGTGGGAGGGGCAGGGATCCATTGCCGAGTAGGGGGGCCGGCCCCAGGGAGGTACCTTTTTAGGGACCACAGGTCAGAGAGGTGCAGGGAGCAGAGATGGCAGGGTGAGCACAATGGAGGCAAGAAGGCTGCAGTGCTTCTCCTGGCCTCTGTCTTCTCAGCTGAACGGACAGTAAGTTGAGAGTGCCAGGGAGTGTTGGAGGTTGGGGGAGAGACAAAAAGGGCCTTTCCAATGATGCTATCTCGCACCACTCAGGGCCTACCTGAGTAGGGTGTCAAGAGTTTACGGTGGGACCAGTCAGCAGGATTCTGCATCTCCTCCAGCTGTGTACAGCTGCTTGGGGCAGAGGAGATGGGGAGTTAGATTTAATCAGCTCTGGGATTTGCCAGAAAGCGCTTTGGAGGGCAGAGGAACGTGGTGGCACGTGAGAGCACCAGGGAGCCAATATGACTACAAGGCTGTGGCTCTGAGTCGGGTAGAGAAGAAAGCAAGGATGTAGCAGGGGGAGGGGTGGCAGAGAGGTGGTGGAATCGGGCTTTGTGGTCTTGGTGGGTGGAAGAATTTACAGGGTTGGGATGTCAGGGAGTGAGTTGGGAAGGTAGGAGATGAGGCTCAGAAAAGGGCTGCTCAACTTTGAGAGCAGGGAGTCCTTTTGGTGACTTACAGGGAGAGGGTGGAGGTTAAGATTAAAACACCAGGCCTTGCAGGGCAGTGGCATCCTGGGTTTTAGCAGTGTGTGGAGGATGTAGGACATTGTGCTGGGGATGTGTGCTCCCTGGGATGGTTTTGGAAGTTGGGAGATGGCATTAGAGGCTCTTTGGAGTTTTCTGGGCTGAGAGCTTGATTGCTAAGGGACAGCCTGGGAGTTGTCAGCTTCTTGAGCTGACAGCCAAGTGGGGATAAAGCGTTTCTTCTGATGGAAAGGTTGTGGTTCTGAGGCTGCTGGCACATTGGGAAGGGCATCTTGCGGGTTCCCATCATTGTGGAGCTACATCTTTATTTCTGAATGTTGGACATGGGGCACTTGGGGAGGCCAGTATTACCAGGAGATTTTTCTTTTTTTTTTTTCTTTCTCTTTTACCTTTTGTGTATCAGTATTTCTTAATAAGAAATGCCTATTTATTTAAATTCGGTGGGAGATATTTTTGACATAATTTTTTCACTTTCTCTCTGTCCTCTGTTTTGGAGAATGACAGTGATGGAGCAGTGGGCTGGGAGCCTTCCTGTCACCAGCACCTGTGACTTTGGAGCAGCTACTTCCTCTGGGACTGTTTAAAAGAAGGGGTGTGGGGCTCAGCTTTAAGGTCCTTTGGTTTTAGAATTAAACTCTATTTTGTTGGTTTATGAAGCATGTTTTTTGTGCCCATGATCTCAAATTTCTTTGGTTTTTAAAACTTTATCTATTTATTGTACCTTTAAAACAAATACATTTTATACCTAATGCAAATTAGTATTTTTTGAAGAGTGTTAGGCAGAATAAATGTGTATTTCCCATCAGAGAAGGAACTACTGATAAGTACTTCAAGAAGACCCAGAATTAGCATGTGTGTTTATATAAATTGTGAAATCATCTTCTCCCACTTCTTCCCCCTTTTTTACAAAAACAAGTTAAGAGTCAGAGAAGGAAAGAAGAAATGGGATTTGCACCGTCATGGACTGATACTGCCTGGGTGTAGTTGTTTTGCTTGGTGAGCAGAACTTGCTGTATTATCTGTAGCTTTCTTCATGTATACTTGGGCACTTGTAAATGTTACCAAGTGCCTCTGACCAGAATGGGTGGGTCATTTTCCATGTCGTCTTAAAATGACTGGAAAGTTGGTGATGAACAGAAGGCTTATTTTGATATCTGAGTATGGCCTGAAGGCTATGCTGAGTGAGTGAAACCCAGAGCACTTCTGAGCAGGTTTTGGTTGGTTTGGTTCCTCTTTTGTTGGTGCTTTTGTGAGGGCCAATTCTGTATGGCACTAGACAGAGCTGGTTAGGCTCAACAATACAGTGTTACCAGGCGGGTTGAGAATGGACACCCACAAGCCCAGGAGCCTCCTGAGGCCAGTCCCCCATAGTGCCTGGGCCACACGGGGCTGGGCCTGTTAACCAGGGCAGGCTCGGGGTTCATGTCTTTTACCCTCTACAACAGTGCAGCCCAGCAGGTCATTACCACCTCACCTCCACGCATGGCAGGGGCAGGGGGAGCGGTCAGGGCATGCCTGTCCTGCTGCTGTCACCCAGGCGAGCCACACATTCCACACTGGCTTGAATGGCAGTGACTTTGGGCCTGGCAGTGTCCTCTGCCAGTCTCCTTCACTCACAATTTCATTTCAACTTTGTGTTATAGTGAAGTATTTAATATGACACTTTTTTTTTATTCTTTAATAGTTCAAATAGTAATGTATGCCAAGGTCAGACTAATATTTTGTTTACTAGCTTAGTAATTTTCTTCTTGTTCCTACCTGAATTAATTTATATGGGAGCAAGTGCTGCCTTTTTTGCTGTTGAGTACCAGAGAACATACAGTAAATAATGATTTTTACATATTGAAGTTGCAGTTGTTGACTGTGATGTTGAAGATGTCTTCAGACAGTAGTTTATACTGCATTCCACACTTGAGGCTCAAGTGATTGGAGTGATTTCTGCAATTACTAGTTTGTTCTATAACTAAGACTGTTTGTTGGTCTCTGCATATACTTTCAGGTCATTAAATGCTACAGAAATGAGAAATGAAATACAAACTTTTTAACTCCTACTCAGATGTCCAAACAGCTTCTTAGTTCCTGTCAGATCAGTAATAATACTGGGTTTGGTCTTTCTTAAACCAAGCATAATCCTGCTTATCTTAGAATGAAACAGTATTCCTATTCAGAGGTAAATAGAGTTAACCTTTACTCGTGTAATTTTTATTGTTTGTTTTACCATTTCATGGTGTTCATACTAGCCCCTTTTCCTTTCCCTCTAAGTGACTGCTGAGGTTCTCACCATTTCAGAATAAAATTCTTGTCCTTTGAGGTTGGAAATTTAATGATAATTGAAAAACTGTATGTGTCAGTATACTTAAAAGGAAAGGTTATATCATTCTCTTCATTTTGGATGTAAAATTTACCTGTTAGAGAAAATTTGGAAATTATAGAAAAGTAAAAAAAAAAAAAAAAAAAAATGGAAAAAAGCTATTGTGCTTGTCTCCTACAAAGAGAACTACTGTGGACCTTTTATGTCTCATTTCTTCTGTTTTTTAAAAGCTGGGTTTGTCTAAAACCACTGTCACCAAAACAATAAAACCCATACCCTCCAAATTTGTATGACATATAATTGTGGTGACATTGTCTAGAACATTTTAAAAAAAATATTATTTATTTTTAGAGATGGATCTTGCTGTGTTGCCCAGGCTGGACTGCAGTGGCACAATCATCGTTCACTGTAACTTGGAACTCTTGGGCTCAAGCATTCCTCTTGTCTCAGCCACAGCGTCCAACTAATTTTTTCATAGAGATAGGGTCTTGCTTTGTTGCCTAGGCTGATCTCAAACTTCTGGGCTTAAGGAGTCTTCCCACCTTGGTCTCCCAAAGTGCTGGGATTACAGATGTGAGCCATTGTGGCTAGTCCTGTATATAAAATTTATATATTTTTCACTTAGCATGATAAACAGAAGTATTTCTCCAATTACAAATGTATTGAACTGTTTATAAAAACTATTGATTATTATTTTTGATCACTACATAATTTTTCATGTGGGAAATTTTCCGCTTATTCAGTCCTTTATTACTAGACATATAGGTTGTTGTTTTCTTTTTCCTTTATAATCAATATGGTAATGAACATCTTTGTGTCTAAAGCCTCCTCTGAACATCAGATCATCTCAGCAAGGTAGAATCCTAGCAGGCATTCTAATGACTCAAAAGTTTTGGGTGCAGTCTACAAAATTACTGTATGACAAGGTATTAATACATGATACTAATATTTGAGTTAGCAAAAGCTGCTTATTGGATATCTAAGTTGGGCAGCATTTGGTAGGCTTATTTTTTACTCCTTTAAATTACTTCTTTCAAGTGATTAGAAACTTTTAAGAATCTTAATCAGTAGGTGAAAGAAAATCTGGCTTTTTTAAGGCTCTTTGTATATTGAAATAGCTGGGCAATATTTCTAGTAACCATATTGATGTTTTACTGCTATATACATGATTTGCCAATTTTTAAACTAAGACCTATAGTAAAAAAAAAATTTATATTTGAATCCAGTTGGTTTCTTATTGGTAAACACACATGAAACAATATTTGTCTTTATGCATTTCATAATGTTATATTCTGAACTTTCTGTTTCATTCCATTTTTTAAAAAAGATGAGTCATGATCCTCTAAATGGATTTCATAATCTCCTGGAGGTTCCAACTCATAGTTTGAAAAACACTATACTGTACTGTGACAGGCGGCGAATCCAGAGGAACACATGGCTTATTTCCCTGACTGCTTTTACTTTTCCTGTGTGTGGGTGGGAATCTTGTACTCGTTCATCCTGGCAGTACCTGAGTGAGAAATAAGGAAGCTAAGTACCCTGCCCAACGGCACGCAACTACCAGTGGTCAAGCTCGGACACAGTCACTTCTGGGTGGCCCCCAGGTCCAGGGTTTCACAGTCCAGCAGCATAGAAGCCGTTTCAGCTTCTGTTGTCCTGGAAGACGCAAAGGCATCCAGAAGAGAGGCACATGATCTGCAGGAAAGACTCCGCCGTAGCGGTTCAGCGCAGGTTTACCAAAGGTTGTTCACCTGGAATGGACTGTGAACCCCCCACCAGGAACTGTGGCACAGGCAGAAGTCAACCAGGGTGAAATGCAGCTTTGCACTCTGACATTTGCCCCTTGAAAACCTGGAGCCTGGTAGAGTTAGGGGTGGAAAGCAAGTTTTCCATCAGCAGAGGAGCATCTTCCATAGCTCCCAGAAGGATCAGTTAAAAGTGTCAGTCCGATGGCTTCCTTCGGGTTTTGTGAACCTCAGCGGCTTCGCCTGCCCTTTGCCTTTAACCAGCCAGTGGGGCCCTGCATGAGGTGCCCGGGGAGGTGGTGCATGCATAGCATCCTTAGTAAGCCTGGAGGCGGGTATGCTCTCTGGCAGCAGCTTTCTTCCTGGCTTTCTTGTGGAATTGTCCTCCTTACCAAGATGCTTCTGCCAGGGTAAGAGGAAGGCCAGTGAGTGCTTGGGAAGGAAGTTGGCAGTAACTTCCAACAAACCTTGCCCCACTGTAACTTCTCAGAAGGGTGATGTGACCAGCTGCAAATACCAAATGGAAAGAGATTTTGCCTAGAGAGTTTTCAGGAGGGCCTGATGAACCTGAAAACCTTCCCTGAATGCAGTGTACCTTCCATTCCATACAATAACCATTGAAGGGCTTCATCTTAATTAACTCACATGGACATTTCTAATTGTGGAAGAAAATACTGCCTCCCCTCACCAGGTGAAACCATCATTGAAATCAAAGCTAATAGCAGACAACACTCTGTTCCCAAAGAGCAGGTTCATTATATCATGCCAACAAGTAGCATTTCCTATTTTCAGCCTAGTCACATTGATTGACTGGAGCTTAAAAATAGAAAATAAGAGTATATTGTTGATCTTGGATTTCTTTGAATGCTGAAAAAAATGCTGCCTTTAAAATCAAATTTTACCAAACTTGGCAGATTACAGTAGGAAAACAACAGATAAATGTGGATTTTTCTACTCCTGTTCTCTAGCACAGGGAATCTACTAGAGGGCCCTGCCTCCACTTCCATCAAACAAGGGAAGAGAATGCTCTTCATGAGGTCACTGTTAACTGAGCCAGCATAGGGAGGCTCAGCAGGTGAGCTGGCTTGGTGGGAGGTGGTGGTTCTGAATCTCTGCTCTTTTGCAATGGCCTTGGGACCTGGGGCAAGTGACCCTCTCTGAGTTTTAGTTTCCTCAAGTGCACAGTGTGGCCTTGAGAGCCTCAGGATCTTCGACATGACCGAACATTCATAAGGCTCAGTGCTCACTGTCTCCTCTTCCCTTCCTCTCCCCTTTTCTCTCTGGGTCTTGAGAGAACATGAACCAGGACCACAGTGCCACGCCCATGGCTCTTGGCATATTTTATTGAACATTATTTATGTGGTTAACAGATCAGAAAATCTTAGTGATCCTCTGATGGCTCCAAGGGATGCTTCCTTTTTTTTTTTTTTTTTTTTTAAAAAAAGAAAAAGACAGGGTCTCACTCTGTTGCCCAAACTGGAGGGTAATGGCACAATCATAGCTCACTGAAGCCCCAAAATCCTGGGCTCAAGCAGTCCTCCCACCTTAGCATCCCAAAGTGTTGGGATTACAGGCATGAGCCACCATGCCCAGCTTTATTTTTCTTTTATAGTGATGATGACTTAAAATAGTCAACTTTAGGTACCTTGCTGCAGTATCACAGCCCAGTATTTTTCTGCTCATGTTTTTCCCCATGTCTTAATGGCTCAGGTTTTGCAGGAGAGTGACAATTGTATGTACTGGTGTGTGTGTAATTGCACTCACACATGTGTTCAAGGTTGTAAAGTTGTGTTCACCATTCACCAGTGTTATGGAGAGATACTTCCTGTCTTCTTGCTCCCATTGCATCTCTGTGTCTGTCTCCCTCAGTATAGCTGAGACCAGAGCTGGATGTGGCAGCCATGTGCTTCTTGAGCACTCACATGGAACAAAAAAGAAAGAGAATGGAGCTTCTGTTGTGCTGGGCTAATTGCCTTATTATTGATTCAGCTGTATAAGTGAAATGGATTGTTTAAACATTTTTGGTTTTGTGATTGTTTTAATTCAGGTTTTATTAAGCTGGGCAGCAGATCATTGATTGCACAGGATTCGGAGGCACATTCATTTGTATCTTCCAGGGTAGCTTTTCTGAATGCAAATCTTGTCCATCTGGTTGCCTATTATCCATCCTTCCAAAGCTCGACAGACTTGATTAAATTCAGAACCGCTCTGCCTTGATAGTGGCATCTCAAATTTTATCATTAGTTATGCATCACATTTCCTTGTGTCTGAGGTGACCCTCAGAGGCTATGATATTGCCTTTCTACTTTCTCAAGAACCAGAATGTTTGAAGGGCAGTTTAAAGTTATAGAATGAAGTAGGAAATACATTTTAGATTTTTTTTCCCTTAAAATATATATCAGGTCTGAAAGGAAAATACTGTAGGTGATTATCTTACTTGCAGATATGCCTGTGAACTTGGCCGTCAGGAATCAGAGACGTGGCCTAGAACACCATTCACGGATCAAAAAAATAAAGAGTCTGTGGGATATCCATGGCTATAAAAAGAGGTTGAATTGTTCTGCTTTCTCTGTCACATGTTAATATTATGCCATGTGATTCAAGTAGTGAACCAGCTCTTTATTCTCCTCTGAAAATGCGGGGGGGAAACTACCTTAGTATTCACATTTTGGTTTAGCCATCCAATCAAAGTTTTGTTACAGATTGGTTCCACTGTATTTGTCCTGAATTACATGTTCTTTTTCATGTTTGATGTATAACCTTTAAAAATCTTACTTAGTTTCTTCATGTGCTTTCTCCTTTTCATTCTGTTTGAGCTAATTTCTGATTATGTAGCCGTGATTTCAGTGTTGATTCTTTTCAATCTAAATCTCCCTCTTTAGTGAGGATGGCACCCTCATTAAAGTCTCCGCAGATGACTGCCTTGCTTCAGTCCCGTCGCAGCCTGGTGCTGCCTTTCTTACTTGTGGTCATATTGTCCACAGGTCTCTCTCGTGTGTACACCTGCCCGTCCTTTCTTGCTGGATGGGCAGAACTCAGCCCAGGGAGGCCTTGCCCCTCCGTGTTTCCTGTGTCTGGACAGAAGATGCACCTTACTTGAAATCAGTTGCAATGGTACCATAAAACAGATTTATATGTTTAATCTCCATGTTGGATCCTGCACAGTTACTCTACTGTAACCCAAATTCATAGATGTATTTTTTTTTTTTTGAGATGGAGTCTCACTCTGTCGCCCAAGCTGGAGTGCAGTGGCACAGTCTCGGCTCAATGCAAGCTTCACCTCCCAGGTTCACACCATTCTCCTGCCTCAGCTCCCCGAGTAGCTGGGACTACAGGCGCCTGCCACCACACCCGGCTAATTTTTTTTTGTATTTTTAGTAGAACCAGGGTTTCACCGTGTTAGCCAGGATGGTCTTGATCTGACCTCGTGATCCACCCGCCTCGGCCTCTCAAAGTGCTGGGATTACAGGCGTGAGCCACCATGCCCAGCCCATACTTGTATTTTTAAATTCTCTTATAGGGAAATCATGAATGCAGAAATATGAGTTGGATTCTTTCTGAATTTTTTTCCTTCTGTTGTTTTAACTATTCCTCTTTTTGGTTTCTCTTCTCCCTTGTTTTTTGAGTTGGGGAAGATGTGGAACAGGACATGTTATGTACGTGTTCTTTGTTTAAAAGAAAATTGGAAGCAGTACCTTCCTCCCTGAAAGGGGGAAAAAGTGGTGTTTTGTGTTTTCCTACAAGCTGTTTCTGCATACTTGTGCTTGACTGCTGTAGAGGAACTGGGCTTTGGGGGTATGTCAGTGTCCCAAGGACCCCACCCATTGCACCTCAGAGTTGCTGATCCCTAAGGCAGCATAGCTGTAACGTGTTGATGTGATGACTTGGCCCTTTCCCTCTTCCAAGGGTGGAGAGAATCTCAGCTTTCTCCCTGCATCCACAGTTTGTTGGAATTCTCTTTTTTCAGTTTACTTGTTCCAGCCCATACAGAGTTTGTAAAGATTCTGAACTGAGGATATTGTTTATAGAAGAGGAATTTTAATAAGAAATGTTATTCAGTAATTCCTCATTCAATAAATATTTATTGAGAATCTGGTTGCGGGGTTAGGGTGGCACCTTAGTATTCCCATTCTGGGTTAGCTTCTGACCAGCGTTTTCTCTTAGGCACTGAGGATTTTGCAGTGAACAAAGGAGACGGTCCCTTTCCTCAGAAATTACATTCCAGTGTGGGAGGAGGGAAGAGACAGATGACAAGCAAAATAAGTACTGTAATCTTACCTTCCGCATCTGTAGCCTCAGCTGTGTAGAATGCCAGGGACATGTGAGGGTGTGAGCCAAGCCCGTCCTGAATTGTGTGCACTGAAACTCTTAACCACTGCTCCCACGCCTGCCCATGCGTTTTTATCACAGGTCTTTCCCCTTTCAGGGAACCAAGGCTCTTTGTTTCCCAAGGTGGATCCTTCAGGCTCCTCTTTGCATTCACTTCTAAAGAACGAGAGAGTGTCCTTTCTCAGCCCTTAGTTGATTCAGAGCAGAAAATGGAAGGGAGAGTGAGGGGCAGATAGGGAGGCAGGGGACAGAAAGACCAAACCTGAGAAGCAGAAGCTACTTCTATCAGCTGAGGACCTCAAGGCTGAGCCACAGAGAAGAGAACAAATTCTGCTTAGCATGTGGAGGGAAGCCCACGTCATATTTTGTAAAAAAGCTTATTTTAACTGATGATTAAAATGAAGCTTTAGTTCAGAAGAGGGTAAAAATAGATGGAAATCTGTTCAGATGGGATTTCTTAGTTGAATCTGGAGTGATGCAGATACACCGTGAGAGGCAGAGCTGAGAGTCAAGAGGCTCCCGGGCCAGCGCTGCTGTCTGAGAGGCCACAGAATCTCTTCCAAAGGTGTAGATAGACCAAGCTTGTCCAGCCTGCAGCCTGCAGGCCGCATGTGGCCCAGGAGTGCAGCCCAACACAAATTTGTAAACTTTCTTGAAACATTATGACCTTTTTTTGCATTTTGTGTTTTGTTTTTTGCTCATCAACTATTGTTAGTGTTACTGTATTTTATGTGTGGCCCAAGACAATTCTTTTTCTTCCATTGTGGCCCAGGGAAACCAAAAGATTGGACATCCCTTGTGTAGACTAATGAAGTGACGCTTCTTCCCAGGCATGATGACACTGTTTTGACAGGGCTGCACCCTGTTTTGACAAGGTGGGACCCTGTCTTATAGGGGTATAAACAAAGGAAGTAATGTGGTAGGGGATGCAGAGTTTTCTCAGAACTCCTCCTAGGTTAGTAGTAGCGGGTTCCACCTCCTCCACCAGCTCAGCCCCTGTAGAGCATACTCTCATTGCACCATCATGACTTGCCTGGAGGTTGAGGAATGGGCAGATAATTATTATACCTGTTACTTAATCAGATGTGCACTGGATGAGCACCTGCTTGGGGCTCTCCTTGTGTTGGGTACTTGGGGGGAATACATACTTGGAGGGAGTACTTTATACCAGGACTAACAAGTACAGCTAACTGATCTTCCAGTCCCTTGCTAATTAAAAGGAAGGGAAAAAAAGGATTACTGGCTGAGGTAGATATAAATGCAGCCTAAAACAACATCTGATAGCCTGGAAATCAGATACAAAAGCTGTGAAGACCTCCATTGCATGCTAGTGGAATAGCAGGGGATGTTAACAGCATCTCTTCCTTGGTGAGGTAGCATGGTGTCATGGGAAAGAATGGCCTTTGTTTCAGGTAGAGCTCCCTGATATCCCTGACCTAGTGTCTCCCTGCCGCTTGGCAGCTGTGTGAACTTAGTAATGTTCTTTAACATCTCTGAGCCTCTTTTAAAAAATCTCTCTCTCTCGTATATCTCTATTTAGTTATTGAGAATCAACTCACTGTAGGCATTGCATAAGAGAAACACAGTGGTGATGCCCCCTGGCCCTCAGGGTCCCACCTTGTTGAAACAGTGTCATCATACCTAGGAAGAAGCATCACTTCATTCATCTACACCATGGGTGTCCAATCTTTTGGCTTCCCTGGGCCACATTGGAAGAAGAAGAATTGTATATGTACACACACACACACACAGGATAATTATTAGAAGTTTCAAGGTTTTGTGGAAATTGGAATTTATGTAGGTGAAATGCCTGGATACAGTGCCTGGCACATAACATTCATTCAGTAAGCATCAAGCTACTGTTATTATAAATATGATTTGAACAAATGGAAGAGAAAAAAGAAAATACCTTTAGCAGGAGCTCAGAGGAAATAATCAGCATGAAATGTTCGTGGAACATATTTAATGTGTTATCTATTCTGTTGCATAAGGTTTTCTAAAGTGTCCTGAATGTGGCAGCACAGTACCTATGGCACGGCACAGTATCATAATACTCCTCACTCAGTTATTTCCTCCTTTCATTAGCCCAGGTTCTCTTGTTTTATTTGTTACTCAGTCATTTATAGAGCATGGATGATAAGTGATGCTCCATGCCAAGCACTGTACTGTGTCTAAGATGAACAGGATACAGTATTTGTAATCAAAGGAACTTGTATGTGGAGGTTGGGCTAGGACATCCACTTATTATAAACTGAGGGAGGGATGTGAAGAGTGGGGAGCAGTGGGCAGGGGTGGGAGGGGCTGATGATCCACCCAGCTGGCCTGAAATAGGAGACGATGGCATGGACAGCTCCCAGGCCCACCACTGGGCTGGCTGAAGGTCTCCTGTTTATGGAAGCAAGTGGGGGATCTGAAGGATGACACTTTCCATATCCTGTGCCTGAGGTTTGGTTGTGTTAAAGAGAAAATTATTCCATGAGTCTTGTTAAAGCACAGTAAGGCAAACTTGACTAAGGACCATCTCGATAGGTAGAGGGACTGCAGCAATGGGGTTTTGTGATGGGGGAAAGAGATTAGGTTCAAGTCTAAATATAGCATGGGCAAGTGGGAATTTATGGCCAAGGAGCAAGGGATGTGGTTAGTGAATGGAAAATTACTAAGAGGAAACATCAGGAGTAAGGAGAATTCTGGCTAAATCAGTCTGACAGGATTCTTGCTGAAGGCAGACAGGGAGGATCACCTGAGGGTGATCAAGGACAAGGAGCTTGATTAGATGTCGAGGGTCAGGGGTTCTTGCTAATCTGACTTAGCAGGGTGCTTTGCTAAAAGTGGAGTTTATAAGGAAGTGCACAGTTGGGCCCAGGAGAAGGTTCAGAAACCCGACCAAAGCTTGGCCAAGCAAAGACTCTTTCTTTAGAGTCATCCCCCAGCATCTTGGGGATCTTTTTCAGAATACTTGGGACCACTTGATGAAAATTTGAACCCAAGGTCTCTTTTGCTGCCCTTTTTCTAGTGTTCATGGCTTCTATGTGTATTATTCATGGCAAAGTATGGGCCCTTGGTCTACTGAATGATTTTGTGTTTGAAAGTGGAAATGTCTGATTTGTTATTGAGGTATCTCAGTGTTAGCATCTTCATTTGTCCCTGATGTTATTGAGTCCAGCCTGCATACGTAAATGCATAAATAAATCTCTCTGTGGATTTTCTGTTTTTTTTTCTCCCGGCACATCCCACTCTTTGCACCTCTCCTTACACTCAATATAGTTATATTCCAGGCTCCTCTAATCTCCAGGCATTTGCTTCAATGGTGGCCACACTCTAAGGCACTCAATTCAGTACTGGAGTTTGATCCTAACTCTAGAAAATCAAGTCTTTACATGTCAGCCATAAACCTCTGGAAGTGGATTAAATAGGAATTTTGATGATTAAATGTGAATATTACCACAATATAATAAAATTGATGTTTTTCACTAAAGTAACATTGTGACACCTTTGCATCCACAGAAACAGTGTTTCTTCAAAGCAGCCATGTTAGGTGGAGCTCGTTTTGATGCCTCTTTAGGAATGGCGGTAGTCCTGGCTCACCAGTGGCAGAAGGACCCCGTCTTGCCACTGGATAGTGTATCCGCTCCCTTTCTCCTGTATTTTGCTCCTTGAGATTTCCTGCACTTAGCATCTCTGCATCTTCACCCTCATCTCACCCTTCTGGTATTGCTTTGCCATTATGATCTGAGAAGATCCTCTTCTGAAAATCAGGAAACCATGGTGAACTAGCTAGACAGTGAGACCATGCTGAGGCTGGAACCAAGAGCCTTACTCTGAACCTAACAGGAAGCGATTGAACTTTCAGAAACACAGAGGGCAAGGACCTCTCTGCCAGGACCTGTCTTATTTGCTTATTTGCACTCACTGCTGCTGCAGCTGCTCTCTGTGACAGCTTCTCAGAGTGTGCGGGTGGAGGGGTCATTCCAGAGCAGAGGGGCTGGTGCTGGATTGGAAAGCTGCCCACCACTCCAGGTCAGAAACACTAGCCGTCCCTCTACCCACAGCCTGCACAAGTTGTGTCCCAGATCTCAGTGTGGGTGGTGCCCCTGTCAGGAGGGCTCTTTCCATTGAGCGCCTCTGCAGGGTGCACTGCTGTGCTGTGAGGAAGGCAGAGCAGAGGACAATGGGATCTTGGCATTCCCAGCATTGTATTGTGTATCAGCTACGTTAGGCCTTAGTTAGAGATATTTGGGGAAATGGTTGCAGCGGCACTTTTGGAAAGTATAAACTGCTGGTAAATGGAGGTTCTGTACACTGAAAGTGAAGGTGTGTCTCCTTGACACTGCCTTTTGGCAGATGGAGGTTCCTGATCTTCATGGCTTCTAAGGAAGTGACTTCTTTCACTAGAGGGATTCAAGCTAGGGTTCTGCATTCAGATGTGCTAGATGTGGAACCATAGTTGTGCTATGTGCTAGGAGTCTGACTTTGTATGATTTACCTTATCTGGTTCTCCTTATTCATCTAAAAAATAGGATTAGTAATGTCTGTTTTAGAGAGTGTCTGTGAGGATTAAATAAACATGTCTGGCACATGGTAGATGCTTACTAAACATTAGTTTCTTCCTGTGTTCTTGGTTACCCACAGAGTTAACGTTCAGAAAGCATCTGTTACCTCAGTAACAATGGACGTAGAATATGCTAACTCAGGTGATCCAGAGTATATGCATATATGTATATAAGTTACTGAATCTGACAGAAGGAAGAGTCAAGGATGTTTTGGTGACTGAACTCTAAAGCAGCATAAGCTCGTGGAAGGTAATAAATAGTGAAACTCTGGAAGCACCAAGTTTAAAAGGAAAAAGAGTCAATGAAGCTAAGAGATTACAATTTGATAACAAATGACATCATATACCAACACTTTAGGAAACAACTGTCAGGCAGAACTTTAAAAAAAGATTTATGGAAATTGTTTTAAAACTCATTATTAAATTTGGCAGCACATCCTCAACTTGGAGAGAAAGGAAGAGGCAAAGAAATCAAAGGCTCTGACAGTAATTTATGGATGTAGGCAAATGATAAATACTTCCAGAGCTTGAAATTTACACCATCATTTGCTTGAAAGTAACCACTTGTTAACTGGATTTGGGAAGTAAGTTTATGACATTGACCTACTTCCTGATCATCAGCAAAGAAGCTGCATTATGGAAGGTCCTGCCTGGCCAGCATTAAAGCTTCAGAGTAACAGTGGGCAGAGAAGGTGCAGGAAGCTGCTGCCTCTAGAGCTGGAGATGGTAACAGGCTATCTTTATCTTACTGAGCCTGGAGGAAAAGGTTCTAGGAAATGGGAAAGAGGAGCGGTGTCAGGCATTTGGCACAGCTGTCAGTGGATGGGGCTTAATTGGATTGATGGGCTGTGGTTATCCCACAGATAGGTTAAACCCAGCAGCATATCCACCGCCGAACTGGGTCTTCCAGCTCCCTCCTCTGTGCCTTAGCCCAGTGCATGGCCCCATTGTCAACCACTGCTTGTCACTCTCATCTGCCTCCTTGTCCTCATGTTCCAGCTTTCATTACTTACCAGGTGCATCCCGTCTCCTCCAGATCTTCAAATCCATCTACTTTTTCCAACCCCTTTCCCACGTGGATGATGACCACAGCTCCCAACTGACAACTTTTACTCCTTGGGCTCATTTTTTTCACCAGCGTGCGGTCATAATGGTGTTTTTAAAGTGTGTATTTGGTCTGGTCACTCCACTCCTTCAGTAACTCCCTGGTTCTCTGGGGATAAAAATCCAGACTCCTTCACCAATTTTTTCTCACTGCTTCCCCCTTCTTATGGTGCGTCTCAAATGCCCAGTATGCTTTTTTTTTTTTTTAAATTAACCCTTGTGTCTTTGGTGTACTTTGCTTCTTATGCCCTTCGCCTGCTCCCTTGTTAGCCTGGGTAACTAACCCATTCTTCCTGGAGGCACTTACCTGGGGCAAAAGCCTCTGACTTGTCTGCCTCATGCCCCACCCCCAGCCTTTAACCCTGGGGGCCACAGGGCCTCACCATCGTGTTTCTCTTAAGGAACACCTACATCGAGTTGATTCTCCATAAATATTTGTTGAGTGTTTAATGGAGTAATGATAGTGGACTCAAATGCCTTTTTTCTAGCTTTCAGGGTGTTGTCATTTCATATGCTTTTCAGCTGTCTGCAACAGCAGATTTCATAAATATTGCCCCATAGTTAAAAGACCTAGTCATTTGCTGGGTATTAAAATATCAGCAATCCAAGTGGTATTTTTCCCGTTCCATTGATAGTGCTAATTCATGCCTCTCAGGAGAGGCTGGTTGCTAGGAGATTCTTTCTTTGAGTTCATTTGCATTTGAGTTAATGGTTGGTCCTTGCCAGTTTTTCCTTTTCTTTCCTTAAGTTGTTGAGAAGAGGTATTTCATTTGATCATTCTTTTATGTTCCTTTCATTATTCAGCTTATTTGTTAATGACTGTTGAACATTTGGACTTTATGCATGGTAGGGCGAGTACTGTTCGTGTCCTAATGTGGTACTGATTTCACTGACCGATGGCCCCTCCCCGCCCCGCCCCTGCCTTTGTGCTGGGGTCCGAGCACCGATAGTTTTAACCAGCATTGTTGCTCTGATCGTCCTAGGACCCAGTGAGGTCGTCACGTATATTTCTCTGATACATGATTTTTCTCTTCTCCTTTCTCTGAATTTAAACTTGTCACTTCACCTTCACATTTTCTTTTAATGAATATCCTTCTAAACATAAACACCAGCAGTCAAATTTGAACTGTTGAGATGTCATCAGTGGTTTGTCCCTCTGTCCTCAGGAAAAGTACAACTTCTTGTTCTGGCACCCAGGGCTTTCCAAGGTGGCCTGAATCCACCTTGCATGCTTTCCTTACCCACAGCTTTTCTTCTTCAACTGTCTTGCCTTGCGTGTCTACTGGCAGTTCCCTAATAAGCTTTTCTCTGTCCGTTATGTGCTTTGGCCTGTCCTCTTCCTTCTAGCTGAGATGCACCTCCTCTGAGCAGTCCTCCAAATAAAAATCCAGCTCTGCGTGAGGCCCGTCGAAATCTCACCTGCTCTGTGCAGTCATCTCTCCACCAGTTAGACTTGGAGCACTGCCTATCATTGCTGTATGTGTGATCCTTACTGCATTCTGCCTTGCTTCAGGATTATCAGCAGGGTAGGGGGAAGAGAGAGAGAGAGAGAGAGAGAGAGAGAGAGAGTGTGTGTGTGTGTGTGTGTGTCTGTGTGTGTGTGTGTGTGTCTGTGTTTGCTGTGGAAAGAAGCTCCTTGAGAGCGAGGACTGGATCTGAAATACCTCTCTGCAGTCCATTCAGTTCCATTCCTTAGTGGCATATAGAAGACATTTTAACTAATTTACCGGCTCATTTCTGTAGTCAGCACACATTTTGGGGGTATGGGGGGCACACATTCAAACCAGTGGTTATAGGGATATAAGAAGTACACAGGCATGTACCAGGCTTGGTGGGAGTGGGAGAGAGGCACGGAAGTGAGCCTAGGAGGGTCAGGAAGGCTTCCAGGGCTTAGGAGTTTGCCTGACACTTGAGGTGAGAGCCAGTGGCTTCCCCTAGAGAGGATATTCAGGGCAGAGGGGCTGGCCTGGTCAAGCCTGGGAAAAACTGAAAGAAGATTGTGTGGTGGCAAAGTTGCTGGAGCAGAAAGTGTGCGGTGAAGAGATACGGGAAACAAGGCCAGACTGGAGGAGCAGGCCAGCTCTGTAGGGGTGATGATCAGGTATGGCAGCTAGCGAGAGCTTGCCAGTCCCAGTGTTGTGAATTGGAGAGAGTTCTCAGGTGTGTCCGCCTGTGCCTGTGCTTCTATCAAGCCTCACACAGAAGGGAACAGGCACTAGCATTTATCCTGTTGCTCCCGCTGTCCCTCACCCTCACCTGGACTTTCCGTAACCCTCTTTATGGTTTTCCTTACCTGGCCTCTGGTGAATGTGGCAGTGAGCAGTAGAGTGCTCAAAAGGGAGCAGTGTTAGGGTGAAGCAAGGTTCCTGGCAAAGCCGCAACTAAATTTTAAGGTTTGGTTTTGTGGTGTTTTTTAAATAGAGACAGGGTCTCGCTCTGTCACCCAGGCTGGAATGTGGTGGCACAGCCACAGCCCACTGCAGCCTTGAACTCATGGGGTCAAGCGATCCTCCTGCCCCAGCCTCCCTAGTAGTTGGGACTAGACGCCTGCACCAGCATGCCCAGCTAATTGAATTTTAAATCTTAAAATGAAAGTAGGTTGTAAAATGAACTGTGACCAGACAGTGATAATCTTTAAACTTTCCAAAAGGATTGATAATTCTGTGAGCAGGGGCCATACCTGTTGTGTTTACTGCTGTGTGCCCAGCTCAGCATGCACCCCATGGCTTGACACAGGGCAGGGTATGTTTAGGTGTGAATAATTGTATGTACAGATGAGTATATACGTGAGTAGAATGTATTTCTATACATTATAGATGTATTTTGGCTTTTTATAATCTATATAAGGTCTTTACACATCTTTTGTTAAATTTAATGATGTTTTGTTTGTATTGCTTAGTAAATGGATTATTTTTTATTGTCATTATTAGTATGCTAATTGTTTATTGCTCTGGGCCATAGTGTTCTCAGTGAATACCCTGTTGGCCTTGGGAGGTACAGTTTCTCATTGTGTGGGACACTGGTGTGGAAAAATAGCAGCCACTTGACATGTGACAACTCCACACATTGCTGAATACCCCCTAGGGTGAAGAGGATGACATTGCTCCTTTAGTTGAGCACTATTGCTGGGATAAAGGAATGAAATTGATTTCTATATGTCAGTTTGTGTCTAGCACCAATAGATTTTTAAACCATCTTATATTTTCTGTGTAGAGGATTATATGCAAATAACAATAATTTTGTTTCTTTCCATTTCAATAAATTCCTTGTATGTTACGTTTACTTGTTGTTTTGCATTGACTAGGGCCCCCAATACAATGTTGATAGTAGGTGGATCCCAGTTTCATTCCTGACTTGAGAAATGTGTCTGATGTTTCACCGTTAAGTATACAGATTGCTGTAAGTTTTTGGCAGATAGCCTTTATCAGATTAAGATTTGCTGAGAGTTTTTATCCTAGGTGGTTATGGAATGTAGAGCCCCTGTTAGTTGGACTTAGTTCATTCTATACAATGCCTAACTCTGTTCTCTGTGCTCCATTCTAAGTGATTTCCTCAGATCTGTTTTTCAGGTCACCAGTTCTACATTCAGGAATATCTAACCTGCAGTTTAACTCATCTATTGAATTGTAGATTTCATTGACCATGTTAGCCATTTGGGCTGCTATAACAAAATATTATAGACTGAGTAGCTTATAAGCCGTAGAAATGTATTCCTTACAGTTCAGGAAGCTGGTAGATTCAAGATCAAGGTGCTGGCAGATTTGGTATCTGGTGAAGGTCAGCTTCCCGGTTCATAGATGACCATCTTCTTTTTGGTGTAACCTCACATGGCAAAAGGGGCAAGGAAACTCTCTGGGGCCTCTTTCATAAGGGCGCTAATCGCATTCGTGAGGGCTCTGCCCTCATGACCCAATCACCTCCCAGAGGTGCCACCTCCAAATACTGTCACACTGGGAGCTAGGATTTAACGTATGAATTTTGGGGGGACACAAATATTCAGTCTGTAGTGATTGTGTTTGCATGCATGTATAGACGTGTGTGTATATGTGTGTGTCTCTATGTGAATCCTACAAACATGGTTCTTTTTTAAAACTCCCTTTTATTTTTTTCAGAGTATCTTTTCCCCCTTATTTTAAAATTTATTTTGTTTTTCACCACTGTGCACAAATTCATTCTATGGTCTTTAGTTAGTTTTATTATCTCAAGTTTTTGAGGGTCTGATCTTGATATTTTTGAGTTTCTTGACTCTTGCTCAAGAGTCATGAGACTATTTTTTCCTCCTGTGTGTTGCCATTTTAGATGGTGAGCCTGTCATCGGAGGACATAATCTGGTGGAATTCTGGGAGACAGCCTGCTTTAGAGTGGTTTATAATTTGGCCAATTTGGTGTGAATTTCTTTTCCAGGAGTTTTCTGGGCTACATGTATAAAGTAGAATGTCAAAAACCACATTAGAGATACAGACAGACTGACAGTTACCAGTTGCTGGGAGATTGGGCAGTTGCTCCCCCTGCCAGCCCAGCCTCCTTTTCATTTGGGTTCATAGATACTTTTTCTTAATTCAGGTTTTTGCTAAGATCATAGCTCTCTGAGGGTTCTAGCTATATGTAAAAGTGTCAGTTCCAACTCCTGTGTTATATCCTGTCCTGCAGGAACGTTAAAATAATAGTGTCTTCAAACCAAGATACTTCTGAGAGTAAAGGGGGTTAGAATTCTTTATTATGCCAGATCACTGGTGTGAACCCGCATGTGTGTCACCTTAGTCAAAACCCAAGACCAGCTCACACAACTGGATAGCCCCTGTCCTGCCACAGACTTCAGTTCTCTCTTTGATTCGGGCCTTAGGCCGTTGACCCTGCTTTCTTGCCACACTTATAGGCATTTAAAAGGCTGTATTATATTTTAACTCACATTACAAAGTGCATGTAGCATGAGAGCTTTTAGGTTATCTGGTCTGTGTATTGGCAGAATAATCTGTCTTTAGTCTTAACATTAGCATCTTTATCTCCTTGATTAATCTTAAGATAGAATATTAGATACATTAAGATAGAAAATTAGAAATAGGACAGCAGAGAGGAACTGGGGAGGGAAGAAGGGAAAACGGAAACAGTTATAGCTAGGAAAAGAGAAGGAGGAGAAGAGAGACTGAGAGATGGGTTGGAAAGAGGAAGATGGAGAGGCAGAACGGGAGATGGAGAGATGGACAGACAGGGAGATGGAGAGACAGACAGACAGGGCAGTGGAGAGACAGATAGACAGGGGGAGATGGAGAGTCAGACAGGGCAATGGAGAGTCAGACGGGAGATGGAGAGACAGGGAGAAGACAGGGAGATAGGGCACTGGAGAGACAGATAGGGAGATGGAGAGACAGGGAAATGGGGAGACAGGAAGATGGAGAGACAGACAGGGAGATAGGGCACTGGAGAGACAGATATGGAGATGGAGAGATAGGGAGATGGAGAGACAGGGCGATGGAGAGACAGACAGGAAGATGGAGAGACAGGGAGATAGATAGGGCAATGGAGAGACAGACAGGGAGGTGGAGAGACAGACAGGGAGATAGGGCAATGGAGAGACAGACAGGGAGATGGAGAGACAGACAGGGAGATAGGGCAGTGGAGAGACAGACAGGGAGATGGAGAGACAGACAGGGAGATAGGGCAGTGGAGAGACAGACAGGGAGATGGAGAGACAGATGAGATAGGGCAATGGAGAGACAGAGAGATGGAGAGACAGGGAGATGGAGAGAGAAAGATAGGGCGATGGGGAGACAAGGCAGTGGAGAGACAGACAGGGAGATGGAGAGACAGAGAGGGAAACAGAGATAGGGCAATGGAGAGACAGGGAGTTGGAGAGACAGACAGGGAGATGGAGAGACAGACAGGGCGATGGAAAGACGGACAGGCAGGTGGAGAGACCGACAGAGGGAAGGAGAGGCAAACGGGGAGATGCAGAGATGGACAGGGAGATGGAGGGACAGACAGACAAACAGAGCAGATGACTGAGGGCTGGATGTGTGTGCACAGAGAGCTGCACACAGAGACACATCCATTCAGTTAGCAACCCACTTGCGGAGAGACTGCCCTGGAGGCCCACACATGTAGACGTGTGGACACAGAGACACACACTTGCAAAGACATACACGGAGATCACCTGCAGGGGCACCAGTGGCTGAAAGAGAGTGAAAATAGGAAACAACTAAATATAAGTGTGTTATGATAGTCCAGAAAATAAACTTGAAGTCAGTGGGAGTAGAAAAGATGGCTTTAGGTGGGATTAACCAGAACTGCAGTAGCAGCACTTGGCTGCGGCAGCCACAGCAGGAGCTGTTGTTCTCGTGGGAATGCTGATGTGGGCTGCTGGGCTCAGGCTTCCCTGGTGACAGCCTCCTGGAGCAAACCAGCCTGGTCAGCTCCTGATTTCATCCTGTTGACACTAACAAATGGAGATAATCACTGATTGTGAGGCAGTGGCAGGGACAATAATAGCAACAAAAGAAACAATCTGATTTAAAATTAACAGGCTTTGTTGATTTCATAATTGCCTCCCACATCATAGCCAGATTTGGAAATGTGACTACCTAAAATTGAAATTAGGGGTTTGAGATTTTAACCATATCAAATATTGCTCAAAAGACAGGAAATAGAACTAGTGATGTCTTCGGAGGGTAACTGTGGGGCTGTACCACAGTTGGCCTCCCAGTTGAAACTCACTTTCTGTGCATCTTGAAGTTCCAGAACCTATCAAGGAATCACAGAACCCTTGATTCCTTTGGGCTCTGCTCACTGACACTGTCTAGACCTAAGTGGACAGCCCATCTTGTGGAGATGATTTATTGGAGTGATTATCAGTTTGGGGCGTGGCAGTGCAGAGAAAGGGGGATGCGAGGGGCTTGCGAGGGGGAGGGGATAGTTTGACTTTACAGGCTTGCTTTGGCGCCTCCTCTCCATCCAGTGCTGTTTAGGTCTTACTGTGCTTTTCTGCTTTACTTTTTACTAGTTTTTCAGACCATTAATGATAGCTTATGATGGCTGCTTTTCTTAGCCACTATCTTATTACCTGGATCCTTTATAACACTGGAAGGTAAACTTGGTGCTGGTTTAAAAGCCAAGATGAGCAATTGTGGATCACTGTTACTGTGACATCTGTGGAAAAGACTGAAGAAAATGAGGTTGACCAGTATAAGAGAATACTGCCGAATTAAACTGTGCCACATGCCGTTTGATTTATCTTTAGTTTTGAATAAAGGCATTGTATTTTACTTTGTGCTCAGCTGACACATGGACTGAAAGCAGTGTGACCGAACACTCAGTTGTCACCTCAGAGTCTGGCAGGAGGCCCTTAGAATAACCATTCTTTGAATATTTTAATTCAGCTGTGTGTCTTAATAGGTATCAACATCATAAACAAAAAATAGGCTAAGACTCTGCTTCCTAAATATTAGATTGAAGTCAGCTCAGGGGATTCCATGACATTCCTTAAAACTGCCTTTTCCTCTAAAGCATTACTTCCTCAGGTTAATTTATGGATTATCTTGCCATTCTTTTAGGAGGTAGGAGACTCTAAGTCAGGAGTATGCAACACCAAACTTTTAAACATCAATTTCAAGCCAGCACTCCTTAGAGAACAGAAATTGTGTAATGAAATTTAACAATCTTTAGTGTCTCTAAGCCTAACATTTATGTATTGAGAGTTTTGTTTCTTTAGCCCTGATCTAAGTGCTGTGGCTTAATGTTTTTAATACCCATTATTTCTGGGGACCCTATTGTGTGGTGGACATCCTGCCCATTGCGCTAGTACCTGACTCCTAATCGTCATAGCAGTTCTCGAAGCTAGGTGTTATTAGCCCACTTTGTAGATAAGGAAAATGAGATCAGAATAGTATCACAATTTGCCCAAGGCCATAGAGCTAGCAAAAGTGAATTCAAATCTGGATCTTTTACATTTTAAAATGTGTAATTCTTTTTCTACTGTTTGAGCATCTCTTTGGGGAATGAATGATTCCGAGAACTCCTGGAGAGTCTTATTTTCAGCTTTCTGAATGTGGGTTATAGAGTCAGTCTTGATGGGTTTTTCATTCTTTTTGTTTTCTCCTCTAGTACCTTATACCTTCAACTTAGAAGGATGCTCTTGTAGGGCTGGGACTTGATCTCTTTCGTTACTTCTGTATCCTCAGTACCTGTAACTCAGCATTACTTAGTACCTAGTAGATGCTCAGTGATTATTTGTTGAATGAATGGATGAATGAATGAATGAAAACCATGGCAGAATGGACTGGCCCTGACAACCTCTCAGTATATACTCGTGACATCTAATGAAATGCTAATTTATCCTATCACAGTATAATCGTGAAGGTAAATGTGATAGAAATGTCATAGGATGCATTTTGAAGTCAGCTAAATACATGTTTTGTCTCACCATTAATCGACTGTAGCCCTTTGAAAACCAAGAATGCTTTCTTATGACCATGAAATAGGTCATGTAGAATAGGAAAGTTAATGACACAAGTGGTTACTACCCCAAAGTAGTATTTCGATACGAATAGAATTGAACATAATACCTAGCATATAGTGGAGACTCAATGCATGTTGGTCCATTTAACTGAATTCAACGGAATTGCCTTGCTAGGAAAAAAAAAGCAATATTTATTTTTGACTCAAAAAATTATGAGTCCAGTGCTTTGTTTAAGCTATTCTCTTGTAAGCATGCTATTCTGTGTCTCCCAGGATTGGGTCACATATTTTATTCTTCATTGTTCCCTAGCTGGTTCTGCACTCTGATGTGTCATGTACTTCATCTTGACTCCCTGAATCAATTGTAATTTTGTGTAGGATAAACCAGGCCGTACATGTCTCTGTCCCTCCCGGAGGCCGGCCACATGCCCACCTGCCTCGTGGCAGAGCTCTCGGCTTCTGTGTGGTGTCGTCTTTTCTCAGGGATGGAAATGCTCTGGTGGGGCTTCACTCTTTCAGTAAGGCAGTAGTTTGTGTTACAATGACACCCAGTAGAGTAACTATTTAAATTTTATAAGTTCTTCTTCTTCTTGGTGAGTTAGCACATGAGGTATTTCAAGAGCTTGGTGGGAGCAGGTGGGAAGAGTCAGAGCTCTCTGCACGCTGCAAAGGCGGGTCTAAGGGAGGCCCAGCTGTGTGAAGTTCCAAGAGGGGCTTTGTGAGGGGTGAGGGATATGTGATTTTGGGGTGGATTGAGGGAGGATCATGTGAACAATTAGTGTTTAGATTATTACTTTAAAAATGAATAATAAACTGTTAGAGCTGACTTCAGCAAAGTGGTCAGCATACTTTAGCAGTGAAGTGTATTTTGTCTATAATCTCTAATTTTAAGCTCAGTATTCCATTAATTTATTACTTTTAATTTTTGTCATTGAAAAACATCATAAAAATGTGTTCCTTGGGGGGAGGAGCCAAGATGGCCGAATAGGAACAGCTCCTGTCTACAGCTCCCAGCCTGAGCGACGCAGAAGACGGGTGATTTCTGCATTTCCATCTGAGGTACCGGGTTCATCTCACTAGGGAGTGCCAGACAGTGAGCGCAGGTCAGTGGGTGCGCGCACCATGCGCGAGCCGAAGCAGGGCGAGGCATTGCCTCACTCGGGAAGCGCAAGGGGTCAGGGAGTTCCCTTTCCTAATCAAAGAAAGGGGTGACGGACGGCACCTGGAAAATCGGGTCATTCCCACCCGAATACTGCGCTTTTCCAACGGGCTTAAAAAACGGCGCACCACGAGATTATATCCCGCACCTGGCTTGGAGGGTCCTACCCCACGGAGTCTCGCTGACTGCTAGCACAGCAGTCTGAGATCAAACTGCAAGGCGGCAGCGAGGCTTGGGGGAGGGGTGCCCACCATTGCCCACGCTTGCTTAGGTAAACACAGCAGCCTGGAAGCTCGAACTGGGTGGAGCCCACCACAGCTCAAGGAGGCCTGCGTGCCTCTGTAGGCTCCACCTCTGGGGGCAGGGCACAGACAAACAAAAAGACAGCAGTAACCTCTGCAGACTTAAATGTCCCTGTCTGACAGCTTTGAAGAGAGCAGTGGTTCTCCCAGTACGCAGCTGGAGATCTGGGAACGGGCAGACTGCCTCCTCAAGTGGGTCCCTGACCCCTGACCCCCGAGCAGCCTAACTGGGAGGCACCCTCCAGCAGGGGCACACTGACACCTCACACTGCAGGGTACTCCAACAGACCTGCAGCTGAGGGTCCTGTCTGTTAGAAGGAAAACTAACAAACAGAAAAGACATCCACACCAAAAACCCATCTGTACATCACCATCATCAAAGACCAAAAGTAGATAAAACCACAAAGATGGGGAAAAAACAGAACAGAAAAACTGGAAACTCTAAAAATCAGAGCGCCTCTCCTCCTCCAAAGGAACGCAGCTCCTCACCAGCAACGGAACAAAGCTGGACGGAGAATGACTTTGACGAGCTGAGAGAAGAAGTCTTCAGACGATCAAAATACTCTGAGCTACGGGAGGACATTCAAACCAAAAGCAAAGAAGTTGAAAACTTTGAAAAAAATTTAGAAGAATGTATAACTAGAATAACCAATACAGAGAAGTGCTTAAAGGAGCTGATGGAGCTGAAAACCAAGGCTCGAGAACTACGTGAAGAATGCAGAAGCCTCAGGAGCTGATGCGATCAACTGGAAGAAAGGGTATCAGCAATGGAAGATGAAATGAAGCGAGAAGGAAAGTTTAGAGAAAAAAGAATAAAAAGAAAGGAGCAAAGCCTCCAAGAAATATGGGACTATGTGAAAAGACCAAATCTACATCTGATTGGTGTACCTGAAAGTGATGGGGAGAATGGAACCAAGTTGGAAAACACTCTGCAGGATATTATCCAGGAGAATTTCCCCAATCTAGCAAGGCAGGCCAACATTCAGATTCAGGAAATACAGAGAACGCCACAAAGATACTCCTCGAGAAGAGCAACTCCAAGACACATAATTTTCAAATTCACCGAAGTTGAAATGAAGGAAAAAATGTTAAGGGCAGCCAGAGAGAAAGGTCGGGTTACCCTCAAAGGGAAGCCCATCAGACTAACAGCGGATCTCTCGGCAGAAACCCTACAAGCCAGAAGAGAGTGGGGGCCAATATTCAGCATTCTTAAAGAAAAGAATTTTCAACCCAGAATTTCATATCCAGCCAAAGTAAGCTTCATAAGTGAAGGAGAAATAAAATCCTTTACAGACAAGCAAATGCTGAGAGATTTTGTCACCACCAGGCCTGCCCTAAAAGAGCTCCTGAAGGAAGCACTAAACATGGAAAGGAACAACTGGTACCAGCCGCTGCAAAATCATGCCAAAATGTAAAGACCATCGAGACTAGGAAGAAACTGCATCAACTAACGAGCAAAATAACCAGCTAACATCATAATGACAGGATCAAATTCACACATAACACTATTAACTTTAAATGTAAATGGACTAAATGCTCCAATTAAAAGACACAGACTGGCAAATTGGATAAAGAGTCAAGACCCATCAGTGTGCTGTATTCAGGAAACCCATCTCACGTGCAGAGACACACATAGGCTCAAAATAAAAGGATGGAGGAAGATCTGCCAAGCAAATGGAAAACAAAAAAAGGCAGGGGTTGCAATCCTAGTCTCTGATAAAACAGACTTTAAACCAACAAAGATCAAAGGAGACAAGGCCATTACATAATGGTAAAGGGATCAATTCAACAAGAAGAGCTAACTGTCCTAAATATATATGCACCCAATACAGGAGCACCTAGATTCATAAAGCAAGTCCTGAGTGACCTACAAAGAGACTTAGACTCCCACACATTAATAATGGGAGACTTTAACACCCACTGTCAACATTAGACAGATCAACGAGACAGAAAGTCAATAAGGATACCCAGGAATTGAACTCGGCTCTGCACCAAGCAGACCTAATAGACATCTACAGAACTCTCCACCCCAAATCAACAGAACATACATTTTTTTTCAGCACCACACCACACCTATTCCAAAATTGACCACATAGTTGGAAGTAAAGCTCTCCTCAGCAAATGTAAAAGAACAGAAATTATAACAAAGTATCTCTCAGACCACAGTGCAATCAAACTAGAACTCAGGATTAAGAATCTCACTCAGAACTGTTCAACTACATGGAAACTGAACAACCTGCTCCTGAATGACTACTGGGTACATAACGAAATGAAGGCAGAAATAAAGATGTTCTTTGAAACCAACGAGAACAAAGACACAACATACCAGAATCTCTGGGACGCATTCAAAGCAGTGTGTAGAGGGAAATTTATAGCACTAAATGCCCACAAGAGAAAGCAGGAAAGATCCAAAATTGACACCCTAACATCACAATTAAAAGAACTAGAAAAGCAAGAGCAAACACATTCAAAAGCTAGCAGAAGGCAAGAAATAACTAAAATCAGAGCAGAACTGAAGGAAATAGAGACACAAAAAACCCTTCAAAAAAATCAATGAATCCAGGAGCAGGTTTTCTGAAAGGATCAACAAAATTGATAGACCACTAGCAAGACTAATAAAGAAGAAAAGAGAGAAGAATCAAATAGATGCAATAAAAAATGATAAAGGGGATATCACCACCAATCCCACAGAAATACAAACTACCATCAGAGAATACTACAAACACCTCTATGCAAATAAACTAGAAAATCTAGAAGAAATGGATAAATTCCTGGACACATAGACTCTCCCAAGACTAAACCAGGAAGAAGTTGAATCTCTGAATAGACCAATAACAGGATCTGAAATTGTGGCAATAATCAATAGCTTACCAACCAAAAAGAGTCCAGGACCAGATGGATTCACAGCCAAATTCTACCAGAGGTACAAAGAGGAACTGGTACCTTTCCTTCTGAAACGATTCCAATCAATAGAAAAAGAGGGAATCCTCCCTAACTCATTTTATGAGGCCAGCATCATTCTGATACCAAAGCCGGGCAGAGACACAACCAAAAAAGAGAATTTTAGACCAATATCCTTGATGAACATTGATGCAAAAATCCTCAATAAAATACTGGCAAACTGAATCCAGCAGCACATCAAAAAGCTTATCCACCATGATCAAGTGGGCTTCATCCCTGGGATGCAAGGCTGGTTCAATATACGCAAATCAATAAATGTAATCCAGCATATAAACAGAGCCAAAGACAAAAACCACGTGATTATCTCAATAGATGCAAAGAAGGCCTTTGACAAAATTCAACAACCCTTCATGCTAAAAACTCTCAATAAATTAGGTATTGATGGGACATATTTCAAAATAATAAGAGCTATCTATGACAAACCCACAGCCAATATCATACTGAATGGGCAAAAACTGGAAGCATTCCCTTTGAAAACTGGCACAAGACAGGGATGCCCTCTCTCGCCACTCCTATTCAACATAGTGTTGGAAGTTCTGGCCAGGTCAGTTAGGCAGGAGAAGGAAATAAAGGGTATTCAATTAGGAAAAGAGGAAGTCAAATTGTCCCTGTTTGCAGATGACATGATTGTATATCTAGAAAACCCCATTGTCTCAGCCCAAAATCTCCTTAAGCTGATAAGCAACTTCAGCAAAGTCTCAGGATACAAAATCAATGTGCAAAAATCACAAGCATTCCTATACACCAACAACAGACAAACAGAGAGCCAAATCATGAGTGAACTCCCATTCACAATTGCTTCAAAGAGAATAAAATACCTAGGAATCCAACTTACAAGGGATGTGAAGGACCTCTTCAAGGAGAACTACAAACTGCTGCTCAAGGAAATAAAAGAGGATACAAACAAATGGAAGAACATTCCATGCTCATGGGTAGGAAGAATCAATATCGTGAAAATGGCCATACTGCCCAAGGTAATTTACAGATTCAATGCCATCCCCATCAAGCTACCAATGCCTTTCTTCACAGAATTGGAAAAAACTACTTTAAAGTTCATATGGAACCAAAAAAGAGCGCGCATCACCAAGTCAATCCTAAGCCAAAAGAACAAAGCTGGAGGCATCACACTACCTGACTTCAAACTATACTACAAGGCTACAGTAACCAAAACAGCATGGTACTGGTACCAAAACAGAGATATAGATCAATGGAACAGAACAGAGCCCTCAGAAATAACGCCGCATATCTACAACTATCTGATCTTTGACAAACCTGAGAAAAACCAGCTATGGGGAAAGGATTCCCTATTTAATAAATGGTGCTGGGAAAACTGGCTAGCCATATGGAGAAAGCTGAAACTGGATCCCTTCCTTACACCTTATGCAAAAATCAATTCAAGATGGATTAAAGACTTAAATGTGAGATCTAAAACCATAAAAACCCTAGAAGAAAACCTAGGCAATACCATTCAGGACATAGGCATGGGCAAGGACTTCATGTCTAAAACACCAAAAGCAATGGCAACAAAAGCCAAAATTGACAAATGGGATCTAATTAAACTAAAGAGCTTCTGCACAGCAAAATAGACTACCATCAGAGTGAACAGGCAACCTACTCATCTGACAAAGGGCTAATATCCAGAATCTACAATGAACTCAAACAAATTTACAAGAAAAACAACCGCATCAAAAAGTGGGTGAAGGACATGAACAGACACTTCTCAAAAGAAGACATTTATGCAGCCAAAAAACACGTGAAAAAATGCTCACCATCACTGGCCATCAGAGAAATGCAAATCAAAACCACAATGAGATACCATCTCACACCAGTTAGAATGGCAATCATTAAAAAGTCAGGAAACAGCAGGTGCTGGAGAGGATGTGGAGAAATAGGAACACTTTTACACTGTTGGTGGGACTGTAAACTAGTTCAACCATTGTGGAAGTCAGTGTGGTGATTCCTCAGGGATCTAGAACTAGAAATACCATTTGACCCAGCCATCCCATTACTGGGTATATACCCAAAGGATTATAAATCATGCTGCTATAAAGGCACATGCACACGTATGTTTATTGCGGCATTATTCACAATAGCAAAGACTTGGAACCAACCCAAATGTCCAACAATGATAGACTGGATTAAGAAAATGTGGCACATATACACCATGGAATACTATGCAGCCATAAAAAATGATGAGTTCATGTCCTTTGTAGGGACATGGATGAAATTGGAAATCATCATTCTCAGTAAACTATCGCAAGAACAAAAAACCAAACACCGCATATTCTCACTCATAGGTGGGAATTGAACAATGAGAACACATGGACACAGGAAGGGGAACATCACACTCTGGGGACTGTTGTGGGGTGGGGGGAGGGGGGGGAGGGATAGCATTGGGAGATATACCTAATGCTAGATGACGAGTTAGTGGGTGCAGCACACCAGCATGGCACATGTTTACATATGTAACTAACCTGCACAATGTGCACATGTACCCTAAAACTTAAAGTATAATAATAATAAAAAAAAAAGAAAAACATCATAGAGGTGAACTGAAACCACTACGCTCTTCCAGATGTATTCTACCTCATGGTAAACATTGGGGATATCATTTTTCCTGACTCTGCAATGAGGGGATCTTTTTCCTTCATGGCTAAAATTGCAGTGTTTGTCATGCTTGGCTTCAGTGTGAAGTTAGGGTGATAAAGCAGGTTCATTTTGCTTGGCTTCTGAGAATGGTGGCTTTTCCCCTTTTTTTTTTTGTTCCCCAAGGAGGTAGAGTTCCCATGATAGAACACATATTGTAATTACCATAGTTTTCTTCAAGATCTGGCCTGTATTCACCTCATCCGTGAATTTCACATCAGACACTGGTCTTGAAGTCTCTGAACTCTGCAAGTCACTTGCTGTGTGTCACCGCACTGGGGAGAGATGACACCTGGCCTGTCATCATTAGGGACCACTTGTGGCCCAGGGAGCATTCTTGTCAGACTTAGAGTTATAACTTGGCCATGAAGGAAACGTGACAGGGTTTTCTTAGCCTCCCACTTGGTGCTCACCTTTCATAGGGAGAGTGTGAGACATAATCCTGCTGCTTGGCTTCCCCCACAGAGAACAAGTGGTCATTCCGCCTTTCCTCGCTGCAGCCCTCTTGAGGAGGAGCGGAGAGGCACGGGCTGCTGGTGGAGGGCGAGGGTGCCATCGCTCAGGAGTGCCTCTGAGCTGGTCAGTTTTCACCCTGAGCTTCTATGACAGTGGACACTGCCGAGGGGAGACTCATCTTGGTGACTCTGTGTGAATCTCCTCTGAATTCAGGGAGAGCTTCAGGGCATCTTCTGGGAACACCACCCTGTGTTGGAGAGGCAGTCCAGCCACTCAGAGGGTCAAATCAGTTTTCACAAGTAGTTTTTAAACAAAAGTTAAAAAAAGCAAACCAATAGGCTGGGCACAGTGACTCATACCTGTAATCCCCCAGCACTTTGGGAGGCTGAAGCAGGAGGATCACTTGAGCCCAGGAGCTTGAGACCAGCCTGGGCAACACAGTAAGACTCTGTAGCTACAAAAAATAAAAAAATTAGCCAGGCTTGTGGTACATGCCTGTAGTCTCAGCTCCTCAGGAGGCTGAAGCAGGAGGATCGCTTGAATCCAAGAAATTGAGGCTGCAGTGAGCCATGATTGCACTACTGCACTCCAGCCTGGGTGACAGCGCAAGACCCCATCTCAAAAACAAAAAAACAAACCAATGAAAGTGTTTACAGTGCATAAAACTCAGAAAACAATCACATTATTCAAAGATAACCAAATATTGGTGTATATTCTTTTGATGTATTTTCTATGCCTACACATATTTTCCCCCAAAAGGGTATCATAATGCTTTCGTCACCTAATGACATACGGTACATCGGTTTCCGTGTCAATAAAATATTCTTCATGTGATTTTTAGATGGTATGATAGCATTTCACCATCCAAATGATAGTACTATTATTTACTATTAAAAGTGTCCCATTATTGGAGGCTGTCCCTTAGAATCTGTGATATCCCCATTATTAACAACTTTGAGGGCTTGTGAACATAACAGCATAGAACCCCAATCTGCAGGCAGTTAGGGGATTGTCTTCCAGGACATTCTTGGACTTAGGAGCAGGATCTCAATTCTCCAAGAAATGACAGTCTTGTGTTATTTTGGTTCCAAACAGGAAAGCTTCACATTTTTTGATTGTGGTGTTCCATAAACCTCTACTGATGTATTTTAGTAATAAAAGTGGGTCTTAAAGAAAACTGGTCTGGTAGATGAGTCTCAGTTGGGCATGAAGGGAATAAGGTAGTAGTCGCTAGTCCAGATGCTGTCTGAGGCCAAGGATTGATTTTCTGGTGTCACCTTGCTGGCATGTGGGAACTGCATGCATGATGTGTTTCCACTGCTGCTTTTCTAGGGGACTATGTGTTAAGTTTCTTGGACATTAAAAGCATCCATCCTGGTTAGGATTTTATATTTGCCCTCATTTTGATATGCAAAAGCCCTCAAAACATTTAGTAACGCATTTGTTATTTAACCCCTTTTATATCCTAGTTGAGCAGGAAACCTCCTTGCAGAGTCATTTTCACCATGAAATTTCTTGACTAACTGTAGTTCAAATTGAAGCAAATTCAAAAAATTCAGTGTCTCTTCCACCCATCTTTCTCCTTCCATCAAACCCCCTTAATAGCTTTGACTCTGAAATTATTGTGTAATGTTAACAGAAGTTATATAATACAAGAAGGATCAGATAATTGAAGTAGCATCTGTTTAAGATTCAATAGATGTTTCTTTAATCAGGTACTCCGGGAGAAGTTAGGAACTGGCCCAGTAGCCATTGGCTGATGTAGGAAAAAAATCACCACACTTCAGAAGTTTGCTCAGGATAAATCTCTTTGTGGATAAGTGATTAGGTGTTGCCTCCAGTGTATATTTATTTTACCATCCTTTTCTTTCTTTCACTTTATCTTTGATTGATTATTAACACTAAGGATAGCCCCTTCTGTTTTTCTTAGTGTTGATTAGGTTTCTCTGCAAATTTATTGAAATAATTGAACCCAAGAAGTTTTATTCTGACTCTCTAAGTTGGTTTGAAGACCATTCTGGCTTTCCAGTAATTTTGATCTCTTTCCTTCCCTAACTTAATTCTTCTGTTTTGCTTATTTTCTATGGAATCAGTTTTTTGTTTTTTGTTTTTTAAACTGGAAAAACTCTTCTGTGATGGCATTCTAAGTTGTTTATACCATCCTGACAAGTTGTAGACCTTGGAGCTTGTTCTAAGAGTTCTAAGATTGCAAAATCAAATGCTTGTGAAGACCTGCCAGTAAAGCAGAGAGGGGTGGTCACTGGGGAGCTGGAGTCTTATGTCCCATAAGGGACACAGCCACTGTGAAGGGGTCACAGCTGCTTGGCTTCAGCCAGTTGTGTCCACTGGGGTGGGGGCTCAGTGTTGCCAAACGATCTGATTTCTCAAGGGAAGCTGGAAATAGGTGTGTGTGTGTGTGTGTGTGTGTGTGTGTGTGTGTGTGTGTGTGTGTGTGTTATGTGTTTGAAATCTCTTGATTTTTATATGTTGTCTTAAATGTTTTTTAAAAAGTAGGGATCAAACAAAACATGTCTGGGGCCCAGATTAGGTCCACAAATGGCCGATGTGTAGCTTTTGCTCTAAGGGACAAGTTTTGCTTTTTCAGAAAATAATTAAGCAGAGTATGTGGATGCTGATTCGCCCTAACGAGTTGAGATATTCCTATTTTAATCACCTTGAATAAGGAACTACCATGTACTTGACTGTAATGTTTCGATGAATCTGTTGTAGCACATAACTCTCTTTAATCACATGCCATAACTCTGTCCTGCTATTTTATAGTATATTGGGTGCAGAGCAGAATTTTTTCAGGAGAAAGTGGAGTTTTTCTTAGGCTAATAGATGTCTAGCCAACTGTCTAATTTTTATGTATGACTTTCATATTTCTAAATAGCAGTGTTCTGAATTGAACCAAAAGAATCTATTAACATAATAGCTATAGGTTTCCAGAATCCTTGAATGTATTAGCAATTTAAAGTTGAAAAATAATTGAGTCAATCTTGATTCCTCTTAGTTATCAGATGGTTTATTCATATAATTTATTTTCCTTTCTTTAAAGATTTGAACATGGAATTCAATCCTTCAGATCATCCTCGGGCCAGCACAATATTCCTCAGTAAATCTCAGACGGACGGTAGGTCCTTAATTTATGTTTCTTTTTGTAAAAAAGGCTCATGTTGGTACTTCGCCTAGTGTTGATTTCCCACAGGATTTAATTTTCAATATGAAATAGAGTCCCTTTAGTGACCCACACATATACTGTTTAATGGTAGTTCTCTTGGGATTTTTTTCTTTTGCAGTGTTATGTTTTTAGAATTTCCTATTTGAAGCATCTATCCTCATTTTGTCAATCAGCTATATTATTTCTACATACATTGTGTCATGGGAGTTTCTGCCCTAAGAGTCAGAAATTTTCCTTTTAGAATTGATATTTGCATAATTTCTCATAAGATCAGAAGTATTTGTTAATTTAGACAGTATGTAAAAGAAAGCAAAATATAATCCTTAAATAAAAGTACCACCAACTAGCTCTGTTGTGTCAGTTGAGAGCTGAATTGAACCCATACTGTAGGTGCAGATGTTTTCTTTCTCTTTTTTTTTCCACCTCTATAATAATAACAACCATATCTAAGTTTATTCTTGTAGATCGTACCATCTTTATGGTTCATCCCAGGTGTGTGTGGGATTTCTTCTAGGAGTTTTCTCTCTTTTCAGCCCCCTCCCTGGGCATTGGCTGCAGAGGAGAGAGAAGATAAAACTTATACAATGTGGCAAACACACATCTTCATTGGATTCCTATAGAAAAAGGTGGCAGGAGAAACTCGTTAAATGATGATATCATGACCAGGATATTACTTTAGGATGCTGGAGTCCTACATGATTCTATCCCTAACTTTTTGGGCAATTGCTAAGCTTTAATTCAGAGAAGATCCTAAATGGACTAGAAAATAACCAAACATGTTTAAGATAGTAAGTTCATAAATGAGAATTGATAACACTTCAGTAACGATTAGGTAACAATTTTGGCAAGGTATAGTGCTGATTTAATGTTATTGGGAATCTTTAGTTAGGCAAGCCACTGACTGGATTTGAAAGTTTGATGTGTTTATGAAAAGTAAACGTTTCCAAGAATAAATTAGTATAGGCATCTAGTATTTAGGTTGGTGCAAAAGTAATTTCAGTTTTTGCCATTAAAAGTAATGGCAAAACTGAAGTAAGTTTTTGGTGTGCTGGATACAAAAGAAACATTTTTTTCCTCTGGTGAAGCAGGAAGCCATTGGGAGGGGTGGGATAATACAAAGGAAGGAGAGTGGTAGTGAAGATGGGTGTTTGGAACCATGAAAAAAGAGGGTCAAAACCAAGTTTTGCAGACACTGATAGTACTATAAAAACAAGAAACATAGTACTATAAAAACAAGAAACAAAGCTGGCTTACTTTCGGGTTTCATTCTTGCTTCTTGTGAACTCAGAGTGCAGACCAACTTCATTCAGAAGATGTGCTAACAAGATTCCCATGAAATTGCATTAGGCCTCTAAGTGGATTTCCCATACCTTGGTTGTCCTGGTAGAAGGAAACTTGACCTAAGTCAGGGTTGTTCCAGACTTAGCTTAGGGAACTGTATCTTCCCTCGTCACCTTTGCACTAGATATCATTCCCTTTCCTCTTCTGGAACATCAGGGCATCAATTACTCTGACCCCTCTGTTTATTGCTTCAGTTTCTCTTTAAATGCTTGATCTTTCTACTCAACATGTAAACATAAATGAGTCTCATAGAAAAAGGGAAAGTAACCAATACCTCTCTTCAGGTGAAAGCTTCTATGCCATTTCTACCTCTCTCCCTGTCCACTCTCCCATTGGGATCTTCCTCCTATCCCTGCCATTCTGTGGAGCATAGCAGTAGAGTGACCTAAGGACATTTTCTCTTCTTGGGCTATTGCCCATGTATGTGGCACTTGCTGTCACCAAGAATTCCGTGCTTTTTAAAAACTTTTTGGCCTTCTGTTTTCAGATGGGCAGTTTGCTGAAATTAAGTGCTTCTAATGAACAATTGCTTTATAAATAATTAGAAAAAATCAATTTTAAAAATAGGTAGATTTGGGCTGGGCGCGGTGGCTCACGCCTGTAATCCCAGCACTTTGGGAGGCCAAGGCGGGTGGATCACGAGGTCAGGAGATCGAGACCATCCTAGCTAACATGGTGAAACCCCGTCTCTACTAAAAATACAAAAAATTAGCTGGGTGTGGTGGCGGGCACCTGTATTCCCAGCCACTCAGGAGGCTGAGGCAGGAGAATGGCGTGAATCCGGGAGGTGGAGCTTGCAGTGAGCCGAGATTGTGCCACTGCACTCTGGCCTGGGCGACAGAGCGAGACTCCGTCTCAAAAAAAAAAAAAAACAAAAAAAAAAAACACGTAGATTTGGTAACTTTAATGAATTCTTTAGTGACATGATAATCAGAGAATTGGCTACTTGGTGAATTGGCTTTTGGCAAATTGGTCCTAAGAAATCCTGCCCTTCTGAAAGCTCCTCAGACATCTTCATAAACTTCTATTTGTCCCTCTAATGTAGTATTTCCCAGGGTCTCTTGTTTACCCTCTTATCTTTTTGGTTTGCACACAGTTCCTCATGGCATTTATGTCAACTGTCGTGTCTAACCATATTTTTCTCTGTACTGTTCAAAACCCACGTATTCAGCTGCCTGCTGGACATCTTTACAATGAAGGCTGTAGGTTCCCCTGACTCAGTATGTCCCAGACAGAACTTAAGAATTCCAGTTAACTTTCTGCATTTTCTACCCTGCCCAGGTCCCTAAGCCAAGGAGGGCTTTGGATTTTCGTAGACTCTCCTCTTCTCACAGGTGGGCAGCGGTGCTGGAGATACATTTCTTCCCAGCTCCAGGTTCAGTGACATCATATTGGCGGCTTGAAATAGCCATAATCAGAGTATTTACACCATGGAAATTGGTAAATGCTGCAAATCAGAGCATTTTTTAAACAGATGACTGTTAAACATTTACTAGTACACCATTGCATCCAGGCATTCCAAGGTGTACTCAGTTTCACCTCTTACCCAGCCTTGAACCTGACCACTATTTCCTATTGCAGTTGCTGCCACCTTAGTTCAGACTCACAGTTCCCCACTTGTGTTACTGCAGCAGCCTCTAGACTGGACTCCCTGCCCTTGACCTTATCCCTCTCTAGTCCCTGGTCTGTGCTGCCGCTAGCTGACAGGACTTCCCGTGAATCAGATACGATTGTGCCACTGGCTTCCTTAACCTTTCTCAAGGGCTCCCCAGTTGCTTTAGAGTTAAATTTCAAACATCTTAGCATGGAATATGAGGCCCATCGTGATCCAGCCTCTGCCTTCCTTCCCAGCCAACTTCCTCTCTTCTTTGTGTACTTCTGTGCTTCCGCCATACATACTGAATCACTTGCTTCCTCAAGTCTGCCACTTGCCTCACACCTGGATTTCTCCTTCCCTTTTTCACACAGCTGATTTCTTCTGTCCTCCAGGCTCCTCCTGCTGTCACTTCCTCCTTGAGGGTTTCTTTGATCCCTCAGCCTGGGTTGAGTGGGGCTTTGGTGAGCTCCCATAGGAGTAGCCTGTGGATCTTTCTTCATCATCAGAACCATACTGTGGAATTTAAAACGACCTTTTTGTCTTTGCCACCCGCTAGCCCCTAGAGGAAAAGGATCATGTGATATTGGATGTCAGTATTCCTTGTGCCAACCTGACTGGT